>NC_000004.12:158618350-158921381 GCF_000001405.40 Homo sapiens
CCTTGCCTTTGTTTACAAAAAGGCAAGAAAATATACAATATACTTCAGATAAACATCAAAATGATTAAGATGTATTACTAAAAAAATTAAAATTAAAAATATAAAATTAAAAATTTTGTTACTAAAGTTTTCATATGTAAATTCTAGCTATCCAAAACAACTTATTCCATATGAATTCCTGATAGTGAATATTATCCTGATTTTAATTCTAGTAATAATAATACTTTGCTTTATAATTATTTACCTTTTTATAACTAATGATACTATTCTTACCTTGCATGAACTTTCATTTAGCACAGTATGAACTAGAAAATCTGACAGATTTCTTGGCCAAACATCATTTTAACTCTGATTTAGGGGAAAAATACATACAAACTAAAGAGACAGATGACAGCCCAGGAAATTATGCTTCTAAGGTATTTGCAGGACAATAAACTGAAACCTATATTAGTTCTTGCAAAGCAATGAGAAACTGTAAATGCCACAATAAAAGTTGTAAAATTCAAAAAAAAAGAAATATAAGTAATAAGCAAGCATAAGGACAGATATGGCAATAGCCAAAGGTGAACTAAAAGTCAAGAATAAAGTAAACTTTTCTTTTGAGATGAAATTAAGCAAGTTTATTTATTAGCCAAAGAAGTCAATATGAAAAGCTTGAAAATATAGAAGACGATGGGAATACATAATAGTGCAAAGTACTAGAAGACATGGAAAAGAATGGAAAAGTAAAATGTGATCACACACACACACACACACGCATACACACAGCAGTGAAAATGAATGAATTATCAATACTTCAATCAACATGACTCAATTTCAAGCACATATGAATTACTCAAGAAAAAGTCACAGAAGACTACATATATTACATTTCCATTCCTATAATACTGATTAAGATATAGAAAGCCACAAGACAGCAGTACTTCCTCTCTACCTATAAGAAAGAGCTTTGTAATCTACAAAGTCATAATTTTGTGGAGCCCATCAGTAGGCTACAGTCATAAGGTAGCCAAATAAATGGAATTCTAACAAGCAACAAGAAGATGTGGGACATACATACTATTTCACCTTTGGCAGAGCACAGGATGAAGAGTTGGCTGGCGTGAAAGCAGGTACAAAGAAAACTAAAACTTTAATAAACTTGTAAGCTTAAGTGTGGGCTACTATAGTGCTTTAAAAGAACTGGGAACCCCATATGCAAGGGGATTTAGCTATCTTTAACAGGCTCTTTTTCACTGATCTCCACCAACCACAAGAAAAACTAGGAGTAGGTAAGGAAACCAGACAGAGCCCTCATTGGTAGCACAACACAAAACTCCACCTTCTTCTCTAAACTCACCCGTCTCAGGGAACAAAAGCATCAAGCCTTTGGGAGTGGGACAGAAAATCCTCCTGCACCCAGGGACCAGGCAAAGGTCCATTACTTCCATAGGAGGAATAGAAACTAGAGCATTCTGCCCCAGGGTACCAACAAAAAAAAAAACCACTCCAGCCCAGGATCTTGCACTGATCAAAGCAGTGGGTAGTGCCCATTTGTATCACGGCAGGAAATGCTCTTATGAGAGTTTGGCTTCTGGAGAAGGGGGAACAGCAAAGCTGAGACAGCCCCATCCCCAAAAGCATAAGGAAAAAGAAGTTCATGTCAAATTATAAAGCAATCAACAGAACCAGAACCAGCAATAACTCAGATTTTACAACTTCCAAACAGAGACATTAAAATGCTTATGATTAATAAGTTAAGTAATATAGTGGAAAGATGGATAATATGCACGAACATAAAGAAAATGTCAGCAAAAAGATGGAAACTACAAAAGAGAAACAAAAAATTATTTCAACAGCCTTAGCAGCAGAATGAACACAGCTAAGGAAAGAATCAACAACCTTGAAGATATGTCATAGAAAGCTTTCAAATTGAAACGAAAGAAAAAGAGACAAAAATAAAGGCAAAACAGAATCCAAAAGCTGCAGGATAATACAATTGTCTAACAAATGTGTAAATGGAGTCACAGAAAAAGAATAGAGGAAGAACAGGACAGAAGACAAGCTGGAGAAATAATAGCCAAGAATTTTGTTACATTAATATAATGCAACAAACCAGAAATCTAAGAACCTCAGAAAAATCCATGCAGAAGTCAAGAAAAACTAGATAAATTATAGTCAAACTGCTGAAAACCAAAGATAAAGAAAAGTATCTTAAGGCAATCAGAGAAAACAGAAACATTATACACTGTAAAACAAAGACAAGAAAAACAACTTTTTTTTAAAAGCCAGAAGGACTATGGTAATATTGGCGAAAAAGATTTCAGAACAAGGACTATCACCAGGGATAAAGAGCGATATCATATAATAATAAAAAGATCAATTAAGCAAAAATATGTGATAATCTTAAATGAGTAAACAGTTTCAAAATACATAAAGTGAAAACAATAGAACTGTAAAGAGAAATAGCTAAAAGTCAAAGGATGTCATTTAAAGCTGATGAATCTTTGGCCGGGCATGGTGGCTCACACCTATAATCCCAACACTTTGGGAGGCCGAGGCAGGAGGATCCCTTGAGCTCAGGAGTTTGAGACCAGCCTGGGCAACATAGTGAGACTCTGTCTCTATTAAAATTTTTTTTAAAAAATTAGCTGAGCGTTTAGCTGGGCGTGGTGGTGGGCACTTGTAATCCCAGCTACTCGGGAGGCTGAGGCAGGAGAATCACTTGAATCCTGGAGGTGGAAGTTGCAGTGAGCTGAGATCACACCATTGCACTCCCGCCTGGGCGACAGTGAGACTCTGTCTCAAAAAAAAAATAAAAAATAAAAATTACCTGAGCATGGTAGCATGCACCTGTAGGCAGTCCCAGCTACTCAGGAGGCTGAAGTGGGAGGATAGCGTGAGCCTGAGAGATCAAGGCTTAAATGAGCTATGATTGTGCCACTACACTCCAGCCTGGGCAACAGAGGGAGACTTGTCTCTGGAAAAAACAACAACAACGGACAAATCCATAGATTAGATAGACAGTGGTATTCCCAAGGTGAACACTAATAAAAAGCATGTAATTAACCAATATTGTATGGTAAAGAGAGGCAGAGGAGCAGAGAGGAAGACAATGTACACAAATTTTATCATTTCTTAGTATCATCAAAAGAAAGAAGGTATAGTGCATTGAGTAAAGTTACAAAGATTGCCAATAGAATATACAAAGCTTTGTAAATATCATAAGAAATAAATTTTTTAAAACACCATTAGGTTAAGATAAATATTAGACACAAAAAAAACCTGAGGTGAAAGTTTTTTAAACCTATGGAATCGTGTAATAATATTTTTAAAAAACAGACTAAGGCCAACTATATTAATCATATCAATAAATATAAGTAGGCTAAACTCACCTATTAAAAGGAAAAAGACTGGGAAAGAAGACCTGGGAAGATATTTCTCAAAAAATACTTAAAAATGGCCAACAGGCATATGCAAAAATGTTCAACATTACTAATCATCAGAGAAATGCAAATCAAAACCACAATGAGGTATCACCTCACACCTGTTAGAATCTCTATTATCAAAAAGACAAGAGATGACGAGTGTTGACAAGGTTGTGGCTAGAAAGGAATTCTTGTGCACTGTGGATGAGAATGTAAATTAGTACAGCTATTATGGAAAACATATGGAGCTTCCTCTAAAAATTAAAAATAGGACCAGGTGCGGTGGCTTACGCCTGTAATCCCAACACTGTGGGTGGCAGAGGTGGGTGGATCACTTGAGGTCAGGAGTTCGAGGCCAGCCTGGCCAACATGATGAAACCCCATCTCTACTAAAAATACGAAAATTAGCCGGGCATGGTGGCAGGCACCTGTAATCCCAGCTACACAAGAAGCTGAGGCAGGAGAGTCACTTGAACCCGGGAGGCGGAGGTTGCAGTGAGCCAAGATCACACCCCTGCACTCCAGCCTGGGCGACAGAGCAAGACTCCATCTCAAATAAAAAAAAAAATTAAAAATAGAACTACCATATGATCCAGCAGTCCCACTTCTGGGTATATATCCAAAGGAAATTCCATTAGTATGTCAAAGAGATATCTTCACTCCAATGTTCATTGCAGCATTAGTCACAATAGCCAAGATATTAGTCAACCTTAGTGTCCAATGACAGTTGAATGGATAAAGAAAATGTGGTAGATATATACAATGGAATACTAGTCAGCCTTAAAACAGAGATCCTGCCATTTTGACAATATGTGTGAACTTAGGGGACATTATGCTGAGTGAAATAAGCCAGAGACAGAAAGAAAAATACTGCGTAATCTCATTTATACGTGGAATTTCTTTTTAAGTTGAACACATAGAAACAGAGTAGAATCGTGGCTATGGGTCATGGCAGGGGGAATGAGGAGATGTAGGTTCAAGGGTACAAAATTACAGTTATGAGATGAATAAGCATACAGATCTAATGTATGGCATGTCTATAGTTTAATAACACTGTATTGTATAGTGGAAATTTGCTAAAAGGGTAGAGTTCAGGCACTCTTACCATAAAAGAAATTAACTATGTAAGGTGATGGGTATGTTAATTTGCTTGGTTGTAGTAATCAGTTTACTATGTACTGTATATCGAAACAGGCTATATACCTTAAGTATACACAGTTTTTAAAAGTATGTCATGTAATTGCAAACAAAAGAAAGCAGGCATCATATATTTTATCTAAGTAGGTGGAATTCTGGCCAATGTGCATTAAACAACACAATGACATTTTAATGCTATAACTGCCAATGTCCAATAAAAGATATCACATTATAAGTCTATACACACCAAAGAAATTAATATAGCAACCAAAACAAAAGAAAATGTAGACATACATAAGCAGTAAGAAATAATCCACCACTGGGTCAGGTGCGGTGGTGCATGCCTGTAATCCCAGTACTTTGGGAGGCCCAGGCGGGTGGATCACCTGAGGTCAGGAGTTTGAGACTAGCCTGACTAACACGGTGAAACCCTGTCTCTACTAAATACAAAAAAAAAAAAAAAAATTAGCCAAGCATGGTGCCTGTAATCCCAGCAAATCAGGAGGCTGAGGCAGGAGAATCACTTGAATCCAGGAAGCAGAAGTTGCAGTGAGCCGAGATTGTGCCATTGCACTCCAGCCTGGGCAACAAGAGTGAAACTCCATCTCAAAAAAAAAAAAAAAAAAAAAAAAGATAATCCACTACTTCTCACTCCATAAAAGATCAAGTAGAACCAAAATAAATAAATAACATAATTAGTAAGTTAATGCTAATCAGTGTATATCAAACTTCAGTGCCCCTTCTCAATAACAGAACTGCTTTCTTTGGGACAGCAACATAACTAGCTAAAATACTACATTCCCACACTTCTCTGCATTCACATATAGGATATGTCTTAAGTTCTGACTAGGGAGGTCGAAGTATTACAGTGTAGAACTTCAGGAAAATCTCCTTAAAGAGAAAGATGCAAGTCCTTTCTTTTCCTTCTTTATCCAGAAAACAAAAAACTGAATATGATGGCTTGAGCTTTAGCAACATCTTGTACCATGAAGACAAGGGCATGTGATCAGTGAATATGAAAGATCCTGGGTTTCTAACAACTTTGTAAAACAACCATATCAGCCCTGAACTGCCCAACTCTAGATTTTTTTTTCCTGGGGGGAAAAAACCCCAACAACTCTGCGTATTTATGCTATTATAGATGGGTCTCTGTTATATGTACGTGCACCTAATCCTAATAGATATGAACTTGAAAGCAAAGAATGCCCAAAGAACATTCACCAAAATTGACCATATATTTTAGGACATAAACATACACAAACCAAACTCAAGAAAACAGATGGAGGGATTAGCCTAAAACAGGAGAAGGGTCATCTCTTCCTCTGAGACTAGAAAGAGACCAGGTGCATATACAGGTAAGTTTACAGATGTCAGGCAGCAAGTCAAGGGCTTTTCCCTTCTTCATCACCTCAGTTTTCTCTGTGAAATAGGAGCCAGAAATGTAAAAGGTAGAGGAGGAAGCAGATAGAGAGTAAGATTTTCATGTTTTGAATGCCACTAAGGGACAAGTTGAGGGAGAATAGACAAGATTATAGTCTTTGTCTTTTGTTATTGTTGTTATTCAGATTGAAGAACCACCAAAGTTTTCATTTTTATCCAATTCTACCAGGTATAAAGGGAAAAATAAAATGGTTAGTCTCAGAGGCTCATTAGATAGGAAGGGTGGTGGTTTAAACACAGTAAAAAATAGAAATAAAAATAAAAAAACCTTCGTTAACTCCATTAAAGCTTGCAGCTAGGGAGCAAGAAACAGATTTTTTGTTGTTATTTTGATTTTGTTGTTGTTTTTGCTTCAGCTAAGAGGTATGCTGCAAACCAGATCCCTGCTTATCAAGGACTAAAACCCCTAACTTTAGGAAGAAAATATACATATTCATATGTATGCTCATATACAGGCCCATAGAAACACATCATACAAATGTGACCCCAAATGTTTTTATTATTAACACAGGAGGGGGGAAAAACAGTAAATAAACAACCCAAGGTTAAAATAAATTCAAAATTAAACTACCAATTTAATCAAATGTCCTAATTTGTGCCCCAATATGTGCCTCTTTTTGATTTTCACAAATTAGTAAATTAGTACTAACAAATATTTTTGCCAGCCTAATAGAAAACAGTTACGTAAGTAACTAAATAGGAACATCAACTCACCTCATTAAGCGCATTTTGTGAGACTTAAGAGAGCATCACCACCTGGTGGTAGATTCAGGGTAATGATTAGCAACCAAATAGAAGGAAATGGCCAGTCCCTGTCACAGATAACATACATTATGAGAGACCAAAAGCCTTGGCCAAAACTAAGACCAAAAAAAGTAGCACTATAAGTGATTAGCTTCCAACTTAATAGAATAACAGAAATTTGGAAGGGTGATCTAGAATCCACATTTAAGATTCTAATACAATATCCCATGTAGTACAAAAATCCTGTCTACAAAACTATAGAGATATGATACATTGTCTGTGCTAAATACCTGTAGTAAAAAGAAACAACTTCTCTGGATATCATAGATTGCTAGATAGGTTTAAGTTGGGTTTAAATTTGAAACTTTTTATGTCCCTCGATCAGTCAATCTAATTTTGCAACCCAATGCAACATAGAAAACCCCTGATATATTCTATAGCCTGACTTCAAATATATCTCTCATTTTGTTTTTGTTTGTTATAAATAACACCCCATATTCTTCAATTGCCTTGATTTCTAGATACCGTACATCCTGGTCTTCCAGATTTTACAGATATATTTGATTTGTCAGCATCTATTTTTAATGCAGCACCTAAAATAAAACTGACTCACATGTTGGCAGTGGAGTATAGGCACTTCTATTAATACTTTCCATGTTTCCTTTCAGATTTTAATAGCTGTATCACACTTCTGCTCACATGTTTTAGTGACAATTATTCCTGAACAGCTTTATGTTACATGGTGACCAGTAAGCTGAGTGTTAGAAGAGGCTGAATAGATTTAAGGGCCGGCATTTACTTTTGAAAGTCTATCCCTAAACCTCAGCTCTCTTCCTCTGCTCTATAAAGTTCCACCATATACTCACTTATGAAAGAAGAGGAACAATAAAAGAGTAACTTCAAGATAACCACGAAGAGACAGTAAAACATAAAAATTTTGATACATTTTTATGCTTAGACCATAAGGAGGTTTATGGTGACATAGGCATCACACAGCAAGGGAGCCCCAGGAGGATTATATTTAGATATCTATATAGATAGATAGATAGATAGATAGATAGATAGATAGATAGATAGATAGATAGATAGATAGATAGATGTAGAGATAGAGATATATGCAGCTCTCTGAATTGGAGATGCAGAACCTAAGGCAGTCTGCTGTTTGCTCTCTGTCTGCGCTGGCCTTTGAGACAATATAAAAAGCAAATAAGGGTATTCCCAATAGTAAAAGATTATTGAGGATTTTTTCTGGGGAGTGATTAGGCTGGAAAGGTAGGAGCTAAATATTGTTTTGGCAGCAGCAGCTTTTGCAACAATAATAGAATCTGATGCAGACTGTAGCAAAATAAAATCACACCACTTAGGGAAATGCCATCGGTAACTTTGGACAAATGTTTCATATGGTTCATTATGAAATATCGGTTAATAAATTAGGTGTTTATCATAACAAATGTTTTCAATTTGACTTCTTGTTCTTTTCAATTTCTCATATACATGCCCGTATGCACTCATGATACAGATGGGACGCAAAACATTTTTACCTTTAACATAGAAAAAAGTGTATAATATAGATATTTATATATATAATTTCAGCTGTAATAGAAATGGCTACAAGTGAGAGTCTATATGAAATAAACAGTATGTAAAGAAAAGATATTTTATTAGAAGGCAAATAATTTTAACCAATTTATTTCTCTCCATGATTAAGATTTAGCTGTATCGTTTTATTTTTATGTTCCAGGGACCTTGAAGGCAACCATATCCATAATTTAAGAAATTTGACTTTTATTTCCTGCAGTAATTTAACTGTTTTGTAAGTAATATGCTATGCTTTTGAAGTAATATTATCTTTTCTTACAAATAAAATTTAAAAACACCCATTTTATGGAAAAAAAATCCCAAAGAACATCAAGAGTCTGTTGTTGGATCTCAGTTTGAGAAACACTAAATTGAAGTCTTAGCCTATAAGAATGTTTATCCTTTGCAAATTATTATGGTATAAATTAAGTTTTTCTTTACAATTGTGAAAAAATAGTTACAATCAAAATGAAAAACAAAATACTGCTGAATGTTCACAACCTTGAGGATGTAATTATGGACATCAAGATAAACCTTGAAGTGTTAATGAGTGTAATTCCTTCTTATGCATCTCTGGCCTATTTTAAATTCACATGGTATTTTCTGTTAAAAGTAAAGGATGTTAGGTCTTCCTTCAGTAAAAAAAAATCCAACTCTCCTATTCACAGCTTATTTTACCAGAATGTTTTTCAAACTATGGATTGCAACTAATAAGTAGGTGATGAAAGTAATATATAGCACAATTTATTATACCCTTGTCAGCATTTTTAAGGGAAACAGAATTTAATTGAATAGATTATATCAGACTGCAATGCAGATAATAAATGTATTGTTTCATGAGCCTTAGGGTGTGTGTGTGTGTGTGTGTGTGTGTGTGTGTGTGTGTGTGTGTGTTTTATGATCCAATATAAAACACATTTTTTACTGTGTGTTACCACAGGAATGATTTGAAAACCATTATCCTAGACTACACAGGACCCCTGTATATAGGCGATACAATAGCTCCCACTGATATTACCATATGTTTTCTCCAATTCCCCCCATTCCAATGGGTTCCAATGAGTTCCAGTTTGAACTCCTCCTGAGTTCAGCAATCTTCAGGTACAGGGTGCTTGATATAAATAATGCAAAATAGTGTATAGTAATTGCCCAAAGGAAACCAAATTGCACCTGAAGGACACAGAACAAATAGATATCTGAAAAACTTAGAATTTCTTTTCTATTGTACTTGTATTTATTTTTTAAGGAAACCTCTGTATTAAGAGATTATTTGTGGATTTCCTCTTGGCAGGTGTTGTGCTTTTAAGGTCCAAGAATATTGGGAAATGGTGGTAATGGTTTGGAGTGCAGTGAGGAAATAAATGGGAAAGGACAATTTGAAGACATGTCATACAATGTTTAAAAAATTAAAAGCCCTTTAAAACTTAGTTCTGAGTTGGTCCTCTAGGCTAGCTGGTAACACATGAGATCAGTGCAGAAATGTCAAGAGTTAAACAGACTGATTCAGCATCCCAAATTAGAGATTCTTCTAAAGGGGTTCAGCTAAGAGTGGACTTCCTTAGGCAGATCCGCCCGAAATCACATCAAGTAACAAATGAGTAGGAGTGCTGTGGTGGGTGGGCTATTTTGTTAGACAGTCATGCTATGCAGACTGAAAAGACAAGTCTAAAACAGCTCCTATGCTCTTGGTTGCAAGATATGCAGTCTGTATTCTCAAAAGTTGGGGTTTTCACCATTTCTCGTGCAAAGCTCTTCCTCCCTATTTCACTTAAAATTTTGAATTTCTATTATTATCATCATCAAAACATTTGAGAAATTTAGGATTAAAATTAAATTGGATAATTTATACTACTTCAAAATGTCTTTATGTGAAAAATGTACTGTATATTCATTATCTTTGTTTCTGCATACCGTTCCTCTCTTTAGTAATTCTTGTCGGTTACCTAAAGAAGTTACAATGTATTTTTCTTTTTACTTTCAGAGTGATGAGGAAAAACAAAATTAATCACTTAAATGAAAATACTTTTGCACCTCTCCAGAAACTGGATGAATTGTAAGTATGACTGAACATATACTGATAAGAATTTTCTTTCTACTGTTTTTTCACACTTGTACTTACATGTGTTTATACATTTAAGAAATATTACTTATCTCCTCTTTCTAAGCATTATTTACATATATACACCTCAAGCCACAAAGGAATTCAGATGGCATACAAAAAATATGGAAAATAAAAATATAAATATTTGAGGAAAGTGGGTTAAAGGAAACACAGCTGTAAAGAAATAATAAAGCCAGTATAAAATTAATAAATAAAATACATTCTACACCACTCTGTTCTACTCCTAAAGAAGGACGGTAAATTTATGGGGGGTTTTTTGTTTTGTTTTTGTTTTTTGTTTTGTTTGTTTTGAGACAGGGTCTCACTCTGTCTCCCAGGCTGGAGTGCAGTGGCATGACCTCGGCTCACTGCAACCTCCGCCTCCCAGGTTCAAGCAAATATCCTGCCTCAGCCTCCTGAGTAGCTGGGATTACAGGTGCATCCCACCATGCCCAGCTAATTTTTGTATTTGTAGTAAAGATGGGGTTTCACCATGCTGGCCAGGCTAGTAAATTTGTTATTATGTTTCCTAAAGGATTAGGATTCAGGGACCATAAGATTAGAAGATACCACTTTGCTGATTTGAAACCAAAGGATAATCTTGTATCCATAAGGAAATTAGACACTACTGTGGATAATATTCCTACCTATAATAATGGAAGAGATAAATTATTTTTATAATGCCCCTTTTTAATGCCAATGACATAATTCTAAAGGGCACTATAACAATTCTATGATGAACCAAAGCCCGTGGTCTAAGTACATTGTAGTTGATTTTCAGAATAAAATAGATGTAGAACAATGGATGAAGTGCTTATCCTTCAGACCATTTTTTTATATTTTAGTGTCAATTTTTTTCTTTTCATTTTTTGTTTGCTTTTTTTCTAGTACCAGGGTGTCACTCTGTTGCCCAAGCTGAAGTGCAATGGTACAATCATAGCTCACCGTAACCTCGAACTCCTTGGACTCAAGTGATCCTCCCACCTCAGCCTCCTGTGTAGCTACGACTATAGCACACCACCATGCCCAGCCAATTTTTTTTTATTTTTTGTAGAGACAGGGTCTCTGTGTTGCTGGGGCTGGCCTAGAACTCCTGGCCTTAAGCAATCCTCCCGCCTCAGCTTCCCATACTTTTGGTATTACAGACTTGAGCCACTGTGCCCAAGTAGTATCCATCTTCTGGAAAGAATCTGAATGTGGACAGAGCTACTTGTTTTGACAATTAGCTAGACAGAACACTGATTTATTAAAACTTTTCCATAAAAATTAAAGAATACAATTAGAATGTTATGAAAATAACACCAGGACACCTTACTTGGGCACTCAAGAAGTTACAATGTGTTTTTCCTTATGCTAGGTAGAGGGAATACATGTACCAGGAGCAGGAACGTTTCTCAGGTAACAATCCTGCATTCTGCCCCAAAACATCAGGGAATGAGCCATTAAAAACCCAACATTTTATCTGTAGCCTGAAACACTTTTGGTGGTCAGTACCAATCATTCACAAAATGTGCAGGAAAATCTCAAAAACAAATAGACCCAACCATCTGTTGTAGCAACTCCTGGCACGTGATAATTGAACCATATCATCAGCACATAGGAAAGTAGTCTAAATAGTAGGGGGAGATGCAGCTGGATGATCCAAAGTATTATCTAGACATTAGAATACAAGTTAGTCAAGGAATACTAACTATATACTTTTTCTTGTTTCATCCACTTGAAATCATACCTGAATATCAAGGGACAGTTCCTTCAAATCCTAGCCTTCATGGTGGCAGTCAGGTGCAGATTTTATATATCAATAACCAACAGTGAACATGAACTCAAAGGGCTTAGTGCATAACCAATGCTAATCCAGGTTCAGAAGTAAAGGAAAGAATAATACAAACTGCAGAGGGTGACCAAGGCCAATAATTTGTCTTGCTAATTATTAGGTGGACTTTAATGCACCTAATCCCATATTAAACACTTACCTGAAAAATCAGATTCACCAGGACAAAAATAGCATGTTTTCTAAGAGTCGATGGCTTTCATTGGATGAGTCTATATCTAAAGTGTCCTTTTGAGAGAGGGTTGAACTACACTCTGTGCCCCTCCAGGCTCCATCACACCAACAGAGTTAATGAGGACAAAGAGGATTCACTTGTCACAGAGGACTTTAAGTAGCTCTAGTGACAGAAAATCTTTGCCACGTGGGTGACTTAATTTGAGCTTTTAAAGTCAACTACTCTAGTTTACAAGGTGTTTCCTGAGTTCATTCAGAAATGGACCTTGACTCCAATTAAGTTTAGCCTAACTTTCCTAAACTTAAGCTGAGAAAATGGCCCTTTCAAATGTCACTTGGGATCTGGGCCAACACTATCCCATTACATGATTCATGCTGTTAGAACTATCTGCCAGGATTTGCTCTGATAACAAAACCCACACTCCCACCAGTAATTGTTGAACAAGACATTTGGAATTTTAATATCCCAGTGCACCATTTTAAATCCATTTGCACATTGCTTTACTAATATGATCAATATTTTACTTGGCTTCCTATACAAGGAACTGAAATTGTGCCCCACTTTTACTAAAGATGAAGCAGATAGACTCAGTGTATTCATAGTCTTCTAACTGGGGATGGAGAAAACAGCTAGTCCAAAACTGAGCTAGGCACTGGGTAGCCCAGATGAATAGATATCGTTCTTGTACTCAAAGAACTCACGTTTCAGAAAGGAAGCACATATGTACAGAAACAGTTGTAGTATGATGTTATATGTGCTATATGTGTTATATGTGCTATACTAGAAGTGTGCAAGAGGAATGCATAGGAGAACAAAGGACAAAACACTTAACCTCCCTGGGCTCAGAGGTTAAACAGAGGAATGACGTTTGAATGAAGTCTAGAAGGATGAATATGAGATCACAAGGAGGGAAAGAAGAGCATGGGGATTAAAATACTGAAGTGCATTCGGGTCATGGTGAAAAGTTACTTTGGATAGAAAGTGGTAGGCAAGGAGACTGGAAACATAGTCAATGGCAAGACATTTGAATATTTAAAGGTTCATTATGGCCAGGCGCAGTGGCTCACATCTGTAATCCCAGCACTTTGGGAGGCTGAGACGGGATGATCACTTGTGCCCAGGAGTTCAAGACCAGCCTGGGGAACATGAAGAAACCCAGTCTCTATCAAAAATACAAAGATTAGCTGGGCATGGTGGCATATGGCTGTAGTCCCAGCTACTCAGGAGGCTGAGGCGGGAGCATGCTTAAGCCCGGGAGGTGGAGGTTGCAGTGAGCCGTTTGTGCCACTGCACTCACACAATGCGGTTTTGATTTCATCTCCTAAGGTACAGTAAGCTATTGAAGGAGATTCCAACTCTTTATGAAAGAGATGGAATTTTTGAGTAATTCCTTCAGTTGTCTAATCAGAACAATCTGTTGACAATTCACCGATAAATATGTAACTAACAGCAATAGTCTCCAGGTTCAGTTTGCAGCAAAGACGTTTATAATATTTATCACATTATATTAGCCACTTATTTTTAGTTTTAAAAACTCAGTCTAAAAATTGTCCTACCCTTCGAGGTCAAAAAATCTAACGTTTGCCTTATAAGCAAACCAGCATATATAACAAATACATCTATTCATTCTCCTACCTATCCCAGTGGCAACAAATATGATTTGGAGATGAATAGAAGAAAAGGTTAGACTTTCCCTTAGTATCTCTTGATCACCTTACAGAGCTCAAGTCTATTGAAACTTTTTCTTGTATAAAAGAATCTGAGGCCTTTCACATGAGAGCTGCCACTGTCAAAGCTACCACGAGAGGTGCTGCTGTCAAACACCTTTTTAGGACTAAGGTACGAGGTCATACCATGTTAAGCAGACCCTCTACACATACATGAGATGGCATGCAAAGTATCCTACCCCAGGATAATATGAGAGCCTGTGTATATCAGCTGTGGAAGAAACTCGAACTTGAAATAATACACTTCCATAATAATCACAACAATCCTAAGCGGAAGAAAAAAATTAAGATCGCAAACCATGCATCTATTCTAACACACAAAAAAAGAGAACAAAGGAAGAAGGGGCACAACACAGAAATCAAAAGAATGAGAAAATGCGATTGATTAAAACCAGATCAGGCCAGGTGCAGTGGCTCACGCCTGTAATCCCAGGACTTTGGGAGGCTGAGGCGATTGGATCACAAGGTCAGGAGTTCGAGACCAACCTGGCCAACATAGTGAAACCCCGTCTCTACTAAAAATACAAAAATTAGCCAGGCGTGGTAGCACACACCTGTAATCTCACCTACTGGGGAGGCTGAGGCAGGAGAATCACTTGAACCCGGGAGACAGAGGTTGTGGTGTGCCAAAATCGCACCACTACACTCCAGCCTGGGTGACAGAGTGATACTCGGTCTCAAAAAAAAAAGATCAAATACCATCAAGTATTTGTCTTCCAGGGGATGATGAAATGGAATAAAATATTTTTATATTTTCCAACTTTGCTCCTTTTTTAAATTTTTAGACTTCTGGTGATTAATATAACTCACCAATGGCATTGTTGAAAAGTTGTATAGTGGTTTCCTAATGAATTTCAGAACAATGAGTAAAGTCTTAAGAAAATAATATCACATATTTGCAATTATTTCTCCAGGGATTTAGGAAGTAATAAGATTGAAAATCTTCCACCGCTTATATTCAAGGACCTGAAGGAGCTGTCACAATTGTAAGACTGATGTTAATTTTGCCACCTCGTTTCTTTATTTTATTATTTTTTAAATTGTAAAATATGCATAACATAAAATTAGCCATTTTTAAGTGTGTAGTTGAGTAGCATTAGCTACATTCACATTGCTGCCCAACCACCACCACCATCTACCTCCAGAAGTTTTTCATGTTGCAAAACTGAAACTCTAGCCACTAAACACTAACTTCCCACTCACCGTTTCCCCATCCCCTGGCTACCACCATTCTACTTTGTGTCTGTGTGAATTTGACTACTCCAGATACCTCATAGAAGTAAAATCATGGAATATTTATCTTTTTGTGACAGGCCTATTCTACTTAGCATACTGTCTTCAAGTTTCATTTCTGTTGTAGCAGAAATGAATTTCCTTCCTTCTTAAGGCTGAACAATATTTCATTGTGTATATGTATTGCAGTGTTTATTCACCCATCAATGGACATTTTAGTTGCTTCCATCTTTTGCCTATTGTGGATAATGTTGCTATGAACATGGGCGTACAAATATCTGTTGACTCTGCTTTCAATTTTTAGGTACCTACTCTCAAAAGTAGAATTGCTGTTTCATACATTTCTGTCATTTTATTTTTAATGCATGTTTCATTCTGTTTTCCATAGGAGTTTAACCATTTTACATTTCCGCTAGTAGTATACTAGGGTTTCCATTTCTCCACATCCTTCCCAACACTTGGTATTTTCTGTTTTTTTGATAATAGGCATGCTAATGGATGTGAAATGGTATCTCACTGTGATTTTGTTTTGTGATTCCCAGTGATTAGTGATGTTGAGCAACTTTTCATGTGCTTATTGGCCATTTGGATACCTTCTTGCAGAAAAATCTGTTCAAGTCATTCACTCATTTTTCAATTGGATTGTTCAGGTTTTCTGTAGTTGTTAGATTGTTGGAGTTCTTATATATTCTGGATGTTAACTTCTTTTCAGATACATGATTTTCAAATATTTTCTCCCATTGTATGGGCTGCCTTTTCACTCTATTATGGTGTCCTTTGATGCACAAAAGTTTTTAATTTATGTATAGTCTAATTTTTAAATTTCTTTTTTTGTTACTTATGCTTTTGGTGTCATATCCAAAATAACACCAAATGTCATTGGTGTCATGTCATGAAGCTTTTCCTGTATGATTTCTTCTAAGAGTCTTATAGTTTTTAGCTTTAATATTTAGGTCTTAAATCCATTTTGAGTTAACTTATGTACATGGTGTAAGGTAAGGATCCAACTTCATTCTTTTGCATGTGGATGTCCAGTTTTCTCAACACAATTTATTGAAAAGACTACTCTTTCCCCATTGAATGTCCTTGGCACCCTTGTTGAAAATCATTTGACCATATATCTGTGAGTTTATTCCTGAGCTCTCTATTCTATTCCATTAGTCTACATGTCTGTATTTCAGCCAGTACCACACTGATTGCTGTAGCTTTGTAGTATGTTTTGAAATTAAGTGGTGTAAAATCTCCAATTTTGTTCTGCTTTTTTCAAGATTGTTTGGCTATGTGGGCTCCCTGCATTTTCCATATGAATTTTAGGATGGATTTTCATATTTCTGCAAAAAAAAAAGGCAATGGGATTTTGGCAGGTTGCTTTGAATCTGTAGCTCACTTTGAGCAATACTGACATCTTAATATTAAGTCTTCTGATCTGTGAACATAGCATGTCTTTCCTTTCATTGGTGTCTTCCTTATTTTCTTTCAGCAATGTTTCGCAGTTGCCAGGGTATTTATCTTTCACCTCCTTGGTTAAGTTTATTTAAGTATATTATTCTTTTGATGCTATTGTAAATGGAATTCTTTTCCTCATTTTCTTTTGTGATTATTCATTGCATATAGAAACACAGCTGATTTTTGTGTGTTAATTTTATATCCAGGAATGTTGATGAATGTTTTAGTTCAAATGGATTTCTTTTTAGTTAAATCTTTAGGATATTCTACATATAAGATTACATCACCTGTAAACAGAGATCATTTTTTTCTTCTTTTACAATTTGGATGCCTGCCTTTCACTTTTTTTTCTTGCCGAATTGTTCTAATTAGGACTTCCAACATTATGTTGAATGAAAGTGGTAAAAGCAGGAATCCTTGTCTTGTTCCCACTCTTAAGGGAAAGCTTTTGGTCTTTTACCATTGAGTGTGGGTTTTCATATACATCCTTTATTATGTGAGGTAGTTTCCTTTTATTTTTAGTTTGCTGAGTCCACTTCATTTTTTTATACAACCCATTGGTCATTGTCATTCTTTCTCTCTTTCCTTCTTTCTGTAACTGTGGCTCCCCCAGCAGTTCCTTCCATCCCCCATGTAACTTATGGTCTAATCTTCAGTAAATATTTTTGTTTATTTCCTCTTTTTTTTTAATTTTGTTTTTGTAGAGATGGGGGCCTCATTATGTTGCCCAGGCTGCTCATATTGGACTTCAAGGCTCATGCCATTCTCTCACCTCGGCCTCCCAAAATGCTGCGATTACAGGCATGAGCCACCACACCCAGTCTAAATATTTTAAAAAGAGAAATTTTCCTGAGAAGTTTCCTTTAATCAATGATTCTTGTTTCAAGGTGTTGTTTTTCAAAGATTCTGAAATTTTCTCCATTTAAATTTACCTTTCAGTTCTCTTTAAGAAGGCAGGTGCTTGTAGTCCCAGTGAGTTGAGAAGCTGGGGCAGGAGGATCCCTTGAGCCCAGGAGTTTGAGTACAGCCTGAGCAACATAGCAAGTCCCCATCTCTAAAAAATTAAAATATAACAATAAATTCCCTTTAAAGTCTACTTTTCATTTCATGTTTCATGACTTAAGATTTATTGTAAAATATATGATATATTATTCCATTAATTCAAATTTTGACTAAATGAGATTATTTTATTTCATTTTGTTTAAACCATATCTGATCTTAGGCAAAATGTGAAGTAGATGCGGCTCTTTCTCAGTCCCCTACCACTTCTCTGGTGGCAGCCCTTTCTTGACAGCTCCGCCTTCATGCCTATGTTTTATTAGGTCTCAGTCTATCACTACCGTAATCACAGAGTATCTACCACAAGCTGGGCACTGTTCTAAGTGTTTTATCTTAATTAATTCACTTACATGTACAATCAACCCTGTGAGGCCAATGCTATTGCTATCTCTTTATTTCACTGACAAACAAAAATTGTATATATTTATCAGTACAACATGATGTTTTGAAATATGTATACATTGTGGAATGCCTAAATTGGGCTAATTAACATATGCATCATCTCACATACTTATTTTTTGTGGTGAGAACACTTAACGTCTACTCTCTTAGCAATTTTCAAGAATACAATACATTGTTATTTGCTATAGTCAGCATGTTACACAATAGATGTCTTGAACTTATTCCTCTTTTCTAAGTGAAATTTTTGTACCTTTTGACCAATATATTCCAATCCTTTCCCACCTGCCTCTAGTGACCACCTTCTACTCTCTACTTCCATGAGTTCAACTTTTTTAGATTCCACATATAAATGAGATCATGTGGTAATTGTCTTTCTATGCCTGACTTACTTCATGTAGCATAATGTCCTCCAGATTCATTCATGTTGTTGCAAATGACAGGATTTTCTGTGTTTTTTAAGGCTGAATAGTATTCTATTGTGTATGTATACATATTTTTTTATCAAGTCATCCTTTGATGGACACTTGGGTTGAATCCATACCTTGGCTATTATGAATAATGCTGCAATGAATATGGGAGTACAGAAATCTCTTTAATATACTGATTTTATTTCCTTTGGATATATATCCAGTAGAGGAATTTCTGGATCATGTAGTAGTTCAATTTTTGATTTTTGAGGAAGCCCCATACTATTTTCCATAATGGTTGTACTAATTTATATTCCCATCACCAGTATGCAAGGGGCAACCTTTTCTTCAAATCATCCTCAACCCTTATCTTTCATCTTTTTGATAAAAATTATTCTAAAAGGTGTGAGGTAATATTGTGGTTTCAGTTTGCATTTCTCTGATGATTAGTGATGTTGAGCACTTTTTCATATACCTGTTAGTCATTTATATGTCTTCTTTTGAAAAATGTCTATTCAAGCCCTTTCCCTAATTTTTAACCAGCTTATTTGTTTTCTTGCTGAGTTGTTTGAGTTCCTTACACATTTTGGGTATTAACCACTTACCAGATATATGATTTGCAAATATTGTCCCCCATTACACAGGTTGTCTCCTCACTCTGTTGATTGTTTCCTTAGCTGTGCAGAGGCTTTTTAGTTTTATGTAATCCCATTCATCTATTTCACTTTTGTTGCCTATATTTTTGGGGCAATATCCAAAAAAATCATCACCCAGGTTAATGTCCTGGGGCTTTCCACCTATGTTTTCTTCTAGTCGTTTTATAATTTTACAGTTTAAGTCTTTCATCCATTACGAGTTATTGTATACTTTCGTTCATAAATATGTTAAAGTAACCCAAAATAAACAGATTCACTCGCTTTACTCATGTAGTTTTTAGAAATGACCTATTGCTGCTTTTTTTAAAAAACAGGAATCTTTCCTATAATCCAATCCAGAAAATTCAAGCAAACCAATTTGATTATCTTGTCAAACTCAAGTCTCTGTAAGTATTCACATATGGGGATAGTTTTATGATAAAATTGTTTTTTAAATACTAACAATGTATATTTTTATATATTTACTTCAAATCATAAGCTTTATTTCCAAGACATTAGTTTAGCTCCACAAAAACATATGGGTGCTTGCTGAACTATAAACAGACAACTATTAGTTTTATCTTATATACTTGTAAATTAAAAAATAATGATGAATTATTTTATATTTTTCTATAAGTCATTAGGAGCTTATGTTGATTTGTTTGCTTTGACCCTTCAAAGACATCTGTGCATATTCACTCTCTTAACACTGGGTATTTTATAATTTATTATAAGTGTTTTTACCCCAAGATGGAATATGCTAGATTATATAAATCCTTACTTGTACCACACACACACAAAAAGACAAAAATTCTGTTAGAGCCAAAGAATTGCCTTAAAAGATAAGCTTCAGGGCTGAGTGCAGTGGTTCACACCTGTAAACTCAGCACTTTGGGAGTCCGAAGCAGGAGGATTGCTTGAGATCAGGAGTTGAAGAACAACCTGGGCAACATAGGGAGATGCTGCCTCTACAAAAAAATAAAAATAAGCAAATTAGTTGAGTGTGGTGGCATGCACCTGTGGTCCTAGCTACTTGGGAGGCTGAGGTGGGAACATTGCTTGAGTTGGGAGGTTGAGGCTGCAGTAAGCCCTGTTCATACCACCACACCAGCCTGGGCAACAGAGGAAGACCCTGTCTCAAAAAAAAAAAAAAAAGGTAAGCTTCAGTTCATTTAATTTGAGTGTTCCCTCAGTAAAATGACATTTTATTAGAAAAAAATTTATTAATTAAAAATTACTAGGAAATTTTCAAGGATGTAAAGCATCCTCTGCTATTGTAATATTGTACAAAAGATAATGCTTGTGCATTTATTCCACACATATTTATTGATTAGTTAAAATGCACAAAGCATTGTGCCATGATCTGTGAGGATCTGAAAAAAATCAAATAAGGAAGATAATACGTGTATAAATAACACAATCAGAAGGAGGAGGATTTGGGGAAGTGGGTGGGTTGAGTATAATTATTTTGTTCAGAGTAAGTGTTAACTAAAAGCATTTTATTAAATTGTCCTTCACAGAAACTCAATTTATTAAACCATGTATAATACATGTTCCTTTGATTGATTATTAATTTGATATTTTTAGCAGCCTAGAAGGGATTGAAATTTCAAATATCCAACAAAGGATGTTTAGACCTCTTATGAATCTCTCTCACATGTAAGTAGATATTTTATTGTTTTTCACTGTGATGTTAATATTTGTTTCCATGTGTATTATGATAATGCATCCAATCTATTAATATTTTCTACTAATTTGCCAGCTATAAACTGAAAGTTTGTGTTCCTCCAAAATGTATATATTGAAATACTAACCCCAATGCAATGGTACAAGGAGGTAGGGCCTTTGGGAGGTGACTAGGTCATGAGGACAGAGCCCTCATGAGTGGGATTAGTGCCCTTAGAAAACAGACTCTGGTCCAGGCCAGTGGCTCATGCCTGTAATCCCAGCACTTTGGGCGGCCGAGGTGGGTGGATCACCTGAGGTCAAGAGTTCAAGACCAGCCTGGCCAACATGGTGAAACCTCGTCTCTACTAAAAATACAAAAATTAGCCAGTCGTGGTGGTGATTCCAGCTACTCAGGAGGCTGAGGCAGGAGAATCGCTTGAACCCTGGAGGTGGAGGTTGCAGTGAGCCAAGATGGTGCCACTGCACTCCAGCCTGGGCGACAGAGTGAGACTCCATCTCAAAAAGAAAAAAAAAGAAAAGAAAAGAGACTCTGGAGACGACCCTTGCCCCTCCACCTTGTGAAGACAGACAGAGAAGATGGCCATCTATGAAACATGTGGTCCCCTACCAGACACTGAATCTGCTGGCACCTTGATCTTGGTCTTCCCAGCCTCCAGAACTGTGAGAAATGAACATTTGTCGTCTAAGTCACTCAGTCTATGGTATTTTTGTTACAGCAGCCAAGTGGACTGAGACATGTCTAAACAATAATTAAAACTCTTAAACCTTTGATATTGGGTGAGATGATTTTAGTTTTCCACAGTCTGGTAGAATCTCATAGGAGATTTTTTGAATCTCAGGAAACATGATGTGAGGGGAATCCACTTGGTCTTGTAAGAAGTTCTCCTCAGCTCTAATAACTGTTCACAGATATTGATGTTTGCCTAATGAGCTAGTAATTGGTGTATAGGGTGTGTTAGTCCATTTTGCATTACTACAAAGGAATATCGGAGGCTCGGTAGTTTATAAGGAAGAGTTTATTTTGGCTCACAGTTCTGTAAGTTGTAAGAGAAGCATGGTACCAACCTCTAATTTTGGTGAGGTCGTCAGGAAAGCTTTTAATCATGGCAGAGGACAAAGAGGGAGTAGGTGTGTCAAATGGCGAGAGAGAAAGCCAGAGAGAGAAGAGGAGGTGCCAGCTCTTTTTAACAATCAGATTTCATGTGAAATAATAGAAGGAGAACTCACTTATTACTGCAGGAAGGACACCACACCATTCATGAGGGATCTACCCCATGACCCAAACACCTCCTACTGGGCCCCACCTCCAACATTGGGAATCAACTTTTGACATGAGATTTGGAGTAGACAAATATCCAAACTATATCACATGGTACAAGTGCTACCAGATGAAGAGGAAGGAATTTATATAGGCAATATAAAATAATTATAAATAAATCAATGCTGCAAATGAAGGTAGTTAAGAAGAAGTCTTTCTCAATGAAAATATCCCCATATATCAAGGCATGATTCAAGCAAGCGTGCATGGATGAAATGGTAAACTTTGAAACATCTTTTATTCAAAGAGTATGTCTAGTTGTACCTGTGATTACATGCTTTAGAAGCACTTTTTTAATTGAATGCAATTTCATAGCAGTTATTAGAATGATCCATGCCATGGAAATTAATTTTCAATAATTTAGATACTGTCAGCTACCATCAACTCTGTAATCTTGCTTGTATTTTAAGTCTAACACAGAACCCTGTTTTTGTTTTCCATAGTTCCTCAGAAAGATGGCTTATAAAAGATTCCTTTCTTGTATGCAACATAAAGCAATCTGACTAAATTAAACAGAACAGAATTTATTGGAAGAAAATGGTATAACACAGAATCTGAGGAATAATTTATAGCCTCTGGAATTATCCATCCAAGTGTCATTCAATCAGATTCAGTTTCAGGGAAGAGAATCTAGTTGATCACGTCTAGGGTACTTACCTACTCTGGGCTAGGGATTGCCTCCACTGAAGGTCCCACCATAACTTCTCAAAAAGGGAGAAGTAATTCTCTCAAAGGAAATCAGAACACTATTATCAGAAGAGTGATTGAGTGCTGGGCAGCCAAAGCGGCAAACAGAGTTACTATAATTCTGTTGATAAAAGCAAAACTTCAGCCTAAGACACATAGTAAAATACCAATCAACACTCCTTCTTTCCTCATGTTCTGCTCTCCTGTCCTTCATGGTTTACAGAATAAATGGATATAACCGAATGGGGAAATATCAGCAATTGACCTTGAGCTTGACAGGACAAATTGTAATCATCAGGTTTTTATCTTTTCTTATTATAGCTCTTTATACACTAAAGATCGTTTATATTTTTTGGCAGAACACATGGCTTTATAGACAAATAGATCTAATTTGAAGTTCAATTTGCATATTTAGTAGAAAATTTCCTAGCAAATAACTTGCCTCCACTGAAGATTCATCTCTTCCTATTAATGATGCTAACACCTACCTCACGGAATTCATTTGAGAACTTATTTCTGATACTTAAGAAATGCTCAATAAAAGGTGTTGGTGTTGGTGGTAACACAATAGTAATTATAAATTATCCACATGGTATATTTATCAACAAGGAAATTCTCTCTGTTGATGAAAGAAGTCACTCAACAAATATTTATTGAACGCTTTATTATGTACCAAAATCTAGTGTGAGAGATAGGCATGTTAGCAAGTAGTTACAGATAATATAACTTCTTTTTTTTTTCTTTTACTGTGGCACTTCCACGTTTAAAATCTTTAATATTATTTTGTTATTTTTATTAATTGACAAATAATAATTGCACATCTTCATGGGGGTACATAGTGATGTTTTGGTACATACAATGTATAGTGATCAGATCAGGATAAAGGATAATTAGCATATCCATCCTCTCAAACATTTATCATTTCTTTATGTTTAGAATATTCAATATCCTCCTTCTAGCTATTTGAAACCATACATTATTGTTAACTATAGACATCCTACCATGGTATAGAATATGAGAACTTATTCTTCTTTCTAGTTGTAACTTTGAATTCTTTAATAAGTCTGCCTGTCTCTTCCTTCTCCTTACCCTCCCCAGCCTGTAGTATCCTCTGTTCTACTTTTACTTCTGTAAGATCGACATTTTTAGCTTCCATATATGAGAACATGAGGTGTTTAACATTATTCCTGGCTTATTCCACTTAATGTAATGTCCTCCATTTCCCACCTAGTTGCCACAATGACAGAATTTCATTCTTTTTTTATAGCTGAATATTCCATTGTGTATATCTACCACATTTTTTTATCCATTCATCTGTTCATCAACACCTAGGTTGACTCCATATCTTGGCTATTGTGAATAGTGCTGAAGTAGCATTGTTTGTATGGGGTAATTCCTGAGGTTTGTTGCCTCACGCCAAGGAAATTAAGGACGTGGACACACAGGGAGTGAGGTTAAGAGCAGAGGTTTAATACGGGAGAGAAAGAGAAAAGCTCTCTCTCCTGCAGAGAGAGAGGGGCTCCTGAATAGGTCTTCCAGTTCTGTGGTGAAATGCACAGGGTTTTAATACAGTAGCTTGAGGAAGCCATGTTTGATTTACATAGGGCCCAAAAGATTGCTTGGACCAGGTGTGCCATTTGTATAGCATGCGAAGAAGCTGGCTGCCCCACCCTAATCTTTCATTATGCAGATGGGTTCTCTACCTGTTTGGCACCATGTTGTCTGCTTCTTTATTGTACATGTGGTTGACAAAGAAAAGGAAAGATGGAGCCTCCATGTTGAACATGCTTGGCCCCCAGGTAGCCTTTTCCTATTGGCACAGCTGCCAGCATTCACCTGTGCAAGCTTCTAGCTTGCTTTTCTATGTCTGCAGCTTAATTTTTCAGGCTGCTCTTTGTTAGAAAAGAAATTATTTGGGGCTGCTTTTTATTAAAAGAGAAAGCTTACCAAGGACTCTCTTACCCTCACTAACTGCCTAAATACTTTCTTTTTAGCTCCTGTATCAGTGCTGCAATAAACATGGGGGTGCAGATATCTCTTTGATATGATTTTCTTTTCTTTGAATAGATTCTCAGGAATGGGATTCCTGGATCATATGCTAGTTTTTTTTTTTTTTTTTTTGGAGACAGAGTCTCTCTTTGTCACCCAGGCTGGAGTGCAGTGGTGCAATCTCGGCTCACTGCAACCTCTGCCTCCACAGGTTCAAGCGATTCTCCTGCCTCAGCCTCCCAAGTAGCTGGGACTACAGGTGTGCGCCACCATGCCTGGCTAATTTTTTGTATTTTTAGTAGAGACGGGTTTTCACCGTGTTAACCAGGATGGTCTCAATCTCCTGACTGCGTGATCCACCCACCTCGGCCTCCCAAAGTGCTGAGATAACAGGCATGAGCCACTGCTCCCAGCCCACATGCTAGTTCTATTTGTAGTTTTCTGAGGAACCCCCATATTGTTCTCCGTTCTCCATAGTGCCTATACTAATTTACATTCCCGCCAATAACAGTTCCCTTTTCTCCAGATTCTCATCAGCATTTGTTACTTTTTGGTCTTTTTGATAATAGCCATCCATCCAACGTTGGAGTAAGATGATACCTCATTGTGGTTTTAATTTGCATTTCCTTGATCATTAGTGAGGTTGAACATTTTTTCAAGCATAGGTTGGCCATTTCTATGTCTTCTTTTTTTTTTTTTTTTTTTTGGAGACAGAGTCTCGCTCTGTCGCCCCCAGGCTGGAGTGCAGTGGCACGATCTGGGCTCACTGCAAGCTCCGCCTCCCAGGTTCACGCCATTCTCCTGCCTCAGCCTCCCGAGTAGCTGGGACTACAGGAGCCCGCCACCACGCCTGGCTAATTTTTTGTATTTTTAGTAGAGATGGGGTTTTACCATATTAGCCAAGATGGTCTCAATATCCTGACCTCGTGATCCACCCACCTCGGCCTCCCAAAGTGCTGGGATTACAGGTGTGAGCCACCGCGCCCAGCCTTGTATGTCTTCTTTTGAGAAATATCTGTTCAGATCATTTGCCTACTTTTTAATGGGATGTTTTCTTTTCTTTTTTTCTTTTCTTTTTTTTTCTTTCATTGGTGTTGAAATAACATCATAACTTCAATAACAAAAAGCCACGGAAGCACAGAAAAGAAAACACTTAACTCTTCCCCTGAGGGATAGAAAGCAGTCACTTGCAGCACAATAGGAGCTGTGTAACTGCATTTACGTATACTAACCATTGCGAGTACGATAACGGTTTCTCTGGAGGGATTCATTCTCTTGATCACATCTAACAGTTTGTATTCTAAGACATGTCTAACACTTGTTATGTTTATTATGCCTATTTGCTACTCTCACCCACACATTCTTTAACAATGAAATCAAGCTAATGATAATTGGATGTAAGTTTAAAGTTTCAGAATCCCTAATGTTTTAGTCCTCTCAATTTCATCTTAAGACATTTTCTTTCTACCGATAAAATGTAGGAAATAAATATGAATGTATGGTGACACTGAATTAAATGGAAAATCTTATTTTACTTTCTCTTTGTACACCAGATATTTTAAGAAATTCCAGTACTGTGGGTATGCACCACATGTTCGCAGCTGTAAACCAAACACTGATGGAATTTCATCTCTAGAGAATCTCTTGGCAAGCATTATTCAGAGAGTATTTGTCTGGGTTGTATCTGCAGTTACCTGCTTTGGAAACATTTTTGTCATTTGCATGCGACCTTATATCAGGTCTGAGAACAAGCTGTATGCCATGTCAATCATTTCTCTCTGCTGTGAGTATTTCCTGGTTAAAGGAGAATTGTAGTTTTGAAATATACAAAAGCTTTATTATTAGAAAATAAGTTGTGTGAGTGGTAGAATTATGGAATTTTACATTTTTCTCCTTTTTGCTTGTATGCTGTTTTCACATTTTCTACAAAGAAAATAGAATTACTTTAGCAATAAAAAAATATGTTTTTTAAACTAGGAAATTTAATCACCTTATGCAAATTAAGGAAGCTTTCATTTATTAGTTCTCTCTCATACAGTGGCTCCGAAGGCACAATATTTTGTTGACGCATCTAAAATCTTTTACTACAAATAAAATTGCAACCTCCTATGGTCACAATTTTACATGCAGACCTATACTTACTTTTTTATGTGTATGTCCAGTTCACAGATATTGACTTAACAACTACATGTTTTCCTGATCTCTGAGCTACTAGAAGTTTTTTCCACTCTAACTGAAATGTGTAAATAAGAAAATATTTTTAGGGAGTATTCATTTTTTCAAAAAGTGTGCGCAATGTAATGGCAAGGTGTTATGTTAAATGAACACTGCAAAGAAAAATAAGGAAGAAACCAGTCCTCAGGATGTTTGTAGTCTAGGTCAAGTGTTCTAGAATTTATCCATGCTCCCTCAAGCAAGTAAAGCATCAATCTACATGAGGTTCTACTTTTGTATGTGTGCTGCCCCCATGTGCTGTCCCCATCCTTATTCAAAGTCTAATGTCTAAATGTTTTTTTTTTATTGCAAGCTATGTAAGAAACAGAACTCAGAAGCCATTTACTATTTTGTATTGCTAGCTACAAAATTTTTAGTAAGTTCAATTTCCGTGGTGAAGCCTAGACTGTAACTTCAGAGTTAAAGGCTTAGGGTCAGCCTTGTGATTTATACAGTGATGTGATTTTAGGGATTTTGTGTAGAATGCTTGTGCGATCCAAAAATCTCACCCACTTTCTGATATGTAACGTTTGCTTAAAAAGAAATATGCCAAGTAGTGTAAGAGAGCTAATTCCTGGGATCGGAGACCCTAAAAAGAGACAGAAAAAGATGTAAAAATTGAAAGAGAGAGAAAACAGTTTTGCTTAGACCAACTCTGGTAAGTAATTTAAGCCCCTTAAAATTGTACTGACTGCAAAGCAGTTCATAATTATACATATCTCTTAAATTATAGGCTTCAGAATTCAGTCATTATTCTATCATAGGAACTTGTGAATTACTTTCTCCAAGATTTTATATGACACCTTGAGCTTGTTGCGTTGGGAGAATTTCAGTGGAAGAGCAGAACCAAGTAATGCCATCCTCATCTGAGTCCCTAACTGAATGCTCTACGTGATTGCATTTTGTTCATTTATTCGACACTTCTATGTGATGGGTCTAGAACAATAGACAAGATCTGTGCTGTTAGAGACTTGCACTTTAAAGGAAAATGAAGAAATGATTGCATAATTAACTGTAGAGAGTAACTTTGAGAGTGGTTACCAAAGAGAGTCTATGAATAGATCCTCATCTGTAAATGAATTATTAGGAGAATAAAAATTACCTCTTCCTAAGTTGGAAGAAACTTGACTATTTTTTCTAGCATTAAAAATATTATTGCTTATTGATGATTTTATGATACCTATTTATTTCTCTAAATTTGTGAAACTATGACTCCTCTAGGTGCCGACTGCTTAATGGGAATATATTTATTCGTGATCGGAGGCTTTGACCTAAAGTTTCGTGGAGAATACAATAAGCATGCGCAGCTGTGGATGGAGAGTACTCATTGTCAGCTTGTAGGATCTTTGGCCATTCTGTCCACAGAAGTATCAGTTTTACTGTTAACATTTCTGACATTGGAAAAATACATCTGCATTGTCTATCCTTTTAGATGTGTGAGACCTGGAAAATGCAGAACAATTACAGTTCTGATTCTCATTTGGATTACTGGTTTTATAGTGGCTTTCATTCCATTGAGCAATAAGGAATTTTTCAAAAACTACTATGGCACCAATGGAGTATGCTTCCCTCTTCATTCAGAAGATACAGAAAGTATTGGAGCCCAGATTTATTCAGTGGCAATTTTTCTTGGTAAGAAACTAAGAAACTAATGTTCACAAATTTTTATTTCAAATCTTCCAACCAGTTTTTGTTAGTAAGAATGAGGGTGAATTCTATCAGAATCCCCAGCAAGGATTTTCCTCCCCAAATTATACTCTGATATAAATTCCAACCTGACACAGCTTAATAAAAGACACTAAACACCTGTATTTCATGTATTCACCCTAAACATGCTAAGCAACATATGTTTTGGCTCTTTGTTTTACAATATGAACATAATGATATTTATTATCTTTTCAAATTCATGGCAACACACATCTTTGGCTTGTGAGTATATATACAACTGTTCTAAATCAGCAATGTAAAAATATTTTCAGAGTACAGCAAAAAGTAACTGAATTAGAAAAAAATCACTAGGCCAGGCACAATGGCTTGTGCTATAATCTCAGTACTTTGGGAGGCCAAGGTGGGAGGATCACTTGAGGCCAGGAGTTGAGACCAGCCTGGGCAACATAGCAAGACCCCATCTCTACAAAATTATTTTTAAAAAATTAGCTGGTGTGAGGCCAGGCACGGTGGCTCATACCTGTAATCCCAGCACTTTGGGAGGCCGAGGCGGGCCAATCATAAGGTCAGGAGTTCAAGACCAGCCTGACCAATATGGTAAAACCCCATCTCTACTAAAAATAGAAAAATTAGCCGGGCATGGTGGCACGCACCTGTAGTCCCAGCTACTCGGGAGGCTGAGGCAGGAGAATTGCTTGAACGCAGAAGGCAGAGTTGCAGTGAGGCAAGATAGTGCCACTGCACTCCAGCCCGAGCAACACAGCGAGACTCCATCTCAAAAAAAAAAAAATTAGCTGGTGTGATGGCATGCACCTGTACTCCCAGCTACTTGGAAGGCTGAGGCAGGAGGATTGCTTGAGCCCAGGAGTTTGAGGCTGCAGTGAGCTATGATTGTACCACTGCACTTCAGTCAGTGACAGAGCAAGAACCCATCTCTAAAAAAATTAAAAATAAAACATCACTAATACTAGAAAGCTTAAAAACCCAAGATATTCATTGAATTACTGTAATTTCAATATCTCATTTTAAAAGTAAACATTTTATCATTCTTCACTACTTCCACAAAACCTCATCTCAAAAAAATTCATGATTTTTGTGGACTTTAGTAATTCTTTGTGAAGAAAAAACCCACACATTATAGTCTTTGTATCTTTAGTAATAACATCTTTGTATCTTTAATAATAAAAATGTTTTATTTATGTTTGTTCATTTTGAAAGAAATATTTCTATGCATTAATAATACTGTTTGTATTCCAAATAGGTATTAATTTGGCCGCATTTATCATCATAGTTTTTTCCTATGGAAGCATGTTTTATAGTGTTCATCAAAGTGCCATAACAGCAACTGAAATACGGAATCAAGTTAAAAAAGAGATGATCCTTGCCAAACGTTTTTTCTTTATAGTATTTACTGATGCATTATGCTGGATACCCATTTTTGTAGTGAAATTTCTTTCACTGCTTCAGGTAGAAATACCAGGTACAATATTTTTTAATCTCCTTAAAGAAATAATAAATCTGTTTTTACAGTGTTCTTTTAAGGAAAACAATTAAAATTCTTAACACTAAACAATTCAAAGAATTGTACATCAGATCCGAGCACAGTGGCTCATGCCTATAATCCCAGCACTCTGGGAGGCCAAGACGGGCAGCTCACTTGAGGTCAGGAGTTTGAGACCAGCCTGGCCAACATGGGGAAACCCCATCTCTGCTAAAAATACAAAAACTAGCTGGGCATGGTGGTGCACCGCTGCAGTCCCAACTACTCAGGAGGCTAAGGCATGAGAATTGCTTGAACTCAGGAGGCAGAGGTGGCAGTGAGCCGAAATTGCACCACTACACTCCAGCCTGGGTGACAGAGCCAAAAAAAAAAAATTGTAAAAATTGTAAGTCAGAGTTGTAGGTACTTTTGGCTCTGCTCATCAATATAACATTTACTGGGGAAGAACTGTTTATTTTTTTCCATAAATGCCTAACAATACAATTACTATGGAACAAAGAAGCAATGAGTGACCAAAATAAATTCCACACGGTGTTGAAATTCTAATCATCACATGCTTAAGGTGACTAGAAAGGAAAACAGGCCAAAACAATTCTTAAATAATTACTGCATTTTTTTTCAAAATGTAAGAAAATTTTCTTCCTGTAATACATGCAATTTAGAGAAGATCATGCCAGAGTGTGAGAGATAATAGAAGCAAACATTCTTGGCATTTAGAAAGAACGTTGGCTGGCATGTTGCCTCACGCCTGTAATCTGGCACTTTGGGAGGCCAATGTGGGAGGATCACTTGGGCCCAGGAGTTCAAAGCTGCAGTGAGCCATGATTGCACCACTGCACTCCCGTCTGGGTGACAGAGCAAGATCCTGTCTCAAAAAAATAAAAATAAAAAATAAAAAATAAACAATGTGCATTACATCCATTAGGATGACTACTATTTTAAAAAAACACACATACAAAAAAATAAGTGTTGGTAAAGTTGTGGAGAAATTAGAATCCTTGTGAATTGCTGGTAGAAAAATAAAATGGTACAGCTGCTATGGAAGACAATATGGCAGTCCCTCAAAAATTTAAACCATCCAATGGTTTAGTTACCATCCAATGTGGAAATGGTCCAGTTACCATCCAATGTGGAAATTCTCCTTCTAAGGAAAAAACCAAAACAATTGAAAGCAGGGACTCAAAGAGATATTTGTACACCCATGTTCATTGCAGCATTATTCACAATAGCCAAAAGTTAGAAGCAATACAAATGTCCATAGATTGGTAAATGGATAAACAAAATGTGGTACATACGCACAATGGATTAGTATTTAGTCTTGTAAAGGAAGGAGATTTTGACAAATGCTGCAATATAGATGAACCTTGAAGATACTGTGCTAAGTGAAATAAGTTAGACACAAAAGGACAAATATTTTATTTCACTTACATGACGTTTCTGATATAGTTAGATTCATAGAACATAGAACGGTGTTTTCTAGGGGTTGGGGGAAGGGAGAATGGAGAGTGTTTAATAGGCATAGAGTTTCAGTTTGGGAGATGAAATCATTCTGGAGATGGATGGTGGTTATGGTACAATGATATGAACGTACTTAATGCCACTGAGCTGTCCACTTAAAATGGTTACATGGTAAATTTTATGTTATGCATATTTTACCACAATGAAAATGCATATATCCTGTTAAATATATATAAATATATATATATATATATAATGCAGTTTGTATTCACATTTTAAAATTTTCATGTAGCAGGGCGCAGTGGCTCACACCTGAAATCCCAGCACTTTGGGAGGCTGAGGTGGGCAGATCACTTGAGGTCAGGAGTTGGAGACCAGCCTGGCCAACATGGTGAAACCCCATCTCTACTCAAAATACAAAAATTTAGCTGCGCCTGGTGGCATGCACTTGTAGTCCCAGCTACTTGGGAGGCTGAGGCATGAGAATGCTTGAACTTGGGAGGCAGAGACTTCAGTGAGCGGAGATTGTGCCATTGCACTACAACCTGGGTGATAGAGCAAGACTCTATCTCAGGAAAAAAAAACAATTGTATATATTAATACATAATTTTAATTGTGTTCTGTACTATGGATGATGGTGATAGTATCTTACATTTTATGAACAACAAAAAGAAGGCCAAGTGGTGAAGACTGATTGAACCCAGGAGATTGAAACCAACCTGGACAACACAGGGAGACCCTGAGACCCCAACTCTTCAAAAAATAAAAAAATAAAAAATTAACCAGGCATGGTGGCACATGCCTGTGGTCCCAGCTACTCAAGAGGGTGAGGTACAAGGATCGCTTGGGCCCAGGAGGTCAAGACTGCAGTGAGCCATGTTCACACCACTGCACTCCAGCCTGAGCGACAGCATGAGACCCTGTCTCAAAAACAAAAACATAAAAACAAAGAGTAATGACAGCATCAATTAAATTATAATCAAATCAGAGTATTTTGGTATTTCTATATATATTAGAGTGATTTTTAAGATGGGTTTAGCCAAAGTTATTTTTTACAGAAATAAATATCTGGTCAAAAGCTAAAAAAATGCACACTTTGTTTTAAAATCAAATGGCAAAAAAGAAATCTATTAAATACAAGCTTACATATTCTGACAAATACTATATGCACCATTAAAATACTCAAAAAGTGTTTTAATTATTAAGCACTTAAATTTATGACTTAAATACTAAACAATATGTTTTTCCTAAAATATAATCATAATATGTAATCACTTTGTGAAAAATATTTCTACCTAAAGGAATATTTTTGTTAGTGTATTCAAGAAGAGCTACTTAGCAAAGAATACCATTCTTTTTCAGCACTAGCATTCCCCTCACACACTGGCACTCTGGAAAGATATCTTGGAAACAAATATAGACTTGGTATTTAATTATGTGACATCAAAGGAAAAAAATCAAAACTCAAAAAGGGGTTGGGATGAAAGAAACAGGGAAATTGGGTTTCTATACCTTGTAAACATCTATAAACACTAAAACTATTTCATTTTTCTTTTTTAGGTACCATAACCTCTTGGGTAGTGATTTTTATTCTGCCCATTAACAGTGCTTTGAACCCAATTCTCTATACTCTGACCACAAGACCATTTAAAGAAATGATTCATCGGTTTTGGTATAACTACAGACAAAGAAAATCTATGGACAGCAAAGGTCAGAAAACATATGCTCCATCATTCATCTGGGTGGAAATGTGGCCACTGCAGGAGATGCCACCTGAGTTAATGAAGCCGGACCTTTTCACATACCCCTGTGAAATGTCACTGATTTCTCAATCAACGAGACTCAATTCCTATTCATGACTGACTCTGAAATTCATTTCTTCGCAGAGAATACTGTGGGGGTGCTTCATGAGGGATTTACTGGTATGAAATGAATACCACAAAATTAATTTATAATAATAGCTAAGATAAATATTTTACAAGGACATGAGGAAAAATAAAAATGACTAATGCTCTTACAAAGGGAAGTAATTATATCAATAATGTATATATATTAGTAGACATTTTGCATAAGAAATTAAGAGAAATCTACTTCAGTAACATTCATTCATTTTTCTAACATGCATTTATTGAGTACCCACTACTATGTGCATAGCATTGCAATATAGTCCTGGAAGTAGACAGTGCAGAACCTTTCAATCTGTAGATGGTGTTTAATGACAAAAGACTATACAAAGTCCATCTGCAGTTCCTAGTTTAAAGTAGAGCTTTACCTGTCATGTGCATCAGCAAGAATCATAGGCACTTTTAAATAAAGGTTTAAAGTTTTGGAATACTCAGTGTATTTGCATCATAGAAAATGTCTGACTGTTTGCAAAATAATATTCTGTTTTAAGAATCCATCTTACCTCTCTTTAAGTTTCCATACACTTGAGAGCCAACACAACATATTTATTACTAAAAAGATGCTTTGCTAGAAACTCAAAAACAGCACTTCTTTTGGCACTTCCTGCCCAGTTTTCTCTTTGCTTTAAATGAACATCATCATATGGAATTGGAATAGGAGAGTATGAGTACGGCAGAGAAGTGGATCAGAAAAACTAGAATGAGGATAAACATTTACATTAGTGGAAACTCCTGAAATAAATCCTTGTATTGTCAGTTAACTGATTTTCAACAAGGATGCCAAGACAAAAAGGCTTTTCAACAAACCGTGCTGTTTTAAGAACAGACCTAAGTGGTTTAATTCACCCACTTTAGATGGGTGAATGTTATGGTGTGTGAAATATCTCAGTAAAGCAGTTAAAAGGAAAAAGAGCTGGAATGCACTGATTCAGGAACTTAATTTCAGGAAGGAAAGGTCTGTATGTACACATTTCACTTTAAGCAGAAAATCTTTCTTCAAGAAATGACTTTACTTTCTCTTTGCACTGCCAGCACGTGAGATACTAACTTTTTAACTAGTTGTTCTTCTCTAGTCTCTACGTTATTAGAATTTTTTGCTTTCATAATGTGAAACCTTTAAGCAGGAGAAGAAAATGTTTTCAGATAGTTTCAAATACACCAAAAATGTTTGAAACACAAAAATACTGGAATCAAACCATAATGCACTTATTGAATATATAGTTGTATAGATTTGTTCTGAAAATAAATTATCTGAAATTTAACTATTAAAAATGGATTGCTTCGGGGTTTTTTCTCTGCTTACTTGGAATAATCTCAATAAGTTTTCTACATGAAGAACATGGTATAATTTCAATATAACTCAGAGCATAATAGAAAACTATAGTTCTGCTTATAATATTCAATAATATAACTACTGATAGTTCTATAATAAATAAAATAGCCAGGTGCAGTGACATGCAACAGTAGTCCCAGCTACATGAGAGGCTGTGTCCAATCTGGGCAACCTAGTGAGACACTGTCTCTTAAATATAAATAAATAAATAAAATAGGCTGCAATTTTTAAATTTAAAGATAGCCTACAAAAAGTAAATTTAAAAAAGCTTATACAAAATGAAAGACCAAGTGCAGTGGCTCACACCTATCATCTCAGTACTTTAGAAGGCCAAGGCAGGAAGATCATTGAGGCCAGGAGTTCAAGACCAGCCTAAACAACGAGACCCGAAATTATAAAATAAATTAGCTGGGTATGGTGGCACATGCCTATAGTCCTAGTTAATAGGGAGGCTGAGGTGGGAGGACTGCTTGAGCCCAGGAGTTGGAGGCTGCAGTGTTCTGTGATTGTGCCACTGCACTCCAGCTTGGGTGACAGAGCAAGACCTTGTCTCTGAAAACAATTTTTTTAAATTCTTTGTTTTGTTTTTTGTTTTTTTTTTTTTGAGACAGCCTCACTCTGTTGCCCGGGCTGGAGTGCAGTAGTGCATCTCGGCTCACTGCAACCTCTGCCTCTGAGGTTCAAGCAATTCTCCTCTCTCAGCCTCCCAGGTAACTGGGACTACAGGCACGCGCCACCACACCTGGCTAATTTTTGTGTTCTTAGTGGAGACAGGGTTTCACATGTTGGCCAGGCTGGTCTCGAACTCCTGACCTCGTGATCTGCCCACCTCGGCCTCCCAAAGTGCTGAGATTACAGGCATGAGCCACCGTGCCCGGCCTAATTCTTTCTTAAGATTATTTTAGGATTAGTTCCTTAGAAGTCCTATTACTACTAATTCCAAGTAATAGAATAGGAAATTTTATTTTTATTTATTTATTTTTTATTTTTATTTTTATTTTTTCCAAGATGGAGTCTTGCTCTGTCACACAGGCTGGAGCGCAGTGGCGCAGTTTCAGCTCCCACTGCAACCTACACCTCCTGGGTTCAAGCAATTCTCCTGCCTTAGCCTCCCAAGTAGCTGGGATTACAGGTGCACGCCTCCACGCCCAGGTAATTTTTGTATTTTTAGTAGAGATGGGGTTTCACCATGTCGGCCAGGCTGGTTTCAAACTCCTGATCTTGTGATCCACCTGCCTCGGCCTCTGAAACCAAAGTGCTGGGATTACAGATGTGAGCCACCACGCCCAGCCTTTTTTTTTTTTTTTTTTTTTTTTAAGATGGAGTCTCTCTCTTGTCGCCCAGGCTGGAGTGCAGTGGCATGATGTCGGCTCACTGCAGGCTGGAGTGCAGTGGCATGATCTCAGCTCACTGCACCCTCCACCTCCAGGGTTCAGGTGATTTTCCTGCCTCAGCCTACTAAATAGCTGGGATTGCAGGCTTCCACCGCTATGCCCGGCTAATTTTTGTATTTTTAGTAGAGACGTGGTTTCACCATGTTAGCCAGGCTGATCTCAAACTCCTGACCTCAGGTGATCCACCCACCTCGGCCTCCCAAAGTGCTGGGATTATAGGTGTAAGCCACCGCACCCAGCCAAATATTTTTATTAAAAAGAATAACCAAAAAAGAATAAAAACAATACTCATGGATACAAGAAATTTAGTCCAACAAAAATCATGGTCTTAACCTGTTTAAGAGTCTTAGAAATGCATTAAATTTACGAAGTACACATCTGAAACTTCCTTTAGCATTTAACATATTTTTAAACAACTTTCTAGAGGCCATTTGACTTCCTGTCTGCTCAACCCATTCGCTCTTCCACCCTTCGACCTCCTGAAATAGAGTAACTTCGATTTAATTTAATTTGATAAGTAATTATTAACATACTACATAACTATCTCCTTAGAAACTTCCACAGATAATGCAACAGAAGCACTCAGTTAACTACGATTTGTATCAAGGTTTGCTTAGAAATGTAGCTTATAACCATGATCTAGGTCAAATCAATCCTCTAAATCAAGCCAGCCTAAGTTGTTTTAAAAATCTAAAGTTTATATCAGGAAAACCTCAACTTTTATTTTTTACATTTTTTAAGAATTACTAATTCATCATACTAACACATCATCTCTCCTAAATGACTGGGTAAACCTTGGCAATTTAGATGTGGATAAAGTAGAAGGCAAAGAGCAAAGTGGAAGGAAGACACAGCTGGAATTGTAAAGCCATGCATTTTACTCGACAAAGTGTCAAGTGAATTGCTCTAGGTAAGAGACCTCAAAAATACAAAAAGTGGTTTACTTTTTATAAAATTGCTTCTCTTTTAGAGAAAATCTTTCACTGGAAGCTTCATTCACTCTTGTTTTAAGCCTTTTTCTTATCTACAGACTACTTTAATATGTCCTCAGATACCGTGGATATACTAATGATTCCCATATTTTTGCCTTTAGCTTATTCTATCCCCTAAACTGCCCACTTGTGTATACAACTGCCCACTTGACATTTCCACTTGAGTATCTCACTGGCTTTTTAATGTCATTATTCTGCATTAAATAATAGACTAGAATCTGACATCTGATTCTTCTCCTATAGACCCTGTCTTGCTGAATTGCACCCGATGGCCCAAGCTCAAAATCTGGGAGTCATCCTTGACTCTTCCTTCTCCTTTATCCACAATATCAAATCACCCAGTCCTCCCTTGATTCTACCTCATACACATCTCTTAAATCCTTCCACTCTCTTCATCCCAATTCCCAGTACCTTAGTTTGGGCCAACATTATGTCTCATTGGGATATTTGCAATAACCTTTTAACAAGCCTCCATACCTCCAGTTCTAATTTGGTCAATTGATCTTTATAGGTTTTTAGAGCTTACGAAAAAAATTAAAAATAATCTTAGAAAAAAAATTGAGTGTTATACAGTTACTAGCACAAATATTCTGCTTTTGGATGTTGTATTATTTTGGGTTTGCCATAGAAACAGAGAGAGAGATTCTAAGGAATTGTCTTATATGATTATGGAGACTGGCAACTCTAAACATCTGCAGGGCCAATGTCCCAATTGAAAGACACACAGGCTGTTTAGAACCAGGAAGAGCCAGTGCCAATTCAAAGGCTGTCAGGAAGAGCTGATTTTGGAAGACCAGGCCTTCAGGCAGAATTCTCCCTTGGTGGGGGAGGGTCAGCCCTTTGTTCTATTCAGGCCTTCTAGGGATAGGATGATCACAACACACACTAGAAAGGGCAATCCACTTTACTTAGTCCACTGATTTACATGTTGGCTTCATCCAAAAACATCCTGACTGAAAAGTGAGAATATTATCTAAACAAATATCTCGGGATCTGTAGCCCAGACAAGTTGAAACATAAAATTAACCATCACACATGGGGAGAGTAAATAATATAATAAGCCTGAGTATTAATAAGTCTAGCTAGGTGGCTAGGTGTGGTGTAGACAAGCGTACCAGTTTTGGTGTCAAGACTCACAGGCATATTTTATCTCAGCCTGTTTCAGTAAACAGTAATGACACTTTCCTCAAAAAACTGATTTGGTTACATGAAAAAAGCTTTTTTTTTTTTTTTTTGAGATGGAGTTTCGTTCTTGTTGCCCAGGCTGGAGTACAGTGGCGCAATCTCAGCTCACTGCAACCTCCGCCTCCTGGGTTCAAACGATTATTCCGCTTCAGTCTCCCGAGTAGCTGGGATTACAGGCACCTGCCACCATGCTCAACTAATTTTTTGTATTTTTATAGAGATGGCGTTTCATCACGTTGGCCAGGCTGGTCTCAAACTCCAGACCTCAGGTGATCTGCTACCCCACAACCCCCCAGCCTCCCAAAGTGCAGGTGACAGGTAACAACATGCTAGCAGCCCTGGCTTGCTCTCGGTGCCTCCTCAGCCTCAGTGTCCACTCTGGCTGCACTGGAGGAGCCCTTCAGCCCGCCAATGCGCAGTAGGGGCCCCTCTCTGGGGCTGGCTGAGGCCAGAGCTGGCTCCCTCTGCTCGCAGGGAGGTGTGGAGGGAGAGATGCGGGAGGGAGCTGGGGCTGCATGCAGTGCTTGTGGGACGTCGTGGGTTCTGGGTGGGTGTGGGCTCAGTGGGCCCTGAACTAGGAGTGGCCGGCCAGCACCTACTGGGCTTGATCAGGGGGACGAGCTCCCTCTGGGCTGCCAGACTGTCTGGGCTAGGAGCCACAAAGTCCCACGACGAGTGCCATTGAGAGGTGAAGCTGGCTAGGCTTCTGGGTCAGGTGGGGACTTGGAGAACTTTTCTGTCTAGCTAAACGATTGTAAAGGCAGCAATCAGCATTCTGTGTCTAGCTAAAGGTTTGTAAACTCAACAATCAGTGCTCTGTCAAAATGGAACCATCAGCTGTCTGTAAAACGGACCAATCAGCTCTCTGTAAAATGGACCAATCAGTAGGATGTGGGTGGGGCCAGATAAGGGAATAAAAGCAGGCCACCTGAGCCAGCAGTGGCAACCCGCTCGGGTCCCCTTCCATGCTGTGGAAGCTTTGTTCTTTCTCTCTTTACAATAAATCTTGCTGCTGCTCACTCTTTGGGTCCGCGCCACCTTTATGAGCTATAACACTCACCACGAAGGTCTGCAGCTTCACTCCTGAAGCCAACGAGACCACAAACCCACCGGAAGGAATGGACAACTCCAGACGTGCCACCTTTAAGAGCTGTAACACTCACCGTGAAGGTCTGCAGCTTCACTCCTGAAGTCAGTGAGACCATGAGGCCACCAGAAGGAATAAACTCCGGACACATCTGAACATGTGAAGGAACGTACTCCAGACACACCATCTTTAAGAACTGTAACACTCACTGCGAGTGTCTGCGACTTCATTCTTGAAGTCAGCGAGACAAAGAACCCACCAATTCCGGACACATTTTGGCGACCACGAGGGGACTATCGCCTATCGTCAAGTGGTGAGACTATCGTCAAGCGGTGAGACTATCGTCAAGCAGTGAGACCATCGCCTATTGCTGAGACCATCGCCTATCGCCAAGTGGAGAGTCCCATCGAACCCCTTTCGCTTGCTATTCTGTCCTATTTTTCCGTAGAATTCGGGGGCTAAATACCGGGCACCTGTCAGCCAGTTAAAAGTGACTAGCATGGCCACTGGACTAAAGACATGGGTGTCAGGCTTTCTGGGAAAGAGCTCTCTAACAATCTCCGACTCTTCAGAGTTGGGAGCATTGGTTTGCCTGGAACCAGCTTCCGCTTTTCCTGTACTTCTGGGCTGAGCCGAGCATCGACAGAGAGGAAAGCCATTCAGCTCCGGGGTGCCGACAACAAGTTGGTTGACCCAGCAGCCATGAGCGGAACTCTCAAAGGCATGTCGCCCAAGTGAGACTCACCCATCTATCCTATCTATCCTGACCCTTGTCCTCTGGGTCCTAATGCTTGCCAGACAAACTTCCCCTTGCCTCTTTTCTCTGAGGCTAGCCTCCCTTCTAAAAACCACTCCCTATCTCTGGTGCTTTTCTAGTTTCTCCTATAACAATGATTTCTAGTATCAACTTCAGGACTCTGTTACCTTCTTTAGGCACCCAGGCTCACCAATCAGAAAGACATAATTTTTGCCCAAAGCCCCATCATAGGGGGAACTATCTGGAATTTTAGGATACCTCCTCAGACAAGCAGGCGTAACAAAAGCTATTCCTGAAGCTAGGATATGGGGAGCCTCAGAAATTGTATCCTTCCTGTTCATATAAGTGAGGACAAAAGGCATCACTCTTCCAACTCTGGAGATCCCTTCCCTCCCTCAGGGTATGGCCCTCCACTTCATTTTTGGGGCATAACATCTTTATAGGACACGGGTAAGGTCACAATACTAACAGGAGAATGCTTAGGACTCTAACAGGTTTTCGAGAATGTGTCGGTAAGGGCCACTAAATCCAATTTTTCTTGGTCCTCTTTGTGGTCTAGGAGGACAGGCAAGGTTGCAGGTTTTTGAGAATGTGTCAGTAAGGGCCACTAAATCCAACCTTCCTCAGTCCTCTTTGTGGCCTGGGAGGAAAACTAGTGTTTCTGCTGCTGCGTCAGTGAGTGCGACTATTCCAATCAGCAGGGTCCAGGGATGGTTGCAGGTTCTTGGGCAGGGGTTGTTTCTGCTGCTGCGTCGGTAAGCACAACTATTCTGATCAGCAGGGTCCAGGGACCATTGCAGGTTCTTAGGCAGAGGGAGAAACAAAACAAACCAAAACTGTGGGTGGTTTTGTCTTTCAGATGGGAAACACTCAGGCATCAACAGGCTCACCCTTGAAATGCATCCTAAGCCATTGGGGCCAATTTGACCCACAAACCCTGAAAAAGAGGCAGCTCATTTTTTTCTGCACTATGGCCTGGCCCCAATATTCTCTCTCTGATGGAGAAAAATGGCCACCTGAGGGAAGTACAAATTACAATACTATCCTGCAGCTTGACCTTTTCTGTAAGAGCGAAGGCAAATATGGAGAGAAATACCTTATGTCCTAGCTTTCTTTTCATTGAAGGAGAATACACAACTATGCAAAGCTTGCAATTTACATCCCACAGGAGGACCTCTCAGTTTACCCCCATATCCTAGCCTCCCTGTAGCTCCCCTTACTATTAATGATAATCCTCCTCTAATCTCCCCTGCTCAGAAAGAAATAAGCAAAGAAATCTCCAAAGGACCACAAATCCCCCCGGACCATCAGTTATGTCCCCTTCAAGCTGTAGGGGGAGGGGAATTTGGCCCAACCTGGGTACATGTCCCCTTCTCCCTCTCTGATTTAAAGCAGATCAAGGCAGACCTGGGGAAGTTTTCAGATGATCCTGATAGGTATATAGATGTCCTACCGGGTCTAGGGCAAACCTTCGATCTCACTTGGAGAGATGTCATGCTACTGTTAGATCAAACCCTGGCCTTTGATGAAAGGAATGCAGCTTTAGCTGCAGCCTGAGAGTTTGGAGATACTTGGTATCTTAGTCAAGTAAATGATAGAATGACAGCCAAAGAAAGGGATAAATTCCCTACTGGTCAGCAAGCCATCCCCAGTATGGATCCCCATTGGGACCCTGACTCAGATCATGGGGACTGGAGTCATAAACATCTGTTGACCTGTGTTCTAGAAGGACTAAGGAGAATTAGGAAAAAGCCCATGAATTATTCAATGATGTCCGCCATAACTCAGGGAAAGGAAGAAAATCCTTCTGCCTTCCTTGAGCGGCTATGGGAGGCCTTAAGAAAATATACTCCCCTGTCACCTGAATCACTCAAGATTCAATTGATTCTAAAAGATAAGTTTATTACCCAATCAGCAGCAGATATCAGAAGAAAGCTCCAAAAGCAAGCCCTGGGCCCTGAACAAAATTTGAAGGCATTATTAAACCTAGCAACCTCGGTGTTCTATAATAGGGACCAAGAGGAACAGTCCCAAAAGGAAAAGTGAGATCAGAGAAAGGCCACAGCCTTAGTCATGGCCCTCAGACAAACAAACCTTGGTGGTTCAGAGAGGACAGAAAATGGAGCAGGCCAATCACCTGGTAGGGCTTGTTATCAGTGTGGTTTACAAGGACACTTTAAAAAAGATTATCCAATGAGAAACAAGCCAACCCCTCCTCCATATCCACTATGCCGAGGCAATCACTGGAAGGTGCACTGCTCCAGAGGACAAAGATTCTTTGGGTCAGAAGCCCCCAACCAGATGATCCAACAACAGGATTAAGAGTTCCTGGGGCAAGCGCCAGCTCATGTCATCACCCTCCCTGAGCCCCAGGTATGTTTAACCATTGAGGGCCAGGAAATTGACTTCCTCCTGGACATTGGCATGGCCTTCTCAGTGTTAATCTCCTGTCCTGGACGACTGTCCTCAAGGTCTGTTACCATCCGAGGAATCCTGGGACAGCCTGTAACCAGGTATTTCTCCCACCTCCTCAGCTGTAATTGGAGACTTTGCTCTTTTCACATGCCTTTCTTGTTATGCCTGAAAGTCCCACACCCTTATTAGGGAGGGATATATTAGCAAAGGCTGGAGCTATTATCTACATGAATATGGAGAACAAGTTACCCATTTTTTGTCCCCTACTTGAAGAGGGAATCAACCCTGAAGTCTGGGCATTGGAAGGACACTTTGGAAGGGCAAAATATGCCCATGCAGTCCAAATCAGGCTAAAAGACCCCACCACTTTTCCTTCTCAAAGGCAATATCCCTTAAGGCCTGAAGCTCATAAAGGTTTACAGGATATTATTAAACATTTAAAAGCTCAAGGCTTACTAAGGAAATGTGGCAGTCCCTGCAACACCCCAATTCTAGGAGTACAAAAACCAAACGGTCAGTGGAGACTAGTGCAAGATCTTAGACTCATCAATGAGGCAGTAATTCCTCTATATCCAGTTGTACCCAACCCCTATACCTTGCTCTCTCAAATAACAGAGGAAGCAGAATGGTTCACTGTTCTGGACCTCAAGGATGCCTTCTTCTGTATTCCCCTGCACTCTGACTCCCAGTTTCTCTTTGCCTTCCAGGATCCCACAGACCACACATCCCAACTTACGTGGACAGTCTTGCCCAAAGGGTTTAGGGATAGCTCTCATCTATTTGGTCAGGCACTGGCCCAAGATGTAGGTCACTTCTCAAGTCCAGGCACTCTGGTCCTTCAGTATGTGGATGATTTACTTTTGGCTGTCAGTTTGGAAGCCTCATGCCAGCAGGCTACTCTAGATCTCTTGAACTTTCTAGCTAATCAAGGGTACAAGGTGTCTAGGTCGAAGGCCCAGCTTTGCCTACAGCAGGTCAAATATCTGGGCCTAATCTTAGCCAGAGGGACCAGGGCCCTCAGCAAGGAACAAATACAGCCTATACTGGCTTATCCTCACCCTAAGACATTAAAACAGTTGCAGGGGTTCCTTGGAATCACCGGCTTTTGGCGACTATGGATCCCCGGATACAGCGAGATAGCTGGGCCCCTCTATACTATAATCAAGGAGACCCAGAGGGCAAATACTCATCTAGTAGAATGGGAACCAGGGGCAGAAACAGCCTTCAAAACCTTAAAGCAGGCTATAGTACAAGCTCCAGCTTTAAGCCTTCCCACAGGACAAAACTTTTCTTTATACATCACAGAGAGAGCAGGGATAGCTCTTGGAGTCCTTACTCAGACTCGTGGGACAACCCCACAACCAGTGGCCTACCTAAGTAAGGAGTTGATATAGTAGCAAAAGGCTGGTCTCACTGTTTATGGGTAGTTGCGGCGGTGGCCGTCTTTGTGTCAGAGGCTATCAAGATAATACAAGGAAAGGATCTCACTGTCTGGACTACTCATGATGTAAATGGCATACTAGGTGCCAAAGGAAGTTTATGGCTATCAGACAACCGCCTACTTAGATACCAGGCACTACTCCTTGAGGTACCTGTGCTTCAGATACATACGTGCGTGGCCCTCAACCCTGCCACTTTTCTCCCAGAGGATGGGGAACCAATTGAGCATGACTGCCAACAAATTATAGTCCAGACTTATGCTGCCCGAGATGATCTCTTAGAAGTCCCCTTAGCTAATCCTGACCTTAACCTGTATACCGATGGAAGCTTATTTGTGGATAATGGGATATGAAGGGCAGGTTATGCCATAGTTAGTGATGTAACCGTACTTGAAAGTAAGCTTTTCCCCCACGGACCAGTGCCCAGTTAGCAGAAATAGTGGCACTTACCCGAGCCTTAGAACTGGGAAAGGGAAAAAGAATAAATGTGTATACAGATAGCAAGTATGCTTATCTAATCCTACATGCCCATGCTGCAATATGGAAAGAAAGGGAGTTCCTAACCTCTGGGGGAACCCCCATTAAATACCACAAGGAAACCATGGAGTTATTGCACGCAGTGCAAAAACCCAAAGAGGTGGCAGTCTTACACTGCCGAAGCCATCAAAAAGGGGAAGGTGAGGGGAGAACAGCAGCATAAGCAGCCGGCAGAGGCAGAGAAAGACCAGCAGAGAGAGAGATACAAAGTCAAAGAAGGAAAGAGAGAAAGAGACAGAAAGGAAAGAGAGAGAGACAAAAAGTCAAAGAAAGAAGGAGAGAGAGAGGAAGAGACAGACAAAGAAGGAGTCAAAGAGAGAGACAGAGAGGAAGAGAGAGACAAAGAAGTCAAAGAGAAAGAGAGATGGAAGTAGTAAAGAAAAAACGGTGTACCCTATTCCTTTAAAAGCCAGGGCAAATTTAAAACCTACAATTGGTAATTTAAGGTCTTCTCTGTAACCCTATAACACTCCAATACCACCTTGTTGTCAGTGTAAACAAGGGCATAGCCTGAAAGCACTGAGGCCACTGACAACCCATAGCCTTCCTATCAAAAATCCTTAACCCAGCAGGTTTCCTAATAGGAGATCTAAATCTGAAGGTCTGACCACACATAGGAGGAACTCCCTTCAGGACAGGATGATAGATGGTTCCTCCCAGGCAATTAGGAAAAAAGACACAATGGGTATTCAGTAAGTGATAAGGAAACTCTTACAGAAGCAGAGTTAGGAAAATTGCCCAATAATTGGTCTGCTTAAACGTTCGAGCTGTTTGCACTCAGCCAAACCTTAAAGTACTTGCAGAATCAGGAAGGAGCCATCTATACCAATTTTAAGTTAATATGGACTGAACAAGGTCTTATTAATAGCAAAGAATAATTGAAATCCCAAACTTACAAGGTTTTCAACTAAAGTAAAGTTTGCTAAAAGTTAGTAGTGTAACATGCGTTATCATACTGCCACACACTCTCAAAGGATTTCTCAGTTTGCAGGAAGTGATGAAATCTATCCTTACTCTACAATCCCAAATAGACTCTTTAGCAGCAGTGACTCTCCAAAACTGCCAAGGCCTAGACCTCCTCACTGCTGAGAAAGGAGGACTCTGCACCTTCTTAGGGGAAGAGTGTTGTTTTTACACTAACCAGTCAGGGATAGTACGAGATGCTGCCTGGTGTTTCAGGAAAAGGCTTCTGAAATCAGACAACGCCTTTCAAACTCTTATACCAACTTCTAGAGTTGGGCAACATGGCTTCTCCTCTTTCTAGGTCCCGTGGCAGCCATGTTGCTGTTACTCGCCTTTGGACCCTGTATTTTTAACCTTCTTGTCAAATTTGTTTCCTCTAGAATCGAGGCCATCAAGCTACAGATGGTCTTACAAATGGAACCCCAAATGAGCTCAACTAACAACTTCTACCGAGGACCCCTGGACCGACCTGCTGGCCCTTCCACTGGCCTAAAGAGTTCCCCTCTGGAGGACACAACTGCAGGGCCACTTCTTCGCCCCTATCCAGCAGGAAGTAGCTAGAGCAGTCATCAGCCAAATTCCCAACAGCAGTTAAGGTATCCTATTTAGAGGGGGGGATTGAGAGATGACAATGTGCTAGCAGCCCTGGCTCGCTCTTGGCGCCTCCGCAGCCTCGGTGTCCACTCTGGATGCACTGGAGGAGCCCTTCAGCCTGCCGCTGCACTGTGGGGGCCCCTCTCTGGGGCTGGCCGAGGCCGGAGCCGGCTCCCTCTGTTCACGGGGAGGTGTGGAGGGAGAGGCATGGGTGGGAGCTGGGGCTGTGCACGGTGCTTGCGGGCCGGCGTGGGTTCCAGGTGGGCTTGATCGAGGAACGAGCTCCCTCTGGGCTGCTGGAGTGCCTGGGCTAGGTGCCACGAAGTCCCACGGCAAGTGCCATCAAGAGGTGAAGCCGGCTAGGCTTCTGGGTCAGGTGGGGACTTGGAGAACTTTTCTGTCTAGTTAAAGGATTGTAAAGGCACCAGTCAGCACTCTGTGTCTAGCTAAAGGTTTGTAAACTCACCAATCAGCGCTCTGTCAAAACAGACCAATCAGCTCTCTGTAAAACGGACCAATCAGCTCTCTGTAAAATGGACCGATCAGCTCTCTGTAAAATGGACTAATCAGTAGGATGTGGGTGGGGCCAGATAAAGGAATAAAAGCAGGCCACCTGAGCCAGCAGTGGCAATCTGCTAGGGTCCCCTTCCATGCTGTGGAAGCTTTGTTGTTTCGCTCTTCACAGTAAATCTTGCTGCTGGTCACTCTTTGGGTCTGCGCCCCCTTTATGAGCTGTTAACACTCACCGCGAAGGTCTGCAGCTTCACTCCTGAAGCCAGTGAGACCACGAGCCCACCAGAAGGAACGGACAATTCCAGACGTGCCGCCTTTAAGAGCTGTAACACTCACCGTGAAGGTCTGCAGCTTCACTCCTGAAGTCAGCGAGACCACAAACCCACCAGAAGGAAGAAACTCCGGACACATCTGAACATCTGAATGAACAAACTCCGGACACACCATCTTTAAGAACTGTAACGCTCACTGCGAGGGTCCGCAGCTTCATTCTTGAAGTCAGCGAGACCAAGAACCACCAATTCCGGACATACAGGGATTACAAGCTTGAGCCACCGTGCCCCATCATAAAGCTCTTAATATAGTACCTGGCACATCTTTCAAACTCAGAATTTTTGAAACATAACACATTTTTTTTTATGTTAACAATTTCATCTTACTGACTTTAGTCTCGAGTCTAAAAAATTTACATAAGCTCGGCACAGTGGCTCATGCCTGTAATCCTAGCACTTTGAGAGGCCAAGGCAGAAGAATCACCTGAGGTCAGGGGTTCAAGACCAGCCTGGCCAACATGGTGAAACCCCATCTCTACTAAAAATACAAAAATCAGCCGGATGTGGTGGCGTGCACCTGTAATCCCAGCGAGGGAGGCTGAGGCAGGAGAATCGCTTGAACCGGGCAGTAGAGGTTGCAGTGAGCCAAGATCACACCACTGCACTCCAGCCTGGGCATCAGAGTAAGAATTTGTCTCAAAAAAAAATTTACATCATTCCTTTGGGGTTTTTGTAGGGCTGGTAATGGACCGTTTACTACGTTTAAAAAAAATTATTAAGTCTTTGAGGAAATATTTACGCTTTCAGCTCTTCCCCAACCTCTCCCATAAAGCAAACAGAAATGTAAAAAGGTCACTTTGTAAACTCTTAAAGTGCCCATAGAAAGCTCACTACCTGACACCAGCAGTTGTCCTAAGCTGACATAACTCAATAGAATTAGAAATCAGTAACATGTTTTTTCTTTTCTTACAGGGAAAGACAAATTGAGTTTTAGCATGGAGTTAAGCAAATAAATCTGTAGTGGAGGAAATACAATTTCTCCTCAAGCCTCATAAGTTCACAGTTGGGACAGATCCCTATAACAAAAGACAGATTAACAAGAGAAAAACAAGTAATTTTATTAATATATGCAACGTACATCACACAGGAGAAAACTCAATGAAAAGGTAAACACAAGTAGTGGCTTACAACTCTGGACTATATAGCATCTTCCACAAAGAATACATTTCAGAGAAGTGTGACAAGACGAAGGAAAGCAGTTTTAGGCTTCCAGAGGCAGAAACTGTGGAAGGTAAATATATGTTAAGAAACTAATAGTTTCTTGTTTGTAGATTCCTCTGGTGCTGTCTCAGCTGATTAGAGCCATCTTCTCATCTTGGTATCAGGAAAGCATCTTTATCAAAGAAGTTTGTATGGCTTGCTACAGGTAGGAAAGGACAGTTAAAATAGCCATTTCTGCAACTACTGTTAGTCAAGCACCTTTAGCTCGAAATAATCAGTATGCCAAATCGGCATATTTGGGGGTGGCATGTTCAAATTTCCTTCAGATAAAAAGAACAGAAAGGTCAGAATCTGGCCCTTACATAGTAACTGCATGACAGATGTTGCACTTGAAAAATTGATACTTGGAGGAACAGCTATAAATATGTAAAAATAATTAAAACAAGATTCCAAAATCATGCCATAAAAGAAAACAAATTTCAGTTGGACTAAACATCTAAATGTTAAAAACAAAAATTTTGTAACTTTTGGAAGGCTGAATAGGACTATTTTTATGACATTTCCTATACAAAAACCAGAAAAAGCAAATCATTATGAAAGATTGGTAAAATTACGTTTTTAAAAATTCAAGATTTCATAACCAAAATATGAAGACAAACCAGACTAAAAAAGATAATTGGAACATACATAACAGATCATTAGTATTCAAAATATGTAATATCTAAAAACTGACAAGTAAAAAAAACAACATAGAAAAATGAGCAAAAATGCCTGTAATCCCAGTGCTTTATAGGAGGAGGCGAGATGGGAGGATTGTTTGAGTCCAAGTTTAAGGTTACAGTGAGCTATGATCCTGCCACCACACTCCAGCCTGAGCAATAGAGTGAGATCTTGTCTCTTAAAAAAAAAAAAAAGAGTAAAAGATATGGCCTCAGAAATCACACACTGCATTTGCTCAATATCCTGGTAGTTACAAAAGTCAGCACTGTAAAATGCAGGAGAAGGCTATACTGGGGCATGAACACCAGGAGGCCAGGGATCACTGGGGCCATCTGGAAGCTGGCTACCACATATATAAAACAATATTTTGTAGCGCTTTTAAAAAATATATTTGTATTAAAAATATAAAAACACATGCTATATTATGCCCCCTCTAGTGGTTACCTCTGGGGACTCTGGGGAGGGAGGAACGGGACAGGATCAAACAGGTAACAAAGCAAACTTCAAATGTATCTAACATTTGCAATTACATGCATATGTGTGTCTGAAGAAAATATAGCCAAATGCTAACATTTATTACATCTGCATGGTAGAAATACACGGATTTTCTTGAAATCATTTACCTTTCCTATATCTTTGAAATATGTCAATAAAGTTTTAAGGTAATGAATCCAAACAAATGGAAATAAAATGTGCTTTTAATAATAATTTATTTTTACACATTTTAAAAATTGCAATTTTCAGGAGATGTAAGAAGAATATTTTTCTAATACTGAAATAAGCATATCTTTGGTATAGAAATCACACCCTATGTGTTTATCTTTAACTAAAAAAACTAATCAAGAACTATGACCTAATATGTTAAACAAAACTATTCTTTGCCCATCCATCTGTCCCCTCTCATAGCCCCATTGTGGGGCATTAGAATATAGTTCTGTACCTATCTCCATATCTACAAAGAATTAAGATGTTGTATCAAAAATGTCCAGAAGTTATATATGGTAGAGAATTAGTTGGCTTAATCGTTGACACACAACACAAAACACCAAAAGCAACATAAGATACAGGATGCAAAATAGAACACTGTCACTAAGATCAAATAATACAAAAAAAATCACATCATTTAAATTTGATGCATTGCAAACAAAGTAACTTCTTTAGAATTATTATGTACACAACTTGCAAAGCTCAAAAAGTAATAGCACAGAGCCATAAATCTGATAAGGCACTTTAAAGATAGCAATCAAACATATACAAATATCAAATACAAACACTGTTAAACTGCAAAAGCAGTAACCACAGAAATAAATAGGGAAAAAATATGCATTCTTTCTAAACAGTCTTTCCCTTTCTGAAGTAAAGTCTTTAAAAAAAAAATCAAACAAGTACAAAAAATATTTATCATATATTTTTAAAACCTATCATCAAAGTCCAAATCTCTGTAAAAAAAGAATGTTTTTCTTCAAGTCAAAAAAGTTCAGATTCATACATTTCCTAGAGAAACAATGACAGTCTTCATGCTAAATATAGGAAGAAAAAAAGCTTTCAATTATGTTTGTTAACTCTTTTATTCAACAAACATTTAGTGAATGTTGTGTGACCCTGTTTTAGGTGCTGGGGATATAGAATAAAGACACAATCATTAGCTGTAGACAACTTAGCCTAACGGAGCTGGATCCACCACTGGCAACCTTAAAGTTACCTCCCTTGGTCCTTAAGATGAAACGCAACTTCAAAGTCTGCCATGCTTAGCATCTTGTTGCAAAACAAATAATGGTCTACCTAGTTTGCTACTGGTAGCACTGTGGCTCTATTAATATTAACCGTCTATTGATGAAGTTAACTTTCATAAAGGATTCTATGAAAGTTCAGAGGCATAAAGTATTTAAGGACAAACAAGTACTGGTCCGCAACAAAAATAGCATCGGTATTCTGCTTTCACAAAAACCAAGAAAACCAAGAAAAATTTCATTCTGAGTATATACAGAACTGCTGGACAGAGGTCATCCTATATGTGTGGTACATGTACAAAATATGACATAAGAAGTATGAATTATTGCAGTCATTATTAAACAACGAAGTATGCCAAATCAGTCATCAGGTTTCAAAGAATCATAGCCTTCTTTCAAGAGGTCCCGCCACGTTTTAAGGAAACGTGCATTTTCTGTACATTTGAAGGCAAGTTCTTCCACTTGAGCTGATACTGCAGATGTGGCTTCAAGAAGTTTGGTTAATGAAAAGGCTGCCTAAAAAAAAAAAGTCAAACATAATTTTATTTTTAAAATTCTCATCTCATTTTATAAGCAGGCTGAAAATAGCTTAAGGCTTTGAATCCAATGCCCATGTTATTTTCTTTCAAAGTAATCAGTTTTCAAACTACAGCACTGGCTCTTTCACGGAACCTAAGAAATTCTTTAATATTGAGTAGACTTTGAAGAAACAGGTCTGCTAGAAAAATATCCATTATGTCTGAGATATGACAAATCAGTATAGTTGTTTTCTTTTTTTTTTTTTTTTTTTGAGACGGAGTTTCGCTCGTTTCCCAGGCTGGAGTGCAATGGCGCGATCTTGGTTCACTGCAACCTCCGCCTCCCGGGTTCAAGTGATTCTCCTGCCTCAGCCTCCTTAGTAGCTGGGATTACAGTCATGCGCCACCACGCACAGCTAATTTTGTATTTTTAGTAGAAACAGGGTTTCTCCATGTTGGTCACGCTGGTCTCGAACTCCTGACCTCAGGTGATCCGCCTGCCTCAGCCTCCCAAAGTGCTGGGATTACAGGCGTGAGCCACCGTGCTTGGCCCAGGATTGCTGTTTTCTATGAAAATACACTAGAGTCTCAGCTCAACAAGATGACTTGGACCCCTTGACACTAAGCGCCAGATATATCTGAGAGATTTCATCATAAATAATTCTTACTGCTATTTGGGTAACATGGGCATTGACCTGTGAACACTTTAAACAATGAAAATGTATAGATCAAAGAACAGAAACTCTGAGCTCTGACAAATAACATTAAAAAATCACACACAAATGCAGAAAACACTCAGCTCCTGGTGGAAAATTCACTTTTCAGCCAAACGTTTTCTTCACCAATGATATAAAATAAAACAGTGTTCCTCAATAACACATTAGCACTTCATTCTACATATTTACTTGCAATCAGTTTGTTCTGCAAAAATAAAAGCTGGTTAAGCACTCTAGTCATCCTTAAAAAAAAATACTTGCGGAGCAATGAGATAATCTAGTTCATCCCCTAGTTTCCAATCTGCAGGAAAGGTCAGGCCACAGAACTCTCCCAGGTTACACTCTACATACCTCATTCCACTTGACCCACTCAAGAGAACATAAAACTCCCCTTCCCTGTCTTCTCCCCTCCAGTGGTGTGTGAGTTACGGTTGGGAGGTGGGGTGCTAGTTTCTGGGGATTCGAGATTTAACAGAAACTATCCTAAGTATGCATTCTAGCAATCATACAAAGGGAGGAGTCCTGAACTAAACCGTCAAAGAAGCCAATCCACGTGACCTAAACCCTTCAAGCTGGGTCCAGCGCTAAGCAGGCCTGGGGCAGACAATGGCATTATCAGCTGTCCCTGGGCAGGTGGCCAACTAGAACAGCAGGCTCTAAGTCCCATGGAAAGAAATCACAGCCTGATCTCAAGTACCCACAGAAAGCCAGCAAACTCATGCAGTGAAAACTATTCTCCGAAACCCATGCAATGAAAACTATTCTCCGATGGGAAAGGAGGAGGCAGAGAGCCAGCAACAGGCAGCGCAGAGCTGCGTGGCTTCGGGTTACTGCGGATGATTGAAACCAGAAGGCGAGACAAAAAGAAACCAGTGAGGGGTGGGGCGGGTGGAAGGAAAACCCCTTAAGACTCCTCACCACTAAATCTAAAGGGGGAACCCTCAGAGAGGGGTGGCACTTTAGCTGCTGGCATCCCCCCCGCTTCCCGCCCGCACGCTCTGGGGCGCAGAAGGGCCGGTCGTCCCGGGTCATGGGGGTTGGGGGACCGATTCCCTAGCCTCGCGAGCCCCGCCGCCGCCGGTCTTCCCAGAGGCGCCGAGGGGGGACGCGGTCCCGACACCACACTCACGTCTCCGATCTGCAGCTCCACTTCCTCCAGCTGGTCCACCGTTGGGCCGCTGCTCCTGCTCGGAACTGGCCAGCCCAAACTCACTGGGCCGCCCGGGGAAGATGCTGCAGAGGCGTCTGAAGAGGAGGGAGAAGAGGGAGGCGGCGGGGGCGGCGAAGAAACCTGCAACTCCTCAGGGTCGGCCATGGGGAAGGGTTGGGACCGCGGAATCCGACCCGAGAAGCCGAACCGACACCAACTGTCTTTTAACCACTCGCGCCCAAAGCCGAAAGGCCCCGCCTCCTAACGCCAGAAATCCCGCCCAGTCTCCTCGTGGGTCTCAGCCCCGGACCACAAAGACGTTTCATTTTTCGGGACAGCCAATCATATGAGTCAATTCACCTTAGGCAACTCACGGCTCCTGCGCGAGCCTCCAATCGATCTCGAAGGGCACTCGTAGAGAAAACTACACCTCCCAGGAAGCCGTGTGCGTCGCCCCGCCTTCTACTGCCTTTCACTGCGCGTGCGTCGTGCTGTGGGATTCGCGGACCCCTCTGGCCGCGCTGTGGCTGTTTCACCGCTCCCCGGCTGGGACTTGGAGTCCCTTATCTTTCCCTGGTTTGGTACATGACCCGGAAGCCTCGGCTGGCCGTTGCGTCATCCATGGCGCCGGCGCAGAGCGAGAAGGAGGTGGGAACGCCGTGAAGCAAGAGCGGTCGGCAGAGCGGGGAGGCGAACTGCAGCAGAGTTCTTGCTTTCCGGCAGGTGATGGCGCCCCCCGCGGCCTAGAGGTCCAGCGCCCGCCGCGAGCAGCGGACAGTCCTCCTGTTGTGTCCGACCGAGAGTCCTGGTGACTTTGAACATGCTGGTGCCGCTAGCCAAGCTGTCCTGCCTGGGTGAGAGGAAACGGGCGGTGGGGATAAGTGGAGGAGTTAGGGCAAAAGGGACAAGGCCGGTCCTGGGGGCTGTAGGCACCTCTCGCCCCTTCTCTCATCAGCTTTCTCAGGCTATCTAGGGCAAAGGTCACGCGCTGTCAGCCTGTTGGGGGACCCTGGCTTCCTCCCTCTGGGGTTGCCCCAGTTGGTAGAATTAATATCTAGGCTAAAGGTCAAGGGCGGGGAAAACTTGTCAACACGCCCTCGGCATCACCACCACCTGTCAACACACACACACCTCGGTGGACTCCTGAACTGAGGCTTCCCAAATCCTGGTTCTAATCTTCAAACCTCTGTTGGAAATGGAAAAAAAAAAATCGTATTTGCCCAGTTTTTCTCCCTGGTCCTGACCTGACTTTCGTCTTCGGAGCCATTCTAGTTCAGTCTAAAGAAATTGAAGTCTGATCTGTCACATCATGGTTAACATTCATATGTTGACCAAGTCACCCAAGTGTATCTGGAGCCAGTTTTTCTGCGTTGTCTAAAATTAAGGGCTGGGCGTGGTGGCTCAAGCCTGTAATCCCAGCACTCTGGGAGGCTGAGGCGGATGGATCACCTGAGGTCAGGAGTTCAAGACCAGCCTGGCCAACATTGTGAAACCCCATCTCTACTAAAAATACAAAAATTAGCTGGGCGTTGTGGCCCACTCCTGTAATCCCAGCTACTCAGGAGGCTTAGGTAGGAGAATCACTTGAACCCGGAGGTGGAGGTTGCAGTGAGCTGAGATCGCACCACTGCACTCCAGCCTAGGTGAAAGAGCCAGACTCCGTCTCAAAAAAAAATTAAATTAAATTAACTCTAAGGGCTTTATCGTGTTATGGGTATTCTGTGAACCATCGTGACAGATGAAGTTGGATGGTCTTTTTAAAGTTTTACTTAAATTTTTGTTGTTGTCGTTAATTCAAACAGAAAAGTTCCCTAAAGGATCTCATATTCTGTCATAACTGGCTTAATTTTTTTAAATCTTTAGTTTACTTAAGTTTTGGTGATAGAATCATTAAGTCTAAATATTCCAAATTCAAGGATATTCTTATGAAATTTCATGAAAGTAGAATTTTGTTAAATTTGGCTTCCATATATTAAGAAATTAGAACTTTGTTTAAATTTCATGTCACCCATGCATTTTTTGCTGCACTTAATGTATGGATAAGATGGTGTTTGGAACGTTAAAGTAGTCAGATGCTATCTGCCTTAGAGCCTAATTTAGATGCAATCAGCCTTGGGCCCAGTGCTAACCAAATTCCACTACCATTTCTGTTTTCTTTGGATGGCAATTCATTGCCATTTTCGTAGCCTGCTGGCATGAAAGAGGTAGACACCAATGTGCCATCAGTGTGACTTTGATATGGTGATGCTATGAGTTCAGTGGACTTTGTGACTTCTCTTCTCAACCACGGAGACTGAATATTCCAATCTCTAAAGTGAGATATCAGATGTGTTTTCAGAAAAGGGGTAAAGGTTGTGACTTTTTTTTCCAATCCTTTGGAGAAATTCAGACTACACAGTTCCAAATATTCTCAAGAAAATCAGTAGCTATACAAGCAGTAGAAATAGTTTGTCATATGTCAGTCATCAGTTTTCAGAAGTAAATAACTTCTATGCACTAAACTACAATGCATTGAAAACTAAATATTTTAAATATTCGTTATAGTGTATTTGAACTCTTGAACTGAGTTCTAGAATATCTTTATGTATTTAATATACTTTTTTTTTTCCAAAATTGAGGATAGGTGAATAGTTATCTAAGGCTTAAAAAGTGTTGCCAATATAGTTTTTTTGTTTTTTGGGGTTTTTTTGACACAGTCTTGCTCTGTTGACCAGGCTGGAGGGCAGTGATGTAATCTCAGCTCACTGCAACCTCTGCCTCCCGGGTTCAAGTGATTCTCGTGCCTGAGCTTCCGTAGTACCTGGGATCACAGGTGCCCACCACCATGCCTAATTTTGTATTTTTAGTAGAGACGGGGTTTTGCCATGTTGGCCAGGCTGGTCTCAAACTCCTGGCCTCAAGTGATCCTCCTACCTCAGCCTCCCAAAGTGCTGGGATTATAGGCATGAGCCACCATGCCTGGCCCCAGTGCTATAGTTTTTAGTATGCGTAAGTAAGTTCATTTCTTTGCCACTTTAAAAAAAATGACCAAACACAGATTTTTATTGCCTTTTCACAGAAAATTACTCTGAAAAGCATTAATCTTTTATAGTACCATGTGTCAAGGACTATCTAATATTTAGTCAACAAATATGTATACCTAACATTAGGTTTTCACGTACAACAAGGTCAGTGCTTTTGGAGCATGCTATCTGCTGGAGAATACAGACAACTAAAGACATTTATATTTTTACCCTTTTTTGGTCACATAAATGGTTTAAATTTTTAGTCTAATGATATTGTAACTTTTTAGATTTTTATCATTCTTAGAAAATAACTTTGAAAAATCCTAGATTCTAAAAAAAAAATTACCTGTTTTCTTCATAATATTTTTGTGTGTGGCTGTAAATGCTCTTTTTTATAACAGCTTTAATAAACTTTAATAAGATATGTCACAAATCATACAATATATACTATTTAAAATGGACAATTCAATGGTTTTTAGTATAGTCAGAGTTGTGAAACCATCACTGCAGTCTATTTTAGAACATTTTCATCACCCCAAAAAGAAACTATTCACTCCCAAGCCCCTTCCAGCCTTAGACAACAGTTAATCTACTTTCTGTCTCTATAAACTAGCCTATTCTGAATATTTCCTGTACATGGAAGCATATACTATGTTGTCTTTTTGTGACTGGCTTCTTTCACATAGCATATTGTTTTCAAAGTTCTATGTGGTAGCATATATCAGTATTCAATTTCTTCTTATTGCTAAATATTTCATTATTTGGATATATCACTTCTTACCATTTATTGATCAACATTTGGGTTGTTTCTACTTTTTGGCTGTTATAAATAATTCAGCTGTTGGTCAGGTGTGGTGGCTTACACCTGGAATCCCAGCGTTTTGGGAGGCTGAGACGGGCATATTGCTCGAGCCCAGGATTTCGAGATCAGCTTACACAACCCAGTGAGACTGCTTGTCTACAAAAAAATAGAAACAATTATCCGGGCATGGTGGCATGCACCTGTAGCCCTAGCTACTCAGGAGGCTGAGGTGGGAGGATCACTTAAGCCTGGAAAGTCAAGGCTTCAGTGAGCCATGATCACATCACTGCATTCCACCCTTGGTGACAGAGTGAGACCCTGTCTCAAAAAAAAAAAAAAAAAGTCAGCTAGGAACATTCATGTGCAAGTTTTTGTGTAGAAGTATGTTTTCATTATCTTAGGGATAGACTTAGGAATGGGTCACATGAAAACTCTATGTTTAACCTTTTGAGGAACTGCCAGACTGTTTTTCAAAGAGACTGCATCATTTTTGCATTCCCCCAGGAGTGTATGAAGGTTCCAATTTTTCCACATCCTTGCTAACTCTTGTTATTGAAACCGCCCAACAGGTTCTCCTTGCCCACTACCCAGACAGAGCCAATTTATCAAAACAGGAGAATTAGAATAGAGAAAGAGTTTAATTCACACAGAGGCGGCTGTACAGGAGACCATAGTTTTATTACTCAAATCAGTCTCCCCGAAAACTTGGAGACTGGGGATTTTAAGGATAATTTGATGAGTAGGGGGGTCAGAAAGTGGGGAGTGCCAATTGGTCAGGTCAGAGGTGAAATCACAGGGAGATGAGTTTGTCGTCTTGCACTGAGTCAGTTCCAGGGTGGGAGCCAAACGACCAGATGAGCTAGTTCATCGATCTGGGTGGTGCCAGCTGATCCATCAAGTGCAGGATCTGCAAAATATCTCAAGTAGTGATCCTAGATTTTACAATAGTGATGTTATCCCCAGGAGCAATTTGGGAAGGTTCAGAATCTTGCCACCTCCAGCTGCATGACTCTTAAACCATAATTTCTAATCTTGTAGCTAATTTGTTAGTCCTGCAAAGACAGTCTGGTCCCCAGGAAGGAAGGGGGTTTGTTCTGGGAAAGGGCTGTGATTGTCTTTGTTTCAAAATTAAACTATAAACTCCCAAAGTTAGTTCAGCCTACTCCCAGGAATGAACAAGGACTACTTGGAGGTTAGAAGCAAGATGGAGTCAGTTAGGTCAGATCTCTTTCACTGTAATAATTTTCTCAGTTATAATTTTTGCAAAGGTGGTTTTATTATTGCTTGACTTCTCGACTATAGCCATGCTAGTGGATGTAATAGTACCTCATGTGGCTTTGGTTTGCATTTCCCTGATGGCTAATGCTGCTGAGCATCTTTTCATGTACTTATTGGCCGTTTGTATATCATCTTTGAAGAAGTGTCTATCCAGATCCTTTGCCCACTTTTTAATTGGATTATTTGTCTTTTGTTACTAGATATAAGAGTTCTTTCTGTATTCTAAATATAAGTCCATTATCGGATATATGATTTGAAAATATTTTCTCCCATTCCACGGGCTATCTTTTCACTTTCTTGATGGTATCCTTTGATGCACAAAAGGTTTTAATTTTGATGAAGTGCAGTTTAACTGTATTTTTTGTCGTTGCTTGTGTTTTTGGTTGTTCTATCAAAGAAACCATTGCCTAAACCCAAGTGTTGATGAAAAAGCCAAACTCCATAAACTATTTGAAGAGATTAATTCTGAGCCAAATGTGAGGACCATGACCCACGATACAGCCTCAGGAGGTCCTGAGAACATGTATCCAAGGTGGCTGGGTTACAGCTTGATTTTATACATTTTAGGGAGAAAAGTTACAGGCAAAGACATTAATCAATACGTGTAAGGTTTACATTGGCTTGGCCTGGAAAGGCAGGACATCTCAAAAGTTCACGAATTTGTGTTGGGCCACATTTAAAGGCATCCTGGGCAACATGTGGCCCATAGGCTGCAGGTTGGACAAGCTTGCCTTAAAAGGTATCAGACTCTTAGTTAAATCTCTCCTAGATCAGGAAAAGGCCTAGAAAGGGAAGAGAATTCTCCACAGAATGTAAATGTTCCTCACAAGAGACAGCTTTGCAGGGCCAATCCAAAAATTATGTCCAAGAAATATATTTTGGGGTACAATACATTGATTTCCTCTAGGGCCTGTTGTCATGTGATGTTATACCAGAGTCAGGTTGGAGTTGGTATCTTATTGCTACAAAGAGTCTGTTCTGTCAGTCTTAGGATTTCAATATTAATGTTAATGCTGGTCAGTTATGTCTAAACTCCAAAAGGGAGAGGGTATAATGAGGCATGTCTGACCCTCTACTTACCATCATGGCATGAACTACTTTTTTGGGTTTCTTTGGAATCCCCCTGGCCAAGAAGAGAGTCCATTCAGTGGTTGGGGGCCTTAGAATTTTGTTTTTGGTTTACACAAGGTCACAAAGATTTACACTCATGTCTTCAAAGAGTTTTATGGTTTTAGCAAATATAGGGTTTGATCTTTCTTGAGTTAACTTTTTTTATCACCATAATCTTTTTAACTTTTTATCTTGAAATAGTTTTAGATTTACAGATAAGTTGCAAAAATAGTACTGAGAGTTCCCATATGCCCTTTGCGGAGCTTCATGTCTTATGTAACCATAGTATAATTATCAAAACTAAGAAATTAACATTGATGAAATAAAGTTAATTAAACTACAGATTTTATTCAGATCTTCTTTTTCTGTTCCAGGATCCAGTCCAGGGCACAAGGTTGCCTTTAGTTGGCAGGTCTCCATAGTCTACTTCAATTTGACAGTTCCTCTGTCTTTTCTTGTGTCCCAAGACCTTTACAGTTTTGATATGTACTGGTCGAGCATTTTGTAGAATGTCCCTCAATCTGAGTTTGTCTGATCATTTCTCATGATTAGACTGAGGTTAAAGATTTTTGGGGATAAATACCACAGAGATAAAGAACCCTTTTCACCACATCATATCAGGGATACATGGTATCAATATGTCTTATTGCTGGTAACATTAAACTTGATCACTTGCTTAAAGTGATATCTGCCATATTTCTCTACTGTAAAGTTAACATTTTTCACTTTCCATTCTCTACTTGTTAGAAGCTACTCAATAAGTTCATCCCACATCACTCAAAGGGAGGAGAGAATTGAAGAATTTATGGATATATCACCATCTTTTTTTTTTTTTTTTGAGACAAGGTGCTTGTTGCCCAGGTTGGAGTACAGTGACGTGGTCCTAGCTCACTGTAGCCTCGAATTACTGGGCTCTAGTGATCATCGTACCTCAGCCTCCTGAGTAGGTGGGACTGCAGGTGCATACCACCACACCTAGCTAATTTTTTTACTTTTTATTTTTTATTTCTGTAGAGAAGAGGTCTTGCTATATTGCCTAGGAGGATCTTGAACTCCTGGCCTCATGCAGTCCTCCCGCCTTAGCTGAGATTTACAGTCATGAGCCACTGTGCCCAGCCAACCATAGTCTTCTATACTTTGAACCTACCCTAATAAAATCTTCGATCAAATATAATTCATTTTGACCTAGGGAGCAGAGTATACTTTTTTTCTGAATGGCTTTCTAGCTATCTCTGCACCATTTAATGAGTAACCATTTCTTCTCCCTAATTTGAAATGGTATCTTTATTATATACCATATACCTATGTGTATTCTATTTCTGAACTCTTTATTCTTTTTTTAATTATTCTATCCCTTCTCCTATAACAGACTTCTAATGAATATAGCTTCAAATATAAGTTTCTATATCTGTCAAGAGTGGTTTCATGGGAGGATTCTTTGTCTTTTTTTAATGATAGGGACGATTATCAAGATGAACAGAGCCTGAGAAGGGAGTCAAAATTGAAGCTCAGAAGGGATGGTATCAGATGGAGGAATGTCTCTAGACAACGGGAGAGATAAGCCTTCTCATCCAGCTAGAAAGATTAACCCCAGTGGAGAAGAATATAGTCTGTTTCACTATATTCATTGAGTACAATCAACGGGAGAAAAGACATCTCTTCTGCTATAAACTGAGATAATGAACAAAGTATGGGCACAAATACAGATTATATTAGAAGTTACTGCCAAGGAGTTGAGAAAATTCCCATCTAATTGCTTCTGTCTTTATGAGGTTTGATGCTAGGGTACCTGCCCTGGATAAAGGAAAGAAGAGGTGGAGTTGAAGGTTTGAGGACAACAGAGAAGGTTCAGTGAACATTTTTGCAGATAAATCTTTGCATATTTCTGTTCATTTCCATAAAATACTTTTTGCTGACTCAAAAATGTATACATTTTTAAGGATATCAGAAGATACTGTGGCCAGGTGCAGTGGCTCACGCCTATGATCCCAGCAATTTTAGAGGCTGAGGCAGGCAGATCACTTGAGGCCAGGAGTTCGAGACCAGCCTGGCCAACATGGCAAAACCGCATCTCTACTAAAAAAAAAAAACAAAAATCCAAAAATTAGCTGGGTGTGGTGGTGCACACCTGTAGTCCCAGATACTCTGGAGGCTGAGGCGTGAGAATCGCTTGAAACCAGGAGGCAGAGGTTGTGGTGAGCTGAGATTGCACCACTGCACTGCAGCCTGGGTGACAGAGTGAGACTCTGTCTCAAAAAAAAAAAAAAAAAGAAGAAGAAAAAGAAGAAGATACTGCCTTAAGAACCTGACCATAAAACAAAGTTTGTGCTTAAAGCCATTGACCTAACACGGTGATTATACTACTCCATATTACTCTCAAAGTGTTCAGCTTTCATGACTAATCCATAGTTAAGCCTGACATGAGCTAAATTGAATAAATTTGCTTATTAGTTTTAAAATATTTAAGATTTGAAAACATTGCTTTATGAGAAAAAGCTATTCAAAGTGTTCACCTAGGAAAGATTATAGTATATTTCACTATACTCATTGAGTATAGTCATTCACTTATATTTTTTCAGTCTACTGAGGAAAACTAATTTTAAGGAAGATAATAATTTTCGTAATTTTTGTGCAGCATATCAGTGCTTTCATGCCTTAAAAATTAAGAAAAATTATCTACCTCTATGTGCTACAAGATGGTCTTCAACTTCTACTGTGCCTCGAATTACTACCCATTATACTATTTATCCCCGGGATAAGGACAAGAGATGGGAAGGTAAGTAATAATTTGTGTACAATTCCTGAGACTTTTCTGGATACTTTGTTTTCATTTTGTGGAGGAGAGTATTAATATTTTTCATAATTTAAAAACATCTAATAATATTTTGTGGCTTTACCAAGTCACATGCTGCATAATGACCCTTCAGTCAACAACACGACAATTATAATGGTAATCCCTTGACATTATAATGGAGCTGAAAATTCCTATCACCTAGTGACATCTTTTAGAACATAGCTTCCAGACCATCGTAGCTCAACACATTACTCAATTATTTGTGGTGAGTCTGATGTAAACAAACATACTCTACTGCCAGTTCTTTAAAAGTCTACCATATACAATTATGTACAGTACATGATACTTGATAATAAACGACTGTTACTGGTTTATGTATTTACTGTATTATACTTTTATCATTATTTTAGAGTGTACTCTTACTTAATTTTTTTAAAAAGTTAACTGTAAAACAGACACAGGCAGGTCCTTCAGGAGGTATTCTGGAAGAAGCTACCATTTGCATAGGAGATGACAGCTCCATGCGTGTTATTGTCTTTGATGACCTTCCAGTGGGAGAAAATGTGGAGGTGAAAGATATTGATGATCCTGACCCTGTGTAGGCCTAACTAATGTGTGTGTTTGTGTCTTAATTTTTAATAAAAGAGTTTAAAAGGTAAAAGGAAAAAAAATTTTAAAAAGAAAGAAACTTATAGAAAAATGATATAAAAACCATTTTTTGTACAGCTGTACAATGTGTTTGTGTTTTAGCTAAGTGTTATTACAAGAGAGTCAAAAAGTTTAAAACATTTAAAAGCTTATAAAATAAAAACATTACTGTAAGCTAAGTTTAATTTACTGACGAAAAAATTTTTTTATAAATTGCGTGTAACCTAAGCATACAGTGTTTATGAAGTCTATAGTAGTGTAATGTCCTTGTCCTTCACATTCTCACTGCTCACTCAGTCACTCACCAAGAACAGCTTCCAGTCCTGTAAGTTCTATTCATGGTAAGTACCCTGTACAGATATACCATTTTTAAATATTTTATACTGTATTTTTGCTGTACTTTTTCTGTGTTTAGATGTGTTTAGTTACATACATACTATTATAGTTGCCTACAGTGTTCAGTATAGTCAGTCACATGCTATATAGCTTTGTAGCCTAGGAGCAATAGCCTATACCCTGTTGCCTAGGTGTATCATAGGCTGTTCAATTAGTTTGTGTAAGTATACTCTATGATGTTTGCAAAAGGGCAAAATTGCCTAACGATGCATTTCTCAGAAAGCATTTCTGTCATTAAGTGACTTGTGACTGTATTTTACACAAGTAAATATTTGCTAAATGTATAATAATAAATCTCAAAGCCAAGAATTAGTTTATGGAAACTGAAATAAAGTATGTACTGGAACAGAACCTAAGAATATAATCATACTAATACAGTAATATGCTTAATATAATTATTGTGCAAAACACAGGGAGAATTTCCATAAATAATACTCTAAAGCACAGTGGATATTTTTTAACTGTCATGTGATTTATCATGTGATTATTGGGTTATATTAATCCCAGAATTTTTATTTCTCCCAGGAGTGAACATGGAAAGGTTTGCAGAAGAAGCAGATGTTGTAATAGTTGGTGCAGGCCCTGCAGGGCTCTCTGCAGCTGTTCGTCTAAAACAGTTGGCTGTGGCACATGAAAAGGACATCCGTGTGTGTCTAGTGGAGAAAGCTGCCCAGATAGGAGCTCATACTCTCTCAGGGGCTTGCCTTGATCCAGGTGCTTTTAAAGAACTCTTCCCAGACTGGAAAGAGAAGGGGGTATGAAAAATTGTTTTTTATACAAAGTCTAATCTTTTGTAATTGTATTTCAGTAATTGTTCCCAAATTACTGGAATATAGGAAACCCTTTTCATGTAACTCTATCTTTTTTTTTTTTCTTTTTTTGAGATGGAGTTTCACTCTTGTTGCCCAGGCTGGAGTGCAATGGCGCGATCTTGGCTCACTGCAACCTCCACCTCCCAGGTTCAAGTGATTCTCCTGCCTCAGTCTCCCTAGTAGCTGGGTTTACAAGCACCTGCCAACACTCCCAGCTAATTTTTTGTATTTTTAGTAGAGACAGGGTTTCACTGTATTGGCCAGACTGGTCTCGAACTCCTGACCTCAGGCGATCCACCCACCTTGGCCTCCCAAAGCACTGGGATTACAGGCATGAGCCACCACGCCCAGCCCATGTAACTCTAAGGGAATAATTATATACTTTTTAAATTAAAAAAAAATTTATATCAGAATTGTAATTTATGATATTAACAAATATTTTTGTGTAATGCTTTCTACATGTATTTATGTAATGGGTATATGAGAAGATAACTTGAGAAGACCTTTGAATATTTCTTGGGAGGCATTTTGTATTTTGAGGGTATTTTTAAACTTGTTCTTTAAGTCTTTGTATGATTGTTCTTAATAAAGTAATAATTCCTGGGACAATGCAATATCTAAAGCCAAAGAGGATAACCTAATTTTCTGAAGAAACATATTAATATGGCTTCCCATAACCTAAGCAGAAAAACCACAGGTGTGATATACAGAGGACCAAGTCCAAGTTTTATTGTCTTAAATAAAATTTGTATGAATTTGGTTAAAATCTTAGATTGTCAATTTTTTCTTCTCTAAGATGGGTTATATTATACCTGTCCTACCTCCTAGATTAGATTATTCAGTGGTTGTGAATATACTTGCAAAGATCAAAAATTATATAAATATCTGTATTTTTTCCATATGGAATAAATTGAATTCCAAAAATTTCGTCTGTCTCTCCTTTCTGAAATATCAAGCTCCCTTAAACTAGAAATACTTTAATTAGGCCCAGTTGAATTTATCCTTTTGATATTATATCAGAAATGGATATTATTGAATTAACACTGACATAATATCAATTCTAATAGAAAATGTTTTTCATGTTAAAGCCCTTTATTGCTTTGGCACCTTTTTTTTGAGACAGGGTCTCACTCTGTCACCCAGGCTGGAGTACAGTGGCACAATCATGGCTCTCTGCAGCCTCAACCTCCGGGGCTCAAGTAATCCTCCCACCTCAGCCCCCTTAGTAGCTGGGATTACAGGCGTGCACCACCACACCCAGCTAATTTTTGTATTTTTTTAGTACAGACAGGATTTTTGCCATGTGGGCTCAAAACCACTAGCTTCGGCCTCCCAAATTGCTGGGACTACAGGCCTGTGAGCCACCACACAGACTTTGGTGCCTTTTAATATGTATAGCCAGCAGGTACAGTGTAACAACATGTTAATTCTCTTTATCCAAGAGGAAAATAAAACTTCTCTTACCTTTCACCAACCAGGAAGTTTCAACTTAAGAGCCAAGCAACTTGGCTAACCTCTCCACAGAGACAAAAAGACATGAGGGTCACGTTTCAAAGGTGTTTCCAAGACTCCCAAGAAATATATTCCTGGGATGCAAAACTGGCAAGAGGTTTATTTAGATTTTTAAAAGATTCCCAGCTGGCCGGGCGTGTAATCCCAACACTTTGGGAGGCCAAGGCGGATGGATGACTTGAGGTCAGGAGTTCGAGACCAGCCTGGCCAACATGGTAAAACCCCCTCTCTACTAAAAATACAAAAATTAGCCCAGCATGGTGGCAGGTGCCTATAAGCCCAGCCACTTGGGAGGCTGAGGCAGGAGAAACACTTGAACCCAGGAGGCAGAGGCTACAGTGAGCTGAGATTGCACCACTGCACTCCAGCCTGGGTGACAGAAAGAGACACTGTCTCAAAAAAAAAAAAAAAAAAGATTTCTGTACATCTCAGACAGAGAAAGGATTCACAGTGACAAGTTTTATAAAGGAAATGCCAAAAGAAAATTAGGGGGGAGTTCTTTTTTTGTCATCAGAGTACATTTTATAGTTTTTTTGTATTTATATTTACACTTGCAAATATAAACTAAAAACATTTCTTTTTCTTCTTTTATTTCTAGGCTCCACTTAACACTCCTGTAACAGAAGACAGATTTGGAATTTTAACAGAGAAATACAGAATTCCTGTGCCAATTCTTCCAGGTAAGGTATAGTGAATATGCATAGAACTATGGAATTCCACAGCTGGAAGGAACTACATTTCATCTGACGAAATTTCCTCCTTTTACAGACAAGAACTGAGACCCAGATATTTGAAGGACTTACTCAAAGCTATACAGCTAGCTGGTGGGAAAGCAGGACTAGAACTCAGTTCTTTTGTCTTCCAGTCTAGAAGAATTGAGATAGCCTTGTAAGCCAAGCAGGAATTTCTAACTTAGTGCTTTAATGTTGTTTGTAATGTAATAAATTAGAACTCTAGACCAAAATTGTAGAAAATAAGTTGAAAGTGTGACCATCAATGTAGCACTTATGTAGAAATACATATTGATTCGAAATTTTAAAGTATTTATGTTTTTGTAATGTCTTATCAATAAAAAGTCAGATTTATAAATTAAGCATATATTTATAGGGCTTCCAATGAATAATCATGGCAATTACATTGTACGCTTGGGACATTTAGTGAGCTGGATGGGCGAACAAGCAGAAGCCCTTGGTGTTGAAGTATACCCTGGTTATGCAGCTGCTGAGGTTTGTATAGTTTTGTTTTGTTTTAATATTTATAGGAACTCTCTTTTTTTAATAAGTGGAGAATTTTATAAAGTTGAAGAAATAAATATTTTTTAAAAGCCATGGGATTTTAGAATTATAAGATTAGAAGGAATCTTTAAAGTATCTAATCCAAAGAGTACTTGAATTCCTCATGTTGTACCCCCATCAAGTGATTATCCAACTTATGATTGATCACCATAAGGGATGAAAAATTGTAGATTGTTGGTAATCTCTTCCTTATTTTGAACAGAACTTACCTATGGTTTTATACTATCCAGAACAAATCTATGCCCTCTTCCAAGGACAACTTTCTAATTATAATTATTCCCTGCTCTCTCTTCCTCCCTATCTTTACTCTGGAATTTTTTTTTATTTCCCAGTATAGGGGTGGTATAGGAGTTAAGGGAAAGGTTTGTCTCTGCCCTCTGAAGGTTCACCAGAAATGAACTGACAATAGACAGAGTAATAGGAGAAGAAGCATAGAGATTTATTTAACATGCATAAGCACAAGAGAATGATGACCCGATAACCCAGTGAGGTCCAAATGCTTATCTACCTTTCAGCAGAAGGGAAGGGGAAATTGGGTGTTTAGCAATCTTGAAAGGAAGTGAATGATTTTTAGGGAAAATGAATGCACCCAAGACACAGAAATTAACTTGTAAATGATTCTCTTTGGAATTTGAATGAGCCTGAGAGGCAGGCATGATCTTATGAAAAAGTGTTTGTCTAGGTGTAGTTGCTTTTTTCTGTTTTCTTTTCTGCAATAGATATTAACAATAAGATTTCAGGAATGGGATGGAAGACCATTGTGTTCTCTTTGGCAGGTCCAGTCTTAAGGTAGAGAATGGAATATCAGAGAAGAGCCGCATCCAGTGCTTTAGAAGAGATAGGATTGAAAGACAGGAGGAGGGGAAGGTCAGAGAGACCTTGAAGCTGCTGCTTTGGTTTAGCATGCCAGAGTGCCATATTTTAGCCTATCATTTTCTGAGCCCCAATAGCAGAAAGGTGTGATACCCTTCCTCACCCATCATAAGGGTCATAGCTGACACTCCTATAACAAAAGACAGGGTAACAAGAAAAACATACCGCATTTGTTTAATCAAAGTTTTACATGATATGAAATCCTTCAGAAATAAAGGCCCCAAAGACCCAGGGGAAACCATTTTTATGCTTAGGTACAATAAGAATGGACAGCCATGTTGAAATGTGATTAGACAGAAGGGTATGATCTAACGGTAGTAGACTGAGAGAGGAAGCTAAGCAAGGCCTGTCTGTTCACATTCTCTTTGGCCTTTTTGTGTAGCATTTCTTCCTCCGAGGTATGGCTGGAGCAGAACTCCTCTGGAGTGAGAGTTTTCAAGGGGAAAGGGAGAAGTAAGAAAATAACCTTTCTAGGTTTTATGGCCTGTATTAAGGGAGAGGATTTCAGGTTTCTATGACTCAACCTTGAGGAAGAGGAATCCTGGTTTCTATGACTTGCTTTAGGGGAGAAAGAGGGATGGGAGAAGGTAAGAAAGACCTTGTTTCTGAGGCCTTCCAGTCTTTCTTCAGTTCCAGGTACTCAGCATAGGGGCTGAGTGCCAAGGTAAGACTTCCCCCTCACCCTCTGAAGGTTCATAGAAAAATTGGCTCACAAGAGGCAGGTTAGCAGGAGAAAAGGCATACAGGTTTATCAGCGTGCATGAAGGGAATATTACAGAGTGATGACCCTGCCACACAATGGGGTACAGTTATATGCCTTTCTTGGTAGGGAAAATGGAGATGGAGAAGTATGGATGACTTTAGGGGGATAGTAGGTGATTTTTAGGGGAATTCAGTGGGCTTGAAGAACATACAGCAACCTGGGACAAAGTCTCTTGAGCCTGCAGAGGAAACAATGGTTTCTGACAGAAGCCTGTCCAAGTTTATTGACAGACTTCAGTCATTCTTCCTGCAATATGAGTTCAGTTCATGAAAACTCAGGAAAGGGACCAGAAGTAATTGTTTGCTTCTTTGGTAGGCCCGTATTTTAGGAAGATAAGGGAACTTCAGAGAACAACTTCATCCTGTGCTTTGGGAGAGACAGACGATTAAGAGACAGGGACAGTTGGCCAGGGAAGGTCAGAGAGACATTGAAGCTTCTTCAGTTCAGCATGTCAAAGCACCATATTTTGGGATATCGGTTTCTGAGCCTCAACATCAGCATGCCAGGGACATACTTTTTAGGGTATTATCTTAAGAGCCCCAGCACTAGCTTAAATATTCTCAGTGCTTTCAGCCATGACGGTACATAATTTGAGTTTTGAGTTCTTTCAGTATTCTTGCTGCCCACTTCTGAATGGAACCTCTTCTTACCCCCTTTACAAAGTGGCACCCAGAATGAATAAACCACTTCATGTCTAGTGTAGAACTGTTATCTTCTCCATTCTAGAAACTGGTCTTCCATTAATTCCCTCAAAGTAATTACTTTTTTGGCAACTACATCACACTATTGATTCTTATTATGCATTACTGGGGAAATTATTAAAAATAAAATCTTGGCCGGGCGCAGTGGCTCATGCCTGTAATCCCAGCACTTTGGGAGGCCAAGGCAGGCAGGTCACGAGGTCAGGAGATCAAGACCATCCTGGATAACATGGTGAAACCCCGTCTCTACTAAAAATACGAAAAATTAGCCGGGCATGGCGGCACGTGCCTGTAATCCTAGCTACTTGGGAGGCTGAAGCAGGAAAATTGCTTGAACCCAGAAGGCAGAGGTTGCAGTGGGCCGAGATCATGCCACTGCACTCCAGCCTGGGTGACAGAGCGAGATTCCATCTCAAAAAATAAAAAATAAAATCGCCTGAGGACCCAGAAAAATTCTCTTCATAAATTATAAAAAAGAATGAAACAGGCCAGGTGCAGTGACTCATGCCTGTTATCCCAGCACTTTGGGAGGCCCAGGTGGGCGGATCACGAGGTCAAGAGATCGAGACCATCCTGGCCAACATGGTGAAACCCCCTCTCTACTAAAAATACAAAAATTAGCTGGGTGTGGTGGCAGGCGCCTGTAGTCCCATCTACTCAGGAGGCTGAGGCAGGAGAATCACTTGAACCCGGGAGGCAGAGGTTGCAGTGAGCCGAGATGGTGCAACTGCACTCCAGCCTGGCAACAGAGTGAGACTCTGTCTCAAAAAAAAAAAAAAAAAGGGCACAGTGGCTCACACCTGTAATCCCAGCACTTTGGAAGGCTGAGGTGGGCGGATCACGAGGTCAGGAGATCGAGACCATGGGGAAACCCTGTCTCTACTAAAAGTACAAAAGATTAGCTGGGCGTGGTGGTGGGCACCTGTAGTCCCAGCTACTTGGGAGGCTGAGGCAGGAGAATGTCGTGAACCCGGGAGGCAGAGCTTGCAGTAAGTCGAGATCACGCCACTGCACTCCAGCCTGGGTGACAGAGCAAGAGTCCATCTCAAAAAAACAAAAAAAAAGAACGAAACAGTTTTATTCTTGAATTAGGCTTAAACCAAGACTGATGCATATCACAGGCCAAGACAGAAATCTCACCCTTTTAAATAGCCAGGTAGATACAATCCATTCATTACATACATGTTAACTGTTTTTACAGATACAATCTATTCATTACATACATGTTAACTGTTTTTACTCTAAGGAAAAATAAAATATCTCGTTTTTTTGTTGTTGGTTTTTTTGTTTGTTTTGTTTTTTGACAAGCAGGAAGTTACAACTTAGAGCCAAACACCTACCCAAATTCCCATAGACACAGGAAGACAGGAGGCATCCTTCTTGGTGTTCCATTTCAAAGCAATGGCTCCAAAGCCCTAAAAAAGACATTCCTGGAATGCAGTTTAAAAAGACTGCCATGTATCTCAGAGAGACAAATAAAGGATTTACAGTTGGAAGTTTGCTAAAGGAAATGCTGAAAGAAAAGTTATTGGCAGCAAGGAAAATTCAGTTTTTTTTATTTGTTTTTACCCTTACAGTTTGTAAGTCAAATAAAACACGTAGGTCCCTGTATTATACTTGCTGCTATAAATTTCTGTTTTCCTAACCCATATACATGCATTTGGGGTTTTTGGACCCAAGTGTGGGATTTTGCATTTCTCCTTGTTAAACATTGTTGACTGGAATCGGTGTCAAAGTCACAGGTAGGTGGTTTGTAGAATCCATGATTTTCACTTTTGGAATACATACATGAACACTTATAGTCACTTGTATCACTTTTCTTTTTCTCGGGTCCTTAATGATTACCATCAACAGATTATTGATCTCTTTGCCAGGGTTTTTTGAGGGTACACTGAGCCAAACTTCAGTTTAGTCTGTAGCCATATTCTGCTGTTGATTTGTTCGTTTTCAGGATCTCAAATAAAACCTTCATATATATATATATATATATATATATATATATATATATATATTGTGGGGGGGTGGGTTCATATCCATTGCTGCTAATCTTTTCTTGTACTTCTCCATGCCCATGCTTTCTTACAATCTGCTGTGTAATTGCATTGTACATTTTGTACTTTACTATCCAGCGAGCATTTTCCTCCACAGAGAAAACAGAAACCAAGGGTTACAGACTATTGCTATTTCTCCTCATCAGAATTACACTTTTGACCTATTTTCCCCTTTTTTCTTGCTCCAAAAATAAACTTTTATCATCCTTGGTCTGTCTTCAGCTTCTCCCTGTTTTGTTTTATTTTTGTTTATTGAATGAAGTCTTCACTCATTTGAGATGTAAGCTTTCCTGACAGTTTCTCTCCACCTTCATGTTCTTCATGTGTTACAGGCCTCCATTTCAGATTCTTTACACGATTTGACATCTGAAGGGCACTTCTTGTTTAATCTTACTGGTTTCCCTAGTAATCTCTCTAGTAGTCTCCCCCTTTTCTTTCTCATCAAGGTTGTGGCATTGTTTTCATTTCCCATTGTGCGAGCTCTGTTCTTTAATACTCTGGAAGGGAGTACCTTAATACATGTCTCTTTATTACCTGAACATTTTAAACTCTGTATTTCTATAATCTAGAGAAGATGTTCACCTTCTAAGAAACCTAAGGCTGTTTACTGTTTTTTTCAAGATTATTATGAATTCTAAGGTATTAATAAATTTGTTTTTTATCATTTTTAGGTCCTTTTTCATGATGATGGTAGTGTAAAAGGAATTGCCACTAACGATGTAGGGATACAAAAGGATGGTGCACCAAAGGTAAACCTTTTTAATAGTTACGTGCTTAATAAAGCGACAAACAACAGAAAGAACTGTGTGGGCATCAAAGTGAAACCCCATCTCTCCAAAAAAAGAAAACAAAATTAGCTGGGCTTCGTGGTATACACCTGTAGTCCTAGCTACTTTGGAGGCTGAAACAGGAGGATCACTTGAGCCCAGGAGTTCGAGGCTGCAGTGAGTCATAATCACGCCACTTCATTTCAGCTTGGGTGAGTGACAGAGCAAAACCCTGTCTTAAAAAAAAAGAAGAAGAAAGAACCAACTTTGACTTAATAAAGGTCTTGCTACAAACTGTACATTAATTATATGGGTGTTGGGATGCCAAGGCAGATAGATCACTTGAACCCAGGAGTTTGAGAACTTCCTGAGCAACATGGTGAGACCCTGTCTCTATCAAAAATACAAAATTAGCCAGTCTTATAACCTGGTCTCAAAATAAATAAATAAATAAATAAATAAAAATTTTTAAAATGTCAAAAAATGTGGGTGTTAGAATACAGTAATTAATATGGAATTTTTCTTTCATTAAAAAATATAGAAGCAACTTTGAGCTAACAATGGTTTAGGCAAGTAGTTATAATATGTTTAAAAATTTTTTAAAAGATAATAACATACAAATATACAAACATAAGTCAAACACATGTCAAAGATTTTATTTCATTTAGTTAAGGAGAGAATCAGTAAGATGTTACAACCAGTGCAAGGAGAATTCAAACATATACACATTTATAGGCCATCAATCCACTGCATTAACCAAATACATCAAATGAAAATAGTTTCCACAGTTTTTATTTCTCCACAATTTTCATTTCTTTGGACAAGAATCATTTTGCATTACTATCAGTAGGTAAATAGTGATATACTTTGACATGTTTGTTTGTTTGTTTGTTTGTTTTGAGACGGAGTTTCATTCTGTTGCCCAGGCTGGAGTGCAGTGGTGCAATCTTGGCTCACTGCAACCTCTGCTTTCCAGGTTCAAGTAGTTATCCCGCCTCAGCCTCCCGAGTAGCTGGGATTACAGGCGTGCGCCACCATACCTGGCTACTTTTTGTATTTTTATTAGAGATGGGGTTTTGCCATGTTGGCCACGCTGGTCTTGAACTCCTGTCCTAGTAATCCACCCACCTCGGCCTCCCAAATTGCTGGGATTACAGGCGTGAGCCACCGTGCCTGGCCTTTATCACAGTATTCTTAAGCACTTTGACATGATTTTAACATCTTTTGGTAGATATAAAACTGATTCTCCACCTCCCATTCAAAATATAAACCTGGATAATTTTCAGGTTTTCACATCTTGTATTTTTGAATCTGAAAGCAAAACCGTTAGAACATAGAATTCTCACTCTTTGGAAAAGATAAGGAAAAAAATAGCTTGCTGTCCTATAATATGAACAAAACACAAATTAACATCTCAATCAACTAACCTGCCTATTCAGGTTTATTTATTATCCAATTTCCCAACTAGATTATAAGCTCCCTAAGGATGGAGATCCTGGGGTTATTCTAGTGCCTGGCATAATGCCAGGTACCTATTAGGTATCAGTAAATATGTGTCAACTGATAGTTTATCCTCCTCTCTGCCACTCTTGGAATAGAATTAGGAATCTACAGTCTCTTCCAGCAGATTTTCTCCTTCTCACATTTCCTGCTTTAAAAGCAAATAGCGGCCCGTCGCAGTGGCTCACGCCTGTAATCCCAGCACTTTGGGAGGCTGAGGCAGGCAGATCACGAGGTCAGGAGATAGAGACCATCCTGGCTAACACGGTGAAACCCTGTCCCTACTGAAAAAAAAAATACAAAAAAATTAGCCGGGCGTAGTGGCGCACGCCTGTAATCCCAGCTGTTCGGGAGGCTGAGGCAGGAGAATGGCGTGAACCCAGGAGGCGGAGCTTGCAGTGAGCCGAGATCACACCACTGCACTCCAGCCTGGGCTACAGAGCGAGACACCGTCTCAAAAAAAAAAAAAAAAAAAAAAAAAGCAAATGGCAAATCCTGTTTGGGACTCCTAGTGGTTTAACTGACCCCATCAGAATCATGTGACATCTTGGGGCTCAGCCTGTCCTGCAGTAAGGCCTAAGAAGCTGTTTTTTAACAAGCCTCCAGGGATTCCGATGCATAGCCAGGTTTGTAAAGAACTGTTATCTCATACTGCCTCTCAGTAAAAGAATATGGTTTTTCATATATTACGGTTCTTTTCTATATTATGACTAATTATAAATTATATTTTAGTCTAAATATTTTTATATTTTATATTATAACAAAATTGAAGCACACAAATTCTACCATTCTGATATTTCATTTTTGTGTGTTCTCATTTGTTCAAATATGGGCTTATTTCAGGTGGCAGAGGTTGCAGTGAGCCACGATCGCACCACTGCACTCCAGCCTGGACGACAGAGTGAGACTCCATCTAAAAAAAAAAAAAAGATTAAAAAAAAAAAAACATATATATATATATATATGGTTTTTAACTTTATGCTTTGCATTTGTAAAAACGTTTACATTTTGTATGTTGTATTTATACAGATCTAATAGCATAGAAGAGTACAATGGAGTCTTAGTAATTTGAGCCCCAAAATCTAAGTTTTTAAAAATAGTACTACCACAAGATTAGAGTGGGGAAAATCAAAGATTCTGTTTAAGGTGTTGTTCCATTCTCTATTTAACCCACTGTAGCTAAGCTTTCTCCCTGCGATTTCACTGAAACAGCTCTTGTTAGAGTCACAAATACCTCCATTTTGCCAATCTGGTGGACAGGTCTCTGTTTTCCCTTACTTGACCTTCTAGTGGGTAGCACTTGACACAGTTGGATTATGTTTTCCTTCTTGAAACACTTTTTTGACTTGGCTCTCTTACAGCCTTCTCTTGGTTCCTATCTCCAATATGCATCTTATCATAAGAATTCTGATTTGGACATTTTTAAGTTACAGAGGTTAAGTAACTTGGCTGGGGTCAGACACCTGGTAAGTAGTAGGGCTGGGATTTGAATACAGGCTGTGTGGCTCCACGGCCTGTCCCTTGAACACTAAAGGGCATGTTACCTCTAAGAAGAAACAGAAATATGTTCATGAATATTTTAGTTCATACAGATTGAATTGTTTTATAAGTGGTGCTGGGGAAACTATATCCATCTGGAAGCAAATAGAGTTGGACCCCGGTTTGCTGGTTGTTTCTTTCTGGTGATTTAAAGATCTAAAACAATACAAATCAGAAATCTAAGAGATGACAGTTAACAATTTTGGTGTAGGGTAAGCCACCCTACCGCAACAAGATACTAAAAACCTGTGAAAAAACAGACAAACCTTTTTTAACTTAATATATAAAAGTTAAACACTTCTTTATACCAAAGTATACTATAAAGTCTGTAAATGTTTGACTGTCTGTAATATCAAGGTGCACTTAAACATCGACAAGAAAAAAGACAACACATTGGAAAAATGGGTAGAGTCTAAAAAATTAACAATTCGTAGAAGAACAACTCCAATGACCACTAATCATAAGTAAAGATACTTAAATATGTTTTTTTCAGAGTCCAGAGGTTAAATGTCATTTCTTCAAAGAGGACTTTCCTGATCACTCAATCTAGAATAGCTGGCTTCTATTATTCTCCCTTGTAATACCCTCTGCTCTCTTTCATAGCACTTAAACAATTTGTAATTATATACTCATGTATTTATTTAATGTCTGTCTGTCTATGGCTAGTCCAAAGAAAAGGAACGTATATTTTTTTCAATTCATCCATGTATTCCCAATGCCTAGCACAGAACCTGGCACATTGTAGGTATTCATTCACTATTTCTTGAATCAAAAAGAAAAGATGCTCAAAATAGTAATCAGGGAAATGCAAATTAAAATAGTATTGAGGGCCAGGCACCATGGCTCACACTTGTAATCCCAGCACTTTGGGAGGCCAAGGTGGGTGGATCATCTGAGGTCAGGAGTTCGAGACCAGCCTGGCCAACATGGTGAAACCCTGTCTCTACTAAAAATACAAAAAGTTAGCTGGGCTTGGTGGCGGGTGCCTGTAATCCCAGCTACTCAGGAGGCTGAGGCAGGAGCATAGCTTGAACCCTGGAGGCGGAGGTTGCAGTGAGCCGAGATTGTGCCATTGCACTCCAGCCTGGGCAACAAGAGCACAACTCTGTCTCAAAAAAAAAAAAAAATTAAAAAATTAAAAAATAAAATAGTTATCACACTTGATACACTAGCAAAAATGTAAAAGGAACAGTTATATCTGTCACTAACTGTACTATAGGGAAAGGGTCTTATATACTACTGATGGAAATATATGCATTGCTTCAGGCTTTTTGGAAAGTAATATGATAATATCAATTTTAAAAAAATAGATGTACCCTTTGATCTAAGAGGGCCACTCCTGGGAATCTATCTTATAGGAATAAAAGCACCAATATTGTACGTGTATACAGGTGTCCCTTGGTGTGCACGGTAGACTGGCTCCATGACCCTCCAAGTATACCAAAATTCATGCATACTCAAGTCCCAAAGTTAGCCCTGCAGAACTCACATATATGAAAAATCGGTCTTCCATATATTCGGGTTTCACATCTGGTGAATATTGTATTTTCAATCCTCATTTGGTTAAAAATAAGTCCTTGTATATGTGAACCCACACAGTTGAAACCCATCTTGTTCAAGGGTCAGCTCTATATTAAATATATATTCAAGAGTGTTTGTATCTTATAACATTGTTTATGTTCATGCGTAAGCTGGAAACAGTGAATGGCTATTATCCATTGGCAGAGGAGCTGGATAATCTATCCTGTCTCTCTACATGGACTACTACCTAGTCATTAAAGAGAAAGATTTGAGCTATACAGTGACTTGAAAAGATTTCCATGAGGTATTTTAAGTGAGAAGAGTAAGATTATATGATTCTATATATTATATATTTACTATGTGATTCTTTATAATATTATACATTTGCACTGTCTCTTCTACATCTGAATCATAGTTCAATTTAAATCTGACCAGAATGTGAATGTATTTTAAATTGTCAAATGTTGCCATTTAACATGTTTTTGCTTTTCAGGCAACATTTGAGAGAGGACTGGAACTACATGCTAAAGTCACAATTTTTGCAGAAGGTTGCCATGGACATCTAGCCAAGCAACTATATAAGAAGTTTGATTTGAGAGCAAATTGTGAACCTCAAACCTACGGGATTGGACTGAAGGAGGTATCCTGGTTTGTTTCTGTAATTTTAATTTTGAAAGATGGAATTTAAATTTATTTGTATTATCAGGTAGTTTATAATACTGATTTAATTTTAGTTATATTTTTTCATTGTCTTGAAATGTTCATTATGACTAAAACTTATTTGCGATATTTTTCAAGGGGCTAGAAGATATTACTGATCAAATTATATTACTGGTTAAGTTAGTTTTACATGTTGGAATTGTCGTATCAAGTGTTGCTTGAAGTGAATCTTGAACTTGTGAATATTTGAATCTTTTTTATTTTCATTGTAATGCCATCTGCCCTGTTAGGATTGTTCTTGTTATCCATATGCTGTTTGTAGGATGACCACATCCTACGAAGAATTATTTTTTTCAAAATTGTAATGTGAAGTTAATTTTCTTTATGAAAGACACACTCAGCCATAGTATATTAATCTGCAACCTAAAATTTAATTAGGTTATGCATTGTACATTTTCTCAATTTATCCATTCTCTAGTCTTATTTTCCCAAATCCTAGGCTTATTAGAATGTAAATGTAAAATTTTCATTATAACCCTTTTGCTTAAATATTTTTGTGGAGCTAGCAATGGTGGCCCACACCCATAACCCCAGCATTTTGAGAGGCCAAGGCAAGATGATTGCTTGGGTCCAGGAGTTCAAGACCTGCCTGGGCAATGTAGTGAGACCTCATCTCTACTGAAAATTTAAAAATTAGCCAGGTGTGGTGGTGCACACCTGTAGTCCCAGCTACTCTGGAGGCTGAAGCAGGAGAACCACTTCACTCCAAGAGATCAAGACTGCAGTGACCTGTGATCATACCACTGCACCCTACCCTGGGTGACAGAGTGAGATCCTATCTCTAAAAAAAAAAAGAATATAGTAATTAACAACAAAAAATTTATTTTAGGTTAAATCTCAGAAAGGTTCAAAGTCTATATAAAACTAGATTCATTATATTGTGAATAAGGGTTTGTTTTGATAGATTGCATATGTCTGATTGCACATAATATTATCTGACTTAGATAAAATTTCAGATAGAAATTGTTCAGAATTTAAAATTTACCAGTCTGAAAAGAGGGTGAACAATTTATTTCAATTGTGGGGGGCAGGGTAGAGGGAATAAATTGCTTTGTTGGAGAATACATGTCCATTATGAAGAGACCTTAAGTGTACAGCTACATTAATTTTTACATGGTGAACATATCCATGTGGCTGTCACCCAGATGAAGATAGAGAACACTACCAGTACCGCAGAACTTTCCCTCAGCCTTTCAGTAGGATTTCCTAATTTCCTATAATTGTATAAAAGTCTTTACCAATTTGAGAATCTATTTAATGTCTTAAAGAGTTCATAAGTTTTCTGACCTGTTTCTTTAATCTGACTCATGCTGCAGTTTGATATAATTTTCTTTGTTATTCAAGGTGATCCACCTGTATTCTTTTTTATTATTTTTTTATTTTTTTTTTGAGACTGAGTCATGCTCTCTCACCCAGGCTGGAGTGCAGTGGCATGATCTTGGCTCACCGCAACTTCTGCCTCCCGGGTTCAAGCAATTCTCACGCCTCAGCCTCCTGAGTAGCTGGGATTACAGGCATCCGCCACCATGCCTAGCTAATTTTTGTAGTTTTAGTAGAGACAGGGTTTTACCATGTTGGCCAGGATGGTCTCGAACTCCTGACCTCAAGTGATCTGCCCACCTCAGCCTCCCAAAGTGCTAGGATTGCAGGCGTGAGCCACCGTGCCCAGCCTTCTTTGATATTTGAAGTAATTTTGTTGTATTCTTATATCACAGTTTTTCACTTGTAATTTTCATAAATAAGACATTAAACCTGGCAAGTTTTATGCATTGTGGTGACATAAAAACATTTTTAAAATACTGCAGGACTTTTTTGTTTGCTTTTTTTTTTTTTAGTTATGGGTTATTGATGAAAAGAACTGGAAACCTGGGAGAGTAGATCACACTGTTGGTTGGCCCTTGGACAGACATACCTATGGAGGATCTTTCCTCTATCATTTGAATGAAGGTGAACCCCTAGTAGCTCTTGGTCTTGTGGTAAGTTATATTCCCATTAGGGAAAATTCTGCTGCTAGAGTTATATTACCATCAGTGTTATAAAATAAGGGTTTTGAATCTGAAGACTGTAAAATGCTTTTTATTTAAAGCTTTCTAATTTTATCAATATGTAAAGTGCTTATGGCTGCTGTGTCATTAAGTCTACTAAACACACGTAGCAATAGCAATAGTAGCTGCTACACTCCAGGCACTGTGCTGGATGCTTTTCTGAGATTTCTAAGTAAGTTTCATAATAACTGTGAAATAGGTATATCTTTATTTTACAGATGAGAAAACTGAAGTCCAAATAAGTTAAACAACTTACCCATATACACCCATTAAATAACAGGCAGAAATGCCTGACCTTGTCTGACCTCAAATCCCATTTCCACTGTGGCATGCTACCACTGAAAATGAAATCAGCACTAGATTTGAACTTAGAACTTTTTAAAAATACCAGCAGTTTCTCCTTTTTTGGCCTCCTACACATCTTTGCAGTAAATTACATGTTGAACATTACAAAGAATGGAAAAATTAGTTTCTGTACCTTGCAACTGGTGGCAGCTTTATAGTTTAGTGTCATGATTAGACCTCCATATGATACATTGTTAAATTTATGTGTTACTGGTGTTTTTTGACCCCCCAGTCCAATGTTCATCCCATCACCTTTGGATATTTATTCCTGTGACTTAATTGTATCAAAGGAAAAAGATGCAGTTAATTTTAACACTTTGGTAATGCATTATAAAATATAACCTTCTATATTTCTTTTCCTCTTTTTTTCTGAGTGTAGTTTACATCCTTTTTCTTTATTTTTGCCCCAGTTGTACTGTAGTATAGATTATTAGTTTCTTTCAAATTGGTATTGATTAATGTATAATAAATCATTACAGCTCCTTTCATAGAAACATAATCTGAGATGCTTACCTACAGATATTGTTCTAATTTGTTTTTTTTGTTGTTGTTCATTTTTATTTTCTAATCTCATGATAGATTGTTTTTCTAATTTGGACTTTGAGTTCCAGAGCACAAGGATTTCTTAATATGTTCTAAATTCTCATAATTTTGATGATAATAAACACATGCTATCCTTTTCTTTACCTTTTCTTTTCCAAACAGATTTTATACAATTTTTAATTTACATTTGGATTACTGCACATAGTGCTCCAAATACTTTTGAGTAAAAGAAATTTAACCTACATGTTTTCTGATAAACATTGCTTACATTTTAGCTTGATTTAATTTGAAATAAAAATGTCTAATTAAATATAAGTGTAAATTTTTAAGGTTGGTCTAGACTATCAGAATCCATACCTGAGTCCATTTAGAGAGTTCCAAAGGTGGAAACACCATCCTAGCATTCGGCCAACCTTGGAAGGTGGAAAAAGGATTGCATACGGAGCCAGAGCTCTCAATGAAGGTGGCTTTCAGGTAACTCTTCCAACTTTTATTTTCCTTGTTTCTGTATTATAAATTCAGAATTGAACATATAATGTAACAAATTTAGATAAAGAATAAAAACAATATTGGAATAGGAAAAGTATGTAGAGTTTATAAAACTGTGTCACACAATACTTCAATTACACCATGAATTTAGTTTTAAGAATATATTAGGCTGGGCACAGTGGCTCATACATGTAATCCCAGCACTTTGGAAGGCCGAGTTGGGTAGTCTGCCTGGGCAACATGGCGAAACCCCATCTCTACAACAAATGGAAAGATTAGCCAGGCATGGTGACGAGCGCCTGTGGTCCCAGCTACTCAGGAGGCTGAGACAGGAGAATCACTTGAGCCTAGGAGGTGGAGGTTGCAGTGAGCCAAGATTGTGCCACTGCACTCCAGCCTGAGCAGCAGAATAAGACTCCATCTCAAAAACAAAAGCAAAAAATAATATATTGATCTCTAGAGATAAATTCATGGACATTTTGTTTGTTAGTTGTTTTAACCAGAAAATAAAAACTGTAATCCATAATATTTCTCTGTTCCTTAACTGCCAGGAAACTCAAAGGCAAATTTAGTTTTCAGCAAACATAATTCATTCATTCCAACTACCTAGTAACATTCATGCCTTTTAGGTTACCTCTGTTAAGCTTTTACCTTAATTGTCCTATTTTTGTATACATTCAAAATCTTCTCAAATATAATGTATTCAGTATGTATTAAACAATGAAATAAGACCTAGTAGCTAATTGTCATAAAAGCTGTTAATACTGTTGTAGAAATGTTATCATACAGGTAAGATGATCTAAAAATGTGCTCTAAAGCTTGTACCAAATTATTTGGAGCAAGTTCTTTAACTTTGGCCTTAAGAGATCATCTGTAAAATAAAGATGATCCCTCTGTCTCTAATATTCTAGGAATCTAGGACTATCTTAGAAATTGGATTTCTTTTTAAAAACTTATTATAAAAGTAACAGATAATAGGAAAATTTGGGGAGGAGAAATTGCCTTATCTTTAAAAGTGAGGTTCTAAATACTTTATTACTGTAATAGTATTTCATAAACTCAAAACCATAGCTACATTATAAATATAATCACTAGAATCTTAAAATAATGCTGTCCCCAAAGTCTGTCATGAGATTACTTCTCATGAGATTGTTTTTGTTTCTAGAGTAGTAATTCCTTTGGTAGAAATATGTATTGAATTACATAACTGTATTCAAGCCTATTAAACTTTTAAAAATAATGTCCATAATAGTTACTGTCAATCTAACCCTACTCTAATTTATAAAGGTTTCAGTATATTCAATAGTACACCCAGATTTTTATTGAAAACCATCTACCTTGTGTACTTAAGCATGTCAAACATGTCAAATGATTTGCAAATTGACAGGAGATGACTCTCCCCTCCCCCCACCACACACACACACACGCACACACACACACACACACACACACACACTTACTTTTCACCTGAATTTTCTGATTTCATTGGCCAGAGATTCAGAAACTTATTTCCAGTTAAGGTCTTAAAGACCTTAAGAGGCAACAAAGACTATACTTTCAGGGATCATTTCTCTAGTTCAATACTACAGAAGTTTCTCTGAAGGTGTAGCAAGCACCAGAAACCACGAGGAAAGTGCAGTATTCTCTCCCAAGTGTGATGCCGCCCGTCTCTTGATGTTGCTTTGCTCAGCTGCCATTCGGCATTGATGATTGTTTTATCCTTCCTTAGGAAGAGTGAGAGGGAAAGGATGCAGTCCAAGTGGCTCCCATTTAGGTAAAGAAAAAGAAGAGGCAACAATTCGAAACATTCAGTTTTGTTTATTTTGAGCTAACAAATACTGTCTAACTTTTTTCTCCTTCTTCAGCTGACTATACCAAAAATCATCTTCCCCTAGTAGGTTTCTAATTACTTGTAGCCCTAGTTTAATGAATGTCCCAAACAAGGTGCGTAGCTGCTAGTAACCCAGCCCACCCAAGGTAGGATCCTCCTAGAACTTAAAAACATACATTTTCCTTGGGCGTAATATTTTTATTCTTAGGATTTAAGCACCTATTTTGGAAGAACTTGCACTCATAGTTTATATCCTTTTATTAAATTTCACATTCTTCTGGTTCTTGAATCGAACTTGGTGTCAACAAAGCCACAGCCTTATTTGAGAAAAGCATTGTCATCATCTAAGTCCCTAATCTTTATCTGTTTTCAGCTAGTAGCACTCCAGATAGCACCTCCTCCCCATTGTCTGCTCTGTGGTCCTGATTTAATGCTCTTTTATCTAAGTGGTCCTAATCCTGAGTTTGGTCTGAGAACCACAGTCATAAATTCATTCCCCACATATACTGTGAAAGGACCTGGGCCCTGATCCTTCTCTCTTACCAGCATTCCTTCTGCCCCCTAGTTTTGCTTTTCACCACTATTCCCTCACAGAATTGTATCACTGATGAGAGCTGTGGCGACAGAGTGCTCACCATGTCTCTTTTGCAGTTGGTGTCAATAGTTTTCTTGTTAGCTCCCTCCTCTGAGTCCCTCTTAATACCATCAGCCAAATGTACCACTCACCATTTTCTCAACAAAGACCCCATGGCTTACTTTAGGAAATCCTCAGAGAAGAAAAAAATACAGAATGTGGAAAGAACAACGCTGCTTGGCTCTCTTCTTTTCAAACTATAAGAGTACATTTTCCCATGCAAACAATCTATAGTTCAGTTGCCATATTGTGGGCTACATATGGACATTTATTGTCTAAACTGAAAAATATCCCACCCTTATTACATTGTTTTTTTTAATCAGAAATGTATACCAAGATCCAAAGAATTGTCTTTATCTATTTTATTTTGGAAATTCAGCTTGTCCTTAATCAAAATCTATTGTTTAGGGTAGTAGCTAGTTGCAGTGGTGCCATGATTAGAGCATAGGTTTCTATCCCTAGCTGTCAAAGTAAAATAAAGAGGGTGTATAGTATCCTTTGTAAGTCTTGTATTACCCCGAATGCATGTAAAAGCAAATCACAGGTTTTTTTTTTTTATATGCCCTTTGAAATTTTCAGGTCCACTTAATTTTGGGGGGAGAGAGGATACAATGTGATATTTCCATACATGTGTATAATGTTTAATGATCAAATCAGGGTAATTAGTATACCCATCACTTCAAACCTTTGTCATTTGTGTTGGTAATATTTAAAATCTTTCTTCTATTTGAAAAAAATAACAAATTATTCTTTATTATAGTCACTCTACAGTGCTATAGAACAATAGAACTTATTCCTCCTATTTAGCTGTATTTCTGTATACATTAACCAATCTCCATATCCCGCCCCCACGCCCCGCATCCCTTTCTACCATTCCCATCCTCTAGTAGCCACTGTTCTACTCTCCACTTCCATAAGATCAACTTTTTAAGTTTCCATATATGAGTGAGAACATAGGGTGTTTCTCTTTCTGTGCTTGACTGACTTAACATGTCTTCCAGGCTCATCCATGTTGTCACAGATGACAATATTTCATTTGTTCTTCCAGCTGAATAGTATTCCATTGTGTATATATATACCATGTTTCCTTGATCCATTCATCTGTTGATGGACACTTAGTTTGATTCCGTATCTTGGCAATTATTGTGAATAGTGCTGCAATAAATATGAGAGTGCAGATATCTCTTCCACATACTGACTTGCTTTCTTTTGGATATATACCCAATAGTGGGATGGCTGGGTCATATGGGTAGTTCTATTTGTAGCTTTTTTAAGGAACCTCTATACTGTTTTCCATAATGGTTGTACTAATTTACATTCCCACCAACAATGTGTGAGTTTTCTTTTTCCCACATCCTCACCAGTAAGTTTTTTGTCTTTTTGATAATAGCCATTCTAACTAGGGTGAAATGGTATCTCATTGTGGTTTTGATTTGCAAGCAAATCACAATTTAGATAACAGCATTCAGGTTTAGAGAATATTTTAACTATGACATGGATATGTGTAAATAAAACATTCTATTTAAAACATATTGATGCTTCAGTCATAAATCTGTCCCATGTAGATCAGTTATGAGGATGGAAAAAGAAAAACTCTCACAGAAAAATAGTAATAGTCTTAATCCTCACTCTTAGGGCAGGAAGAAGAAAACTGCCCTTGCTCTGTTTTATTCCTTTGCTCAATTCATTTTCATGTATTTATTTTTCAGCCTTTCCCTACAGCTCTAGAATACTTTAAGACTGATTTGGAGTATTCTGTTGTTCTTGTTTAATATGAACTAACAAATGTATTCTGAATCTTTGTTTCCTCAGTCTATACCAAAACTCACCTTTCCTGGTGGTTTACTAATTGGTTGTAGTCCTGGTTTTATGAATGTTCCCAAGATCAAAGGTACTCACACAGCAATGAAAAGTGGAATTTTAGCAGCAGAATCTATTTTTAATCAACTAACTAGTGAAAATCTCCAATCAAAGACAATAGGTAAGAAATTCCTGTGTAAAGTATACAAAAGAAAATTGCTGGGTTATGTGTATTTCAATTGACATTAAAAGATTTGTATTGCATCTGTCACTTTATAGAAAGTATTAATAAGCATGCTATGCAAAGAAAACTACATGGCTTATTCTCAATAATTACAGTCAGTGATTTTTTACTGTAATGTTCTGTTTTATTCACATCAAAAAAGTAGAAAAGTACCAGTGGTAGCCAGCCACGGTGGCTCACGCCTGTAATCCCAGCACTTTGGTAGGCTGAGGCGGGTGGATCATCTGAAGTCAGGAGCTCGAGACTAGCCTGGCCCACATGGTGAAACCCCGTCTCTACTAAAAATACAAAAAAATTAGCTGTGTGTGGTGGCGGGTGCCTGTAATCCCAGCTACTTGGGAGGCTGAGGCAGAAGAATCACTTGAACCTGGGAGGTGGAGGTTGCAGTGAGCTGAGATCGTGCCATTGCACTCCAGCCTGGGCAACAAGAGCAAAACTCCATCCCCCACACACAAAAAAGAAAAGAACCAGTGGTGTCCCACCTAGTTAGAAACTATTACAAATATGACAGTACTGCATTTATATTGCATACATGTAATACACACAATTAAGATACCTCCCAAATACCTAAGTATCAATAGAACAAACACCTTTACAAAAGGCAGAATTAGCTACCTATTCTTTAGCAAGCTTTGTAAGTATAGGCCTATGACTCTTCTGCTGTGGTGGAGAGAAACAGCCAGCACTTATACCTCCGTAAAGCTTTAATCTAAAAAGACCCTTTACCAACTCCAGCCACACTGGCTTCTTTACAGTTCCCAGAACATGCCAAGCACTCCCACCTCATGGTCTTTGCTCACGGCTGGCTCCTTTGTTCTCTTTCCCTTTGTTTAAATAGCACTCACAGTGGCCCTGCCTTGACCACACCAATTAATGCACAACACACAGCACACACCCAGTTCCCCCTGCATGGCCTTTTCTAGCGCATTTTCCACCTTTTGGTACATTATATTACTTACTTGTTTATCAACTTTTGTCTTCTGCCACTTGGATGAAAACTCCGAGACTAGAGGTATTGCTTAGTGTGAATCCTACATACCTGGCACACGGTAGCGACTCCATAGATATTTGATAAATGAGTCTTAATTCTTAGAATCCCCAGTAAATGTTCCTCTAGTTAGAGGTATGTAACCAGGTTATGCCTTCAAATCTTTGTAGGAATGGAGGCCTAGCGTGGGGAGATGAAGTGGAAAACAGAAAGGGCAAAGGGTACTACTTCAGGGAGAATGGAATAGCCAAGATGGAGTGCAGTGGCTGGGTAGAAGTTTTTTTCTAATTTTCTTGTCAAGTATCGTTCCTTGTTGGACCACCAGCCATACTTGAACTGTATCATGTGTATATAGTACCACACATAGATAATACTGGAGCCAGTATATCACCAAAGACTAGATTGAGGGTTAAAGCCTAAAGAAAAGGGGAGTGGAGCCAGAACAGGAAACAATGACTGGAAAAAGTAGTCATGTGGAGTCCACCAAAAGCCGTAAGGGAACCAATTTGTCCTCTTTATTAAGTGCATGCACCAAGTTTTCTCTATGAAGTGGTGGGTTTGTTTTTGTTTTTAGAGACAGGGTCTCTCTCTGTTGCCCAAGCTGGAGTGCAGTGCTGCAATCCTTGGTCTCTGCAATCTCAAATTCCTTGGCTCAAGCAGTCCTCCCACTTTGGCCTCCCAAGTAGCTGGAAATTACAGGCTAGAGCCACTGTGCCCAGTTCTGTCCCTTCTTCTAAGGATACCAGCCATATTGGATTAGAGACCCACTGTACTGTAGTAGACCTCTTCTTAACTAATTATATCTACAGCCACTAATAAGGTCACAGTCTAAGGTACTGGAGGTTAGGACTTCAAAACCTATTTTGGGGGGACATATTTCAACCCATAGCAGGTAGAAATAGTTTGAGTTGTAAATTATGAAATTTCTTCACTCTTACAGGTAGCATGAACTTTTTATCTTAAAGCTTCTTTCTCGGTTTCACTAAAATTTGAAACTAATTTTCCATGCTACCAATGTAAGAAATCAAATGCCTTACTGCCTGTTAATAACATATCTATATCTAATGGTTGTCTTTTTGGAAGATGCCAACATTTATACATGAAAGAGCCTTCACTGTGGACCATGTTTTAAAAAATTACTTAAGATTCACTCATCAGCCAGGTGCGGTGGCTCATGCCTGTGATCCCAGCACTTTGGGAGGCTGAGGCGGGCATATCACTTGAGCCCAGCAGTTCAAGACCAGCCTGGGCAACATGGCAAAACCCTCTTTCTACCAAAAACACAAAAGTTAGTAGGGTGTGGTGGCGTGTGCCTCTGGTCCCACCTACTCAGGAGGCTGAGGTGGGAGGATGGCTTGAATCTAGGAGGTGGAGGTTGCAGTGAGCCATGATCACACCACTGTACTCCAACCTGGGTGACAGAGCAAGACCTTGTCTCGAAAAAAGAAAAACTTCACTCATCAGCTATCAAAGTAGCAAAATACTTAGCGTATTTTACACACATTTGGGCAGTTTCGCACTTAACATTTCATGTTTTTAATAAAAGGACTCCATGTAACTGAATATGAGGACAATTTGAAGAACTCATGGGTATGGAAAGAGCTATATTCTGTTAGAAATATAAGACCGTCCTGCCACGGAGTACTGGGTGTATATGGAGGGATGATTTACACTGGAATCTTTTACTGGATATTGAGAGGAATGGAGCCGTGGACTCTGAAACATAAAGGTAATTCAAACAAGAGTATGAGTGACATGATCATTAAAAATTCATGAATGGGATCTGTTAATTAGAGAAAGTGATTGTTTTAATGTTTTCAACTTGGAGAAATTATAAATTTAGTGTCTAAGAACAGTATATTATTACTTGAGGGCTAGTCATATTTCTTTGGTGTGATAATATTTTGAAGTTTTTATACAAATAGGCTTAAGAAAAAGTACTTCAAAATCATATTTTGTTAAGCATTTCCCTCAAAATTGTTGAAGGTTCTGACTTTGAACGGCTCAAGCCAGCCAAGGATTGCACACCTATTGAGTATCCAAAACCCGATGGACAGATCAGTTTTGACCTCTTGTCATCTGTGGCTCTGAGTGGTACTAATCATGAACATGACCAGCCGGCACACTTAACCTTAAGGGATGACAGTATACCTGTAAATAGAAATCTGTCGATATATGATGGGCCCGAGCAGCGATTCTGTCCTGCAGGTAATAATTTCCATCTATTCCTAAATATTTGCTTTAAACATTTTAGGAATGTGATTTTGTTCTTTTAAAAAATGATTTCTGTATCTCCTTCCATTCCTTAGAAATTGTAAATGACTTCATCCAGCTTCCTTTAGGAAACATACTTTTAACTACTGGTTTTGTTAAGCCTAGTTCAGATAACATTTCTCAAAAAAAAAAAAAAAGCCCTTTGTCTACACTCAGACTAAGATGAAGATTCTTGAAAATGAAATACCTCTCTTTGCAGGTTCATGTGACTATTTAAAGTCATTTCTGTCATGGCAGCTCATCTGTATGTATTTGGGTGCATGTACTAGAACAGCACATTATGATTACATTCAGTCCAAGGAATGCTCTGAAACTTTAAATTCACCATGAATATTCTTTCAGTGCTGAGCTTTCAACTGAAATTACAGTAATAGGAACCAGGTCTCAAATGATATGGTAGAACAAAATAGTATTCCGATACTCGAAAAGTAGTACATTCACAAAAGAAGATACACTGTGACTTGGTCTTTTGGCTTTTGTCATTACAGTGGGTTGAAAACTCCCTGAGGTTAAATTTGGTTTTTTAGCTGTACCGTTAGGCTCCTCTTACCCCCAGTCACCCACGGTCTGAAAATAAGAAAATTCCAGAAACAAATAATTCTTGAGTCTTAAATTGTGCACGTTAAGTTTTAAATTGTGTACCATTCGGGCTTGCCCCACCCTGAATGTGAATTATCCCTTTGTCCAGCATATTCACACCTAACATTCGTTATGTTACTTGGTAGCCATCTAAGTTATCAGATTTACTGTCACATTATCATACTTGTGTCCAGTAACCCTTTAGAAATATCCCCACAACGCAAGAGTAGTGATGCTGACAATTCAGAGATGCCATAAAGTGCTTCCTTTAAGTGAAAGGAGAAAGTTCTCTATAAAGAGAAAAAAATCCTATGCTGAGGTTGCTAAGGTCTATGGTAAGACTGTATCTTCTGTGAAAGAGGAAAAAGAAATTTGTGCGTTTTGCTGTTGGACCTCGAACTGTAGAAGTTATGGCCAGAGTGTGGCAAGTGCTTCCTTAAGATGGAAAAGGCATCACATTTGTGGGTGAAATACATGAACAGAAACGTGTTCTGACTGACAATGTAAGTTGAGTACTACCTGAGGTTTCAGGCGTCTACTGGGGATCTTGGAACTTGTCCCCTGTGAATGAGAGGATGACTGTGAATAAGGGAGGACTTCGAGGTTGTGTGGAACTCAAACACTCAGTGTCGAGTACCCTTGATAGTGAGACAACTCAGCTGAATACCGCTGTACCTCCTTTTATTATGTACATGTAATTTACACTCACATCAATAGCAATGCACCAAGGTCTTCATAATCTCTATGGGTAAGCATTCAGAAAGCAACCTTTAAGGTTTCTGTGGCTACTCTTTCCTTAATTTTTACTTTTGAATTTAAAAATTTTTTAAAGTTAGGCACTTCAATATTATTTATTTTTACTTTTCAGGAGTTTATGAATTTGTACCTGTGGAACAAGGTGATGGATTTCGGTTACAGATAAATGCTCAGAACTGTGTACATTGTAAAACATGTGATATTAAAGATCCAAGTCAGAATATTAACTGGGTGGTACCTGAAGGTGGAGGAGGACCTGCTTACAATGGAATGTAAACTGCAGCTAGCCAGTTTCTTTCAAGTATGGCAAGCTAACGTTAAAATGTTTAGAGATTAACAGATTTCAGAATGTCTTTCTGCATATTACTGAACAGAATAGTCACAAAATGATTATCAAATAAAAATTTTATACTATATGTAAGATTGTCCCATAAAGAAATTACGGGTATTGCTTTTAAATAACCTTTATAAGAATGCAGCATCTTCCTACCTCTTCAGTTCTTCAGAGATTCAGTACCAAGAGCAAAATTCACTACTGGACTTTACATTTGACTTGCCAAAGTTAAGTAATCAAATATAAAAATGAATATATATTCTAGACTAAAGTTTTATTGAAACACAGCCATACCCATTGGTTACACATTGTCTATGGCTAATTTTGAATTACAACTGTGCAGGTGAGTGGGTGTGACATTACATGGTCTACAAAGCCTAAAAACTTTATGATCTGGCCCTTGCAGAAGAAGTATGCCCATCCCTGAACAAGTTTGTGTGTGTGTGTGTGTGTGTGTGTGTGTGTGTGTGTGTATTATCTATAAGTATGAAAACCTAGCATCATCCACCATGGATACATCAAAGAATCGAAGGAAACAATATACAAACTTAAGCTCTCATCTCTTTATTCAATAAGATGTGTCTTTACAAGTTTAAAAAGACTGGACACCATTATTTTTTATGAATAATGCACATAACCATTTTAAAAAACATTTTACTTGGCCGGGCACGGTGGCTCACACCTGTAATCCCAGCACTTTGGGAGGCCAAGGCGGGGTGGATCACAAGGTCAGGAGTTCAAGACCAACGTGACGTGACCAATATGGTGAAACCCCATCTCTACTAAAAATACAAAAATTAGCTGGGCGTGGTGGCACGTGCCTGTAATCCCAGCTACTTGGGAAGCTGAGGCAGGAGAATTGCTTGAACCCGGGAGGCAGAGGATGCAGTGAGCCGAGATTGCGCCACCGCACTCCAGCCTGGGTGACAGAGCAAGACTCCATCTCAAAGAAACAAACAAAACCACTTTACTTACTGTATTGTGACATGTTTATTAAGCATGAACCCCTATCAGTACTCCTAAACTGTAAACAGTAAGGAACTAAGGTGTCAAAAGAAACACATTAGGGATCATATTCATAGACAAAAACCTTTACATTTTCTTATTGCATTTATACAATCAACACACAATAAGCAAAACTGAATCCTTTCTAAGCAAACATTTTTGCATATACTGCCTTCTCTTTATCTTTCTGTGCCTTTATCTTTTGTTTGACTTTCAGCAATTCTGCCTGGATAGCTGTAAAATAAATATGCAATGTGAGTTATTTCTCAAAATATCCAAAAAATTATGGTGACTAACAAACTATTTTAATGTTAACTACCCCTTGAAAAAACTTCTCTACAAAGTAACTAAGCCCTAGTAACAGAAAATCTGAGCAATCACACAAACACAGAAATGAAACGTAATTTTAGAGGATGTCAACTGAGAGAACTCAAGTACATCAAGATTTGCCTTCTGCCTCTACATTAGAGAACAGTAATTGCTTCCCTTGTTTCATTTTAGTAATAAGAGACCAAAGACATTTTGTAATACCCAGATCTAGTGTCACTATTCATAGTTGGTTTATTTGAAAAACAAGCTTATTTTTGTCATAGTTTCCTAAAACATATAACCAGTACATCAATACTAAGGTTATAGCCACATTCAACTTGAATGGTCCCAAATGTTAAATTTACCATGAATACTGTGTCTTACAATGCTGAGCTCTCGACTAGACTAACCAGAATAGGAACACAGTCTCAAAGGATACCATAAGACAAACAGTATTTAGACATATAAAAAACTACAGAGATGATAACTTGAAGAATAAATAACGTGAAAAACTACTATATTCTTGAATGGGAGTAGAATGTAAGCTCTTTGAGGGCAGGGACTTTGACTGTCTTGTTCATTGCTATATGATAATGCCTGGCCCAACAGCAGGCATTCTGTAGTGTCTGTTGAACAAACATCTAAAATCTGGCAAAGTGAACAATGGTTCCTGAGGATAAGTATTTAAATAACAAAATTAACTTTCACTACAAAAGCTGCCAACTTACCTTTATCTTCTGGTGCTATCCCCTGAGCTTTCTTAAGATCAGCCTTTAATTGGAAAAAAACATTTAAGTTAGGTGTATGATTTATAAAGGTAGTTGTCTATTTTAAAAAATTAAACATTTGGAACAAAATTTACCAATGCTTGATCATATTCTTTTAATCCTTGCCATCCTTGAGCTCTGCGGTACAATGCTTTGGTATTTGATGGGTCTAGTTCAAGAGCCTACAAAAAAGTATAAAGCTAGTATTTATATCAAAGTATTAAGCTTATATGCCAGATTTCAATTCATTGCCTATCAACTCCAAACCCATCCTTCACTGCTCTGTGAAAATGGAGCTGAAACATGCAAATAGCTCTCCTCTGCCAGTGGGCACTAAGTTTTGTCAGCAGAGGGCACTGAATGGACATGGAGGAGAAAGACATTTCTCTAGTTTCCAATATGCTCCCCACTGTGGTTTCAATCTCCCGAATGGGCCTGAACTAACACTTTTAAGATAAAATCATTTTGAAGAAACATTTGTATACACTTTTTACTTGAATTATAAGTTTTTTAGGAACATTAATAACTTAATAACTCTTAAGTTATAAACTCTTAAGTTTTTGTTTTTTGTTTTTTTAAGACAAGGTCTCACTCTGTGGCCCAGGCTGGAGTGCAGTGGCCTGATCACAGCTCACTGCTGCCTCAACCCCCCAGGCTCAAGTGCTCCTCCCACCTCAGCCTCCAAGTAGCTGGGACTACAGGTATGTGCCACCACACCAGACTAATTTTTTTTTTTTTTTAGAGACAGGGTTTCACCATGTTGCCCAGGCTGGTTTCAAACTCCTGGAATTAAGCGATCTGCCCGCCGCCGTGGCCTCCCTAAGTGCTGGAATTACAGGCATGAACCACCATACCCAACCTAGGTTCTTACCTACAACAGGTCTTTTAACCTAAGAGACTTTATGCATCAGGTCTCTCCCCTAGAACAAACATTTTAAAATTATCTTTTGTTTATGTAACATCTTTTAATGGCCAATACTCAGATTTTACCTGCCTCACAGGTCAAAAAGAGATCGAGGCTGGGCAGAGAGGCTCTTAACTATAATACCAGCACTTTGTGAGGCCAAGGCGGGTGGACAGCTTGAGCCCAGGAGTTAAGAGACCAGCCTGGGCAACATGTCAAAAACCCATCTCTACAAAAAATTTAAAAATCAGCTGGGTATGGTGGCAAGGGCCTGTAGTCCCAGCTACTTAGGAGGCTGAGGTAGGAGGATCACCCGAGCCCAGGAGGTTGAGGCTGCAGTGAGCTTTGATTGCATCACTGCACTCCAGCATGGGTGACAGAGAACAAAAAAAAACCCAGAGTGAAGACCCATCTTTTCTTTTGATAAGTTTTTTCCTCTGTTGTATGATCCCTTCTAAATATATTCCTATCCCTTATTCCATCTACCCTACAAAATTAGGATCTCATTTTAGTTCTACTTGCTCTGAGCATAGCTAGTCTAGGTGCCTGGCTTAATATGTAAAATTCTTAAAGTTTCATTTGGAAAACTTTTCAAACTATACAACAGGGAAGAGAGTCATAATTGCTCTATTTGAGGAAGGTAAAACTGCCACCTTTCTAGCTTTATCAGTTAGCATACCTGGATGACCTCCTAAAGATAAATGACCTGTTCCAATAGAACCCATTCTCCATACACAAGTCCTGATGAACCTAAATTGAAACTGACCCCCTCCTATCCTGAATCACTTATTAAGCTTCTTGAGGGTATGGATCTTTTAATTAAAATAACTCGTCTCTGTTAGGTGCTTAAAATGTGCCAGGCACTACACTAAATGCCTTACATTGTGTTATATAACTCTCTATAACTACTTCACGGTGGCTCACACCTGTAATCCTAGCACTTTGGGAGGCCAAGGCGGGTGGATCACCTGAGATCAGGAGTTTGAGACCAGCCTGGCCAACATGGTGAAACCCTGTCTCTACTAAAAATACAAAAATTATCTGGGCATGGTGGCACATGCCTGTAATCCCAGCTACTTGGGAGGATGAGGCAGGAGAATCACTTGAACCCGGGAGGCAGAGGTTGCAGTAAGCCGAGATTGCGCCACTGCACTCCAGCCTGGGCAACAGAGTAAGACTCCGTCTCAAAAAAAAAAGAAGAAGAAAAAAGCCATGCCTGACTGACTCCATAACCCACATCTTAATCATTTCTGACTTTGTCTTCTAATGCCTAACACACAATAGGTGCTCTTAAGTGAATACATGAGCTGATATATGTGCTTTGAGAAAAAAAGGCAAGGATCTTCATAGCTGTTAAGTGACACAGAGTTATAAGCAAAATGAATGTAGAGAAAGAACTGAGGGTCCAAAATATTTAGAAACAAAATGTTTTCTTAAGCCTCATTAGGTCCTATGCAATAAGATATATTAATGTATATAAAAGTTGCTACTATTCAAACTAAGTCTTAATCCAACTTATTCAAAAAGTTCAAAATCAAACAGACTTACCTCTAAACAACTGTCAATTGCTCCCTGCCAATTTGACATCTTCAGTTTACAAGCACCAATATTCAGTACACAGCTTAAAGCTATAGGTTGCAGCTTGGCTCTATCTGCTGTCTCAATAACAGCCTTTGAACTGTCCACGTATCTGCAGAATGCATTAATAAAAGCAGTATGAAAGACCACATAAACAGGAATTACTCTTCTCTATGTCCAGAAGTGTTATGTCATTTCTGATATAAAAAGCTCTAAAAATGCTATTAATAATCTTAATGATCACACTTTTTAAAATTTTTAAGAAGGCTTAAAAAAAATTGTTTTTGTTCCCCAAAGTGTTCAAAGAGGCCAATTTAAGAGCAATTCCCAAATCTAATTATGCACTAGTAACACTTTTCTATTTTTAAAACTCAGGTCCCCACTATGTACTTTCCAACATAATTATGTTTGGAACCAGGATTCTCATAATAGGAGAAGGGAATTCAGTAGAGGAAAGATGAAGGAGAACTCTATTGTGTTGATTTTGCATTGTCCCTGAAAAGGGCCCCAAAACTGAGCACACCTGGCCCCCAGAATTTGGTTTCTAAAGTTTTCTTTCTCTAAAAGAAATCAGAGGTCCTTGGAGAAACTGCCATATCAGATGTGAAAGTAAGGTAAGATGAGCTTAGAGCAAGCAAGTGCTCGCAGACTAATAGGAACATGCCAAAGGAAAGGGGCCTTCCACTGAACAAATTTGGAACCCTTTGGGCATGAAAAAGAATGACAATAATAGCGTACTAACAAACGGAATTGAAAACTACCCATAAGATATCCTCTAGTCCCTGCTACTTGGGAAGGTGAGGAGGGAGGATTGCTTGGGCCCAAAAGTTCCAGACCAGCCTGGGCAATATAAAGGAGGCCTTGTTTCTATAAAAGGAAAAAAAAAGAAAAGAAAAATATCCACAGGTCTATAGTGATACTTAAAAAATATGCGGGAGGCTCTTGCAAACAGAAGAATGCTAGTTAATAACTGTACGATGATAAACTTAGAAGTTCAGTATAACAGATTCAGGCATGGATTTTCAATGATGCTAAGATCCACTGTGTGAAAAGTTGTTGGGGACTAGAAATTCATACAATTTCACGATACCACCTCAGACTAACAAATGCTTGTGGCTGACACTACTTTAACCATGTGTGTGAACTCAAACAGGCCAAAGCGAAATGTGTCTTCAGGATGTGATATCATAGGTAATACAAAACAACACCTAAGTCTTCTTGCCAAAATATTTCACCTCAAACTAATCTTAAGGAAACAAACACATACAGATGAAAGTCTATAAAAACAACTGACTTGGACTCCACAAAAATGCAAATGAATAAAAAACCAGGGGAGGTAGGAAACGTAAGAGATACTACCACTAAATATAACACATAATCTTAGTTTGGACCCTTGATTTTTCTAAGAAATTGAAACAACTGGGGAAGTTGGAATATGGATTACTTTTTTTTTTTTTTTTGAGACAGAATCTCACTCTGTCGCCCAGGCTGGAGTGCAGTGGCATAATCTCGGCTTGCTGCAACCTCCACCTCCTGGGTTCAAGTAATTCTTGTGCCTCAGCCTCCCAAGTAGCTGGGATTACAGGCGTGCGCCACCAGCCCAGCTAATTTTTGTATTTTTAGTAGAGATGGGGTTTCACCATATTGGCCAGGCTGGTCTCGAACTCCCGACCTCAGGTGATCCGCCCAGCTTGGCCTCCCAAAGTGCTGGGATTATAGGCATGAGCCACTATGCCCAGCCTAAATATGGATTGATATTATCTATCAATATTACTTTGGGGTGTTTTAACGGTATTGAACTTATGCAGAATGTCTTTGTTTCTTAGGAAATACGTGCTGAAATACTTAGGGTAAAGTATCACAGTATCAACAACTTCCTATCAAAATAGTTCTGTAAAAACGTAAACAGCAAAAGTTAAAAATTGGTGAATGTAAGTAAAACTTATGAGTAATTATGTACTACTCGTTCAACTTCTGTCTTTTGAAATTTCTCAAAACAAGCTGAGGGGAAAAAAAAGGAAATGCAACTATTTCAACACACCTGGTTATTCCACAAGTAATTTGCAAAAATATAATGAGCAATTCTTAATTTTAGTTTATAATTCAATTTATAATTTCTTAAAAATAATTTGTTAGAAATAATATTACCTTAAAACTTCTGCATATTTTTTAATAGCCATCTCCCAGTTCTGGGATTTGAAAAAAGTATTTCCAATGTTTTTTAAGTCTTCTGTTATTAATAAAATTTTATCTACCTGTATAAAAAAATACAAATATGTTGGATTTTAGTAAGTAATGTGGTTTAATGCTAGATTCTATCATATGAGAGACTGAAACAAAAGCTCAAACTTTTAGTACTAAATATTTTCACTTACTAAATTAATTAAAGTTTGACTAATCTGAAAGTACTCACATCTTTTAAATCTATATCCGCATCCTCAGGGAAATCTGGATGACTGTCGCCAGAGCCATCTTTTGGGAATATTCCCCCGTCATCTCCTTCCTTCAATTCTCCACATTCTGCAATAACGCACAACTGTAAAAATAACCCTAAATTGTAGAAGTGCACTATCGTAATAATGAGAGATAAAAGCTATACAGCTGAAGTCATGTGCAGCACTGTCCAATTCACAGATTTATGTGAGAAGGCTCATTTATGTACTATAATGCTGTTTTTATACATTCCAACTAATACGACAATGTTAGTATTTACATAAGCATTTTATTGCTATTCAGGAGCTCAATAAACACAGAATAAGTTGGCAATTTTATCATTGTCTATGTAAGTGGCATTAGGTGGGGCATGAGCTTCCGGTTTACTACTATTCTTGTCATACACTGAGTGACAGCCTACCTCCTACAAGTAACTGAGCTTCCAACTCCCACTCACAACCCTGTCACTTAGGCTGGGTAGTATTATGGTCGTTTAGGGGTTTTTCTTTTTTTCTTTTTTTTTTAATAGAGACAGCATCTCACTATGTTGCCAAAGCTGGTTTCCAACTCCTGGTCTCAAGTGATCCTCCCACCTCAGCCTCCCAAAGTGCTGGGATTACAAGCATGAGCTACCATGCCCAGCCAATATTAAGGTCATTTTGATTCACAGACATTAAGTACACAAGGGTCTTCAGAGATAATCTAGTCTAAACCCATAAGTAATTTAGACAGGAGAAAACACGTGTGGAAAAGTTAAGTAACAAAGTCAAGGCCAAGCCTCTAGTTAATGCTACAATCCAGACAAGATTTTGGGCTTATTATCCTCATTCCACTATGTACTACTATACATACCAACTGAACAGTTTTGCAGGTATAGGAAGACTTAACGTAAACTAGCAAAGATCACCAAATGAAAGTTGAAATAATAAAAATCTCCTTTAAAACTACCCTAATTGTCTTTCCCATTGTAGAAAAGTTAAAAAAAAAAAAAAAAAGTGGCAGATCCTGGCTCCTATACCCAAAATTATTATAACATTTTTCCAGCTAATAATCACCTGATCCTTTTACTTATATTTCTTTAAGATAGCAACTAACAGGCTGGGTGCGGTGGCTCATGCCTGTAATCCCAGCACTTTGGGAGGCCGAGGTGGGCGGATCACAAGGTCAGGAGTTTGAGACCAGCCTGGCCAACATGGTGAAACCCCGTCTCTATTAAAAATACAGAAAAAATTAGCCGGGTGTTGTAGCGCGCGCCTGTAATCCCTGCTACTCAGAAGGCTGAGGCAGGAGAATAGCTTGAACCTGGGAGACAGAGGCTGCAGTGAGCCGAGACCGCACCACTGCACTCCAGCCTGGAACAGATCGAGACTCCGTCTCAAAAAGATAGCAACTAAGATAATAAGTGTATTTCACTGTAACTTTTTACTTACTTTAGCAGGTTTTTCACCTTTCACTTCCACATTTTCCAATATCCTTGCCACTCCTATTCCTTTAATTACTTGGCCAAACACCACATGTTTCCCATCCAAATGAGGAGTTGGAACTGTTGTGATAAAAAACTGAGAACCGTTTGTGTTGCGGCCTGCATTTGCCATGCTCAGTAAACCCTCCCGATCATGCTGTAGAAATAAAAATTAAAAGAAAACCAAGGTTAGATGTGTTCTTTTCTGAATTGTGTGTTAGTCTGAACTGTTCTTTTACTGAACATAAAACTGGGGTGCACTATACTACCATTTAGATCAAACTACTTTTTTTTACTTTTCACTTATAAAATTTTTTAATTACTTTTTATTTTTTTATAAACTGCAACCTTTAATTCACAAAACATGGGGCACTTAATCACTTTAAACTTTAAAAAACCTTATCAAAGTAAATAGGTAACAGAAACAATAGTCGGGGGGAGGGTTATTTCTAAATTGGCCATGAGAAAATACTTACACTTCACCTTTAAAATGAAGATGCAGCATTATGAAACTCTTGTAATATATTTTGCCCTCTTTATGATGAATGCTCTTTTTTTCTGGGAAGACCTGAACGGTCTTCCAAATTCATAAATATGCCTACAGTATAAGTCTTCCTTTACAAAACATCAATAAACTGGAACAATAATGGGATACTGAATTTACCCAAGACATTCAGTTTGGTACTTTCCTAATCTCAAAAGAATCCAAATCATACAGGATTTGGATTAGGTTTTCATCCCAGATGAATCACCTCTTCGGAGAGTGCTCAAAAGAAACTGCTGCATACATCTTGAAATCAAAATTCTACCTTGGCATAATCCTGTCAAAGGATCTATGAAACCCAATTTCTTAACCTTTTCACTTTATCTCCTAGGCTTTCTAAATGTATTCCTTGTTGGTGCATGCACCGTAACTCTCATGTTATATAATGTTTCATGACACCCCCCACCCCACCAAAATGCCTTTTACTCCCCTCAGTCTAAATCAAATTCAGATTTTAAGGCCACCACGTTTATAGAAAGCAAGAATCATGTGTCTTGTCTATAGGCCCCTTTTCTCTATGTCAATGTGATCATCACATCACCTTTAGTTTTCATCCTTCTGGTAGCTTCCTTTGGTACAACAGTAACTAGAACTTTATTTCCTCAACGTCTCTTGCCTTTGTCTTTCCTCACCGACGTCCCTTTTTAAATTCTGCATCAATACTACAGTTCCTGCCTAACCAAATCTCAGACATGTTGCCGCCTTGCAAGACCCAGTCTGCACAGCCCAAGTAGCCATTCCTCCTCAATGACTTCCATAATAATTCAGACTGCATAAATCACATCTTTCTCCTGCAGTATATAGACAGTATTAGCAATGTTATACAAGCAAGGATATTCAATCAATTTAGCATTTATTTATATACTATTATTCTCCAGTAGTCCCATGTATCTTAATCTTGTCTCTGAGGTAGGATTATAAATTCCTTGTCATCAAGGCCTTTCATTTTTATAAACCCTTTGGTGCCAGTGATAGTGGCTCAATAAACACTGACTGGAAGACTGACGACATTTTTTCAAATTATCCTAATACCCTTGCTCATATTCCTTATTTCCAAAAATATCACTTTACTTTTGTACTTACATGTCCATTCTTATAACTTGAATGATGCAATATACCCCAATTACATCTTGGGACAACGAAGACAAGAAGGCACAGGCACCACTGAAGTCCTTTAGGAGCTTGGACATTTAACTATATCTGCTAGTGTGCAAATCCCCTGACATCCTGGATATTAGTGATGGTTTTGTTGCTCTTCAAATTCAAGGATAAGGATGCACAAGTTACCATCCTTCCAACAATGGAAACATTTTTCCTGGAAACAATTTTGCCAGATGCTGGTCGCATTTAAAAACTCACTGGCTTAACTGAAGCATATAAAAACTGGATCACAATGAAATAATGCTGAATTAATCATTACTGAATGAAAACTTTTCCATATTAAAGAACCATTATTTACAAAAGTGATTCCTATTACAAGAAATGGAGAATCTAAGCACACTTGAAACATTTTTTGGTGTCTTAATCCAACAAGTATTCCAGATATATAACAATCTTTTTATCAGCAATAACATGCATTTTCTCTACTTTACCTTGTAATGGAAATTTTCATCTTCAAATTTTTCACCATAAATACTTTCTCCACCTGTCCCATTCTGATTTGAGAAGTCTCCACCCTGAATCATAAATTTCTTAATAACTACAAAAAAGGAAAATGGCTATTAGTGACTGAGACATGGATGCCTTTAGCAATGCTTACTAATGGATACGTACGTAAGACAACTTTGTAGTGCATGACTCTAGTCATGTCTCTCTCCTGTTTGTCGCTCCCCACCCGTCTCCGCAACTCCAAACGCTTCAGGCTTTTCACCATCTGAATCCAACCTATTTTCACTGCCTGATCCCTGCTAACATTCAGAAAATCGGTTCAAATGATACCTCCCCTATAAAACTGTCACTGAAATCCCTAAGCTGTATGTCCTAATTTTTCTCCCATAGTATCTTGACTCTGCCTACATAACATATGGCATTATGATCTGCCCCTTCCAGCAATGATCTCCTTAAGTACACCAACTGTATTGTTTTACATCCTTATAACTATGTGCATGTACACATAGTACATATTAGTTACTCAATAATGTCTGCTGAATACAGACCAATGATTCCCAGTAGATTTGTTCTACCCTAATGGAAAATTTTCAGCAAATATATCACTTTGTGTCAAAGGTTACCAAGATTGCTTTCATGTTCAGAGAACCCTAGAGCTCACACAAATCAGTATGTGGTTGGATCACAGTGGTAAGGATACACAGCGAGATGACGGGAAAGACACAGGCAGAGTCTGGAAAAATCCATGTGCAGGCTTCCTTATGCTTTCTCCGTCCCATGAAGTGCTACAGAACACACACTTCCCCCAGCAACAAAAATGCAGCAACATGTACACAGTATTTCTGCCCAGGAGAGCCAATTAGAGACTCAGCACCCAAGGTATTTATTGGGCACACTCTACCTAGCATGTACCAAAATTCCAGACTCCCCAAAAGAGAGCACACATTCATGTTTGTACAAATAGGCTAGGCATAGTAAATCACCATTACTATTTAGGAAATGGTACAAGTGTCAAGTTCCCAGACTCCAAACAAGTGCTACTCTTGCAGGCAGACCTTTCTAAAGATAGCAGTCTCACACTTGCTATGTTAAATATTTTCTGCATATAGTTTATTAGCATATTTCAAGTTTTTATTAAACATGAAAGTAAACATTTTAAATATTTTTTAAAAAGTTAATTTTTTCTTAATAAATCGTTTAAAAAATGTTGCTCTTGTGATTATTGCTTATTTGCCTATTTATTAAACAAATACTTACTGAGTTCTTACTCAATAACTGTATTAGATGCCAAAAACAAAATGGTGAAAACATACAGTTCTTGAACTCATAGAGCCTGCAGTCTATTGGGAGAACCATTATCACTAAACAAAAGTATGATTCATTACAAAGTGTAATAAGCAGTATGAAATGGCATATTTTGACCACACTATCACCCATGTGCCCAAAACACTGAATCTTCAAATCTGCTGCCTTCCCAAGCACTCAGGCCCAAAAATTATGCATTTTTTTGTTTGTTTGTTTGTTTGTTTGTTTGTTTGAGGCAGAGTCTCACTCTGTCGCCCAGGATGGAGTGCAGTGGCGTGATCTCGGCTCACTGCAAGCTCCACCTTCTGAGTTCATGCCATTCTACTGCCTCAGCCTCCCGAGTAGCTGGGACTACAGGCGCCCACCATCACACCCGGCTTATTTTTTGTATTTTTAGTAGAGACGGGGTTTCACCGCGTTAGCCAAGATGGTCTCGATCTCCTGATCTCGTGATTCACCCGCCTCAGCCTCCCAAAGTGCTGGGATTACAGGCGTGAGCCACTGCGCCCGGTCTATGCATAACTTTTTTGTCACCAGGCAATGAAGCTACCTAAGGTTGGTTGACTACGGCCTTCCTTTCTCAATCAAATCATCTTAGAGTGAAGGAGAATGAGAGGATGGGTAAAGCTAGGGGAGTCCATTTCTCTATAGATAAACCTTAGTACCATAAGTAATTCCACCTCGCACAGCCTAACCTTTACGAAACTGCGTTACTGCCTCAGACATGGACGCTAATAGTACTTTTTAAGCTTCACTTCCTACTTAGTGTTTTCTTCCCCAAATCCTAAAGAACAGGACTTGTCTGTATGAAGAATAACAAGATTAAGAAAATTTACACATACTTCGATGAAAAGGGCATCCTTTGAAATGGAGAGGTTTCCCAGTCGTGTGTCCAATGCCTTTTTCTCCTGTACACAGTGCACGAAAATTTTCCGCAGTTTTGGGTACGATATCTGCAAACAATTCTAAGACAATTCGACCAACTAAAAGAAAAGAAAATCTTGTCAGTATGCAAAACAACCAAATAGACAAATGATAAAAAGAAGGTTGGTATAATTATGGTAGCAGATCAATCATGAATTACCAAGTTCCCCTTTACTGTAATTTTTCTTTTTTGCAATTTCAAGAACACAACACATTGCTACTAACTATAGTCATTATGTTATACAATAGATCTCTTAAATTTATTCCCCCTTTCTAACTGAAATTAGGTCTCTCGTGATCAACATCTACCCAACCCCTGAAATCCACCATTCCATTCTCTACTTCAAGGTCAACTTTTTAGAAACCACATGTAAGTGAGATCATGCCTTGTCTTCCTGTGCCCAGCTTATTTCATGTAACATAATGTCCTCCATATTAATTCATGTTGTCAGAAGTGACAAGATTTCATTATTTTTTATGGGTGAATAGTACTCCACTGTGCACATATATCAAATTTTAAAAAAAATCCATCTGTAGATGGAAACCTAGTTTGATTCCATTATCTTGGCTATCATGAATAATGCTGCAATGAACATGGGAGTGCAGATACCTCTTTGACATACAAACTTCATTTCCTTTGAATATACTCACTAGAATTAGTGAATCTTATTTTATTCTAATATTCAAATTTAGTCTACCTACTGTCATGTATGTATATAAACAGATTTGAAACATTACACTAAGGATCATAACCAATTATAGTAGCCAAAAGATTAGCACCATGTAAGAGATATCATTAAATACAAATAGTTTTAAATCCTGAGTAATTTCTTCAAGAGGTACTGAGAATTTCCAATCACCAAGCAACCAACGGGAGAAAATTAAACAGTCTTTGGGTGGGCGGACTTGCCACGTGTTACGTATACCTGCAGCCTTTGTGCTCTGAGCAAACTGCCTCATGCAACCTCTGAAGCAAAAGCTGTAAAAATTCCTCCTCTAGATAGCAGCTAAGACAGGTGAGATTAAACCTAGCCCTAGCTAGTTGCAACAAACTGAATGTACGTGTAAACGTGTGTGTGTCCTGTACATGCATTCAAACACATTGCCTGGCCAGCAATTCCAACGTGTTCCAGAACAAGGCCAATCCAGTTACAAAGCAACACGCTCCCTAATTCACCAGGCCTTAGGAACTTCTGAGCGGCTATGTAACCTAGGCAACACCATCACTACGTTGAGCGCATTTTCCCAATGGCAAATTAAGAGAAAATGTTTGCTCATCTGAACGGACCTCTAAATTAAGAATCAGTAATAAGGCAAAAGCAATGAGCAAACAAGTCCCTTTAACGTATAAATAACACAGCACGTGCTGATATATTATCTCATGTGGCAAATATAGTTTCCTGGGGCCCAGCAGACGCATATCCCAGGATATGCTTTCCGAACTGTCCCATTGCAAACATAAAATATTTCATGCTAACTTGGTAGTGCAAAGGTGGCGTGGAAGTGCCACCAAATCAGGAGGCAAACCTAAAGGACGCCACAATTCCCGAACTAGAAATTTCCAGAAACTTCCGCACCACCGATGGCATTGATACAAGGGCGCTGGATCGATCTAGCCCTAGATCTCCGGGCCTGCTCCGGCGGACCAGCCTAGGCAGCCATCCCCTCCGCGAAACTGAGCAGTCACCGGCCGGAGCCGCATTCCGCCCTTGGAATCCCCCAAATCCCGGGAACCCCCGCCTCCTCGGGGCTTTTCCGCGAGCGTCAGACTCCGCTCACCTCGCTCCCCTCCGATGTCCACGTCAAAGAAGACTCGAGGGTTACTGGGGTTGGAGGGCTTGGCTTGGGGGGACGGGTGCGACATCTTGACTTGCAGACGTGTTTAGTACGGAATATCAGAGTACCTAGTGGCCGCCCGGGCCGCCCAAACTCCAGAGTCCGTCTCCGCCGGAGACCGGCAGCGACGCTGACCGGCCACTTCCGACGCAAGAACCGGAAGCCATGGCCTGACTTCCGGCACCGCCCCGCTCCCCCGCGCGGTGTTTCAAAGAGCCTGAGCGACTCCGTGCAGCGAACCGCGTGCCCTCCGCCACCTGTTCCTGGCTTCTCATTTAATGAAGTTGCGATCCCAGTTCTCATTATTCTTCTCGCTTGTGTTTCGTTGTCTTTCCCACCCTCGTGGCGTAGAGAGCTTTGGAGTCAACCCCATGCCAGCGTCAGCTCTGCCACCAAGTTGGGTGTGACTTCTCAGAAACTCAGTTTGCTCCTCTGGAAAAAGAATAAAAACGCTGACCTCGGAAGGTCGTTTTGAGGATTAAAGACATGAATCAGTACAATGCCTGGCATAAACTGGTGGTACCCAACCAATAGGAGCCTTATTATTGCCATGTCGTTACAATTTGATCTTCACATTACAATGTAAGTGGTAAGGCTTAGACTAAACGCTCCAAACAGCTAAAGCTGAGAGTCCAGAAGAGAGCACAGTTTTGATTCCTGATAAAACTGTATTTGGCGGGGCGCGGTGGCTCACGCCTGTAGTCCCAGCACATTGGGAGGCCGAGGCGGGCGGATCATTTGAGGTCAGGAGTTCGAGACCAGCCTGACCAACATGATGAAACCCGTCTCTACTAAAAATAAAAAAAAAAAAAATCACCCGGGCGTGGTGGTGCTTGCCTGTAGTCCCAGCTACTCGGGAGGCTGAGGCAGGAGAATCGCTTGAACCCGGGAGGCGGCGGTTGCAGTGAACCGAGATCGCGCCACTGTACTCCAGACTGGGTGACAGAGCGAAACTGTCCCCCCCCCCCCCAAAAAAAAGAAAAACAAAAAAATACTGTATTACTATAGCCCACTTTTCCCTTATGGGGATCTGTGTAAAACATTTACTTTTTACACACACACACACACACACACACACACACACACACACACATATATATGAGGAGAACATAGCCTTGCCTCTTAATAAAGCCTAATTTTGGAGAAGAGTGGCAATTCCCTGTGTAGATGCTTTGCCCTGTAGTTCTATTGGAGCTCAGCAATTTGGATTCAGCCTGAGGCTTACTTTATCAATAAGGCAGGAGATATCCTTAGATGCTTCACATTTTTTTTTCTTATGAGAAAGTAAAAAGTATTGGAATCCAGCACTCAAATAATGTCTCAAAAGCCAGGAGCCTTGTGTCAACAGCAGCAGCCAGAGTGGCTTTTTGGAAGGAAAGACCAGTGCTAATTTTCCCCTATCAGAGCTGTCACCATCCCTCTAGATGAAGGCTCCTGCCCTACTTGCTACCCGGTCTTAGGATAAGTAAAAGTTAGAAGGGTTACGGTTAAAGAACAACTGATTCCTATTCTCAATTTGAATTTGCCTGTGATGTTATACACTGGACTAAGCACGAAAGTTGATGTTAAAAAAGAAAAAAAAAAAAGCAAAAGCTTCAAGTTCTGACTACATGTATACTAGGCATGTTACCAAAGAAAAGTCATTTAATTTCTCTGAACCCTTCTCATTTCCTTTTCGGTAAAGTGCCAAAGAACAGGGTATGAGAATGGAAAAAGATAATGTGTAAGCATTTGCCTTGTAATCTCTAAAGCATTCTTATACACTCTTTTTTAAATTACTGAAAATTAGATGCTATAGTGCCTGAAGTTGTTTTAAAATAACCTGGAGTCAGGTAAGTGGGTTGGGTTGTGGATGAAACATAAGGGCCAGGCAGATGATTGGTGCATGGGAGTTTATTATACTACTCTTCTTTATTTTGCACATTTAAATTTTTTCATAATATTTTAAAAAGTAAAAGAGAAATTACATGTATTACTAGCTACTCATAATAAAACCAATTTGTTGGCCGGGTGTGATGGCTCACGCCTGTAATCCCAGCACTTTGGGAGGCCAAGGTGGGTGGAAGGCTTGAGCCCAGGAGTTCAAGACCAGCCCAGACAACATGGTGAAACCTCATCTCTACAAAAAATATTTTCTAAACAATAAATAAATAAATAATAAAACCAATTTATAGAGTCGTTTTTAATTAAAATACCAACATACCTTTTGTGAAAAAATAAATAATAGGTGTCGGTGAAATTTTAGGACAAATCAGTAAGGATATTATATTGATTGAATTTTTCTGTGTAATCACAAATTTGCCTTATTAACAAAATGCATACATACATAGGCATGTCCACATAGATACTCAGCAAAAGTTGATTCAATTATATGACAAATATTTAGCTCTTACTGTATGCCAGCCTCCATTCTGAGTGCTGATGATACAATGATGAAAAAACATATTCCTTATCCTTTTTTTTTTTTTTTTTTTTTTTTTGAGACAGGGTCTTGTGCTATCACCCAGGCTGGAGTGCAGTGGTGCAATCACAGCTCACAGTAGCCTCAACCTCCTGGACCCAAGTGATCTTCCCACCTCAGCCTCTTGAGTAGCTGGGACTACAGGCACATGCCGCCATGCCCAGGTAATTTTTTTTTTTAATTTTTAAGTGTAATTCAAAATGATTTCCTATCAGATTTCCTTGCTGATCCTTTCAAATTCCAGCACATTAAAGTTAATACAAAATGTTAATTTCTTATGTTCTCCAATTCCTGGTGTTTATTCATGGTATTTATTCATGGTGGTTCCCTGAAGATCCAGGACGGCTCAGAACAAAACTCCTGTGTCTCTTGATAAACAAGAGCATCAAAATCATTCATTAATCCAGTCTCATGTCTGGGCTGCAAACTGATAACTTATATTTTGTCTCATATATATCACAATAAGTTCACATTAACATTTTTATTCTGATCTACTAGCTTAAATTTAACATTTTAGTAGAGATGGGGTTTCGCCATGTTGCCCAGGCTGGTCTTGAACTCCTGGGTTCAAGCAATCTGCCCACCTTGGCCTCCAAAAGCATTGCAGGCATGAGCCACCACGCCTGGCCCCTTATCCTTAACTACACAAATTATACAGTCTTATGGGGGAGAAAGACTATTGAATAAACCTCTACAATGCAATATAATTAGTGTTTTAATAGGAAAAAGACAATCACATTCAGCACACAGCAGGGGCACTGAACACAGTAGCCTTTTCTAAGGTCAGAAATATGAGTAAGATCAGTCACAGGAGCATATGTGGCAAGGAAGACAGGTAAGGAGGGAACAGGTAAAGAGCATCTTCAAAGGAGGGGAACTATATATACTTATAAAGTGAAAATGGGCAACGAGAATGTTATTTCTCCATGAGAAGCCAGTTTTTTAGATAGTGCTGCTACTTCAGGTGGGTGTGGACCACTTGTGTATTAGTCCATTTTTCACACTGCTATAAAGGAATACCCGAGACTGTGTAATTCATAAAGGAAAGAGGTTTAATTGACTCACAGTTCCACATGACTAAGGAGGCCTCAGGAAACTTACAATCATGGCAGAAGGTGAAGGGGAAGCACACTTGGACCTTCCCACGTGGTGGCACGAGATAGAAGAGTGAGGAGCGAAGGGGAACAACCTCTTATAAAACCATCAGATCGCATGAGAACTCACTCACTATCACAAGAACAGCATGGGGGAAACCACCTCCATGATCCGATCTCCCTAGACACCTGGAGTCTCTCCCTAGACACATGGGGATTATGGGGATTACAGTTCAAGATGAGATTTGGGTTGGGACCTAACCATATCAACTGGTTTCAATGTTGAAATCAGAAGTCATGCTTTGGTTTGTATTTTTGTCCAGCTCCTTCAGATTGAGTTTTCAAAATGAGTAACAGTTTTATAACCTAGCCCATTTTATCCCTGAAATAGAAAGGAAAAAGAACACTAAGAGGAGCAAACTCAAAGATACCCCTAATTTACCTTTCCATAGCACTTATAACTTTGTAATATACTGTTTACTTACTTATTTCACATACTCATTAAAAATCAGCTCCTTGGGAATGATAGATAGTAAGAGGAGTTTAAAAAAACAAAATTTAGCTCCACAAGGACAAGAACCTTTGTTTTTTTCATTACTCTATCCCCAGCACTTCTAACAGTGCCTGACACATAGTAGGTGCTCAGTAAATATTTTTGAATGAATGAATTATACAAAATACTAATGGCTTTGAGAATTTTATGAAACAATGTTAACAAGAAATTTTATTTCCATGCCTTTAAGTGTAATTCAAAATGATTCTGTGTATCAGATTTTCATGCTGATCCTTCCAAATTCCAGCACATTAACATAAATATAAAATGTTAATTTCTTATGTTCTCCAATTCCTGGTGTTTATTCACGGTATTTATTCATGGTGGTTCCCTGAAGACCCAGGACGGCTCAGAACAAAACTTCTGTATCCCTTGATAAACTAGAGCATCAAAATCATTCACTAATCCAGTTTCATGTCTTGGCTGCAAACTGGTAACTTTGTCTCACATATATCACAATAAGTTCACATTAACATTTTTATTCTGATCTACTAGCTTAAATTTAACATTTTATTACAAGAATTGACACCCATATGCCATAGCCTCTCAACCATTATTATCATGATGAATATACTTAGGTAGGCATATCTTCTCTGCCATCAGAATTCTGGGGTTCACATTCAGTCTGTAACACATCATATTTTGTGCCTTTGGACGAGTTACTTAGCCTCTTTGTGCCTCACTTTCCTCACCTATAAATCAGAATAATAATATGTATCTCCTAAGGTTATTATGAAGATTAAATGAAAAATATTAAATAAAAGTGTTTTAGTATCTGACACACAGTAAGTACTCAATAAGGGTAAGCAATTACTAACCATAAGTAGCTAATACTTCATTATAATAGTTACATCAACATATTTCAAAATGGATATTAAAACTGCAAAGGAGTTTTGAGGATTCCTTTGCATTCTTACAAGGAAAAAAAAGTGACTCTTTCTGCTCTACTGGTTTCTGGGTGTAAAAGATTAATTCAGATGTTACTCTCACTATGTCTAGGTTTTTCACAGTAAAGCAACAGCTTTATATAAACTGTCATATTCCTAGAACCAAACCAAATAAAAGAATTGTACCTTTCAAAACCACTCAGAACTGGATCTCCAGTGAAAAGATAAACCTTTTCCTAGAAAACACTTGTTCTACTGTCAGTCTGATTACATGGAACAGGACTTCTGAGTTCTGACATCTTGTCTGTGCTTAGCAAGGAAAAGAGCAGAAGAGGCAAAAGCATGCCCCGTTTCTTAGGGTTAACACAGTTTCATCCAGATGGAGTGGGGAGTTTTCCTGATAGCCTTGTTGTTATAATTTCTGCCTGTTGCTCATAAATGTGGTAGAATAATATTAATAGATTGCCTTCCTCCCCAATATTCTCTTTTCTCAATCTCATTGCCCATCACCCCAAACAAGCAGCTAGGCATTCTGTGCTCTTTGCTTTTAAAGAAAGAAGTGACAGCAAAGAAAGCAGAGGGAACAAAGGGAATCTCTTCCTGTCTTTGGTGTTGCAAAAGGCTTGGCTTTACAGAAACAGATAAGACTCTTGGCTATAGCAAAAGATTTGGACAAAACATCTTTTATAAGATCATGGCTTTCCATTCTCAGAAAAAAAATCAAACAAAAAACCCACTTTCTGTGTTGGGAGATGACAAGATTGTGGATGGTGCACAGGGGAAAGTGAGAGAGGAGGCAATGGCAAGGCAGATTTCCACAGTCCCAGAGACAGGGAGTCTTACCATGGTCCCCGTCACATACCTGGGAAGCCACCAAACCTCCATAGATGGGTTTGTGAAATCCAGGAGCAGAGGGACGTGTTCCTTGATTCCTGAACTGTCCCAGGAAGGCAACAGGCCCCAGAAAGAGAACAAGATTCATGGTGTGATTAGGTAGATGGGAACTAGACAGGGTCACAGAGATTTTGTATGCCCTAACTTGAAGTGGAAACAAAACAATATCCCTGTACACCCATGTATGACGTGGAAAAGAAAGGCAGCCTCCACATTTAAAGGGAGCCTGCAGAAGGGAACTCTGAACTCATTAGAGATTTGTAGAACTGATAACTGAGTTAGGATCGTGAATTTCTCACTGGATGCCTGTGTAGGCAGATCACATTGAGAACCAGAGGCTCCAAACCCCCAAATTTGCTGTTATATTAGGCTTTTTTGAATTTAGATCCAACCCCAAGGGAGAGAAAGGAGGAATACCAGAAATAGACACGGATTATGATATTACCAGCCCTTTAAAATAGGCAATTCAGAATTGAATTTCAGCGGAGTTATAGAAAAATAAAGTTGTATTTCATACAGATCTAACTTTATTCCTTTACATGGGCATAGGTTGTAGATCACTGAGGTCCTTACTAGGATCCTGGACAAATTTGAAGTAACATCCAACCTCTTTGTCAAAGATAAGAAATTAGGAAGGATAGCAGAGTTAGAAGAGGAAATTTCAGGATCCTGTCTGTAGAATCAGACTCTGAAACCAAAGATAGAACTCCAAAGAACAGTTTAGCATGTAACTCCTTAAAGAGGAGACGAAATGAATTCTGCCTAGGAAGCACTGGTGTTGATGAGACAGTAACATGTGGGAGAGTTTCCTAACCAAGAATTTCTGCTCTGAACCACATAGAGAAAGTGATGCTTCCACTACAAGAGTCATAATTACAGATCAGAATGAGATAGCAACTCTCAGGTTTTGCCTGCTAAATTTACGAGTATCTAAGGATAACTGTAGGTCTTCTGAGCCAGAACATTGAATAAATGAAAGACGGCAAATGCCACCAGGGGACAGCAGAGTCTCCACCACTGGCAGAAATCATCGCACAGACAGAAGTGGTGCAGTGGACTTAGTGCCTGAGGACTCCCAACGGGACAAGCTTCTTCATCTAGGGGCTGGAAGTGACATGGCAAAAAAGGATATTGATTATTAGTTCACAATAGCACCAGGTAGACAGGGCTTATGTGCAATAAGGAGTAATAGTAAAATCTTTCTGAAGAGCAGTAAGATTATTTTCTTCTCTGCAGAGTAATAGGATTAATGTTTACTGTTTTCAGTTGAAAAAGTGTATTTACCCATATTTGATAGAACAAAACCAGTGATAGACTTGTTCAGTATTTCTTTTCTCTGAAGAAAAAAATGTTACATGAACCTAAAAGAACTTTTAAAACAATGACTTGTGACTATCATAAACAAAAATAGTAATAATTAGCACCTATTGATCATTACTATGTGCCACACTTGTGCCAGGTACTTTACATACTTCATCTTAGTTAGTCCTTAAAATAACTTTGGAATGTAGGTAACTTTATTATCCCATTTTACCTCTGTAATCCTTACAAGGCAAATAAGGGTTAGAGAGGTGAAAAAGTGTTGCCCAATATGATTCTAAAACCACTTCTACCATACACTAGAAAAATATAATCTAACAATCTTGATAGGTTTAAATATTTGTTTTAAAATACCATGATATATAAAGGGCCCCTGAGCTCCTTCTGACATTAATGCTGGAGTTGTTTTATCCCTATATAATTTGGTTTTGAGATATCATAATAAAATGGTTTAGGTTTTTATACCTTTTGTAAGATATTCTAAATTTATAGAATGTGAATAGAGGCAAATAATACATTTTTTCCACAGGAAATAAAAACAATAATAAAACTTCCACCAAATCTCTTTGCATGGAGTGAGAAAGGTTAGAGAATTAGTGCCAATCTTTTGGCATCTCCATGAACTTCCCTAATTCTGTGCAGAGATAGAAGCCAAAAGAAACAAATAGATGTGCAACTAACAGACGCTGGTGTCTCTGAAAAAGGGTTATGCTAAGTAGAAGAGTTTATGTAGAGAGGATCTGTTAGGGCTTATTGATTGACTCGACTTTTGTGACCTGTTGAGGATTTAAGATATTTTCCCAACAGCAACAGTAAACCAATGAAAAGGATTTTCAGCAGGGTTGACATGAAAAGATTTGCATGTTTAAAAGACTATTCTGGACCGAGCACCACGGCCCACACCTGTAATCCCAGCACTTTGGGAGGCTGAGGCAGGGGGATCACCTCACCCAAAGTCAGGAGTTCAAGACCAGCCTGGCCAACATGGCAAAACCCCATCTCTACAAAAAATACAAAAATTAGTTGGGCATGGTGGTGGGTGCCTGTAATCCCAGCTACTTGGGAGGCTGAGACAGGAGAATCACTTGAACCCAGGAGGCAGAGGCTGCAGTGAGCTGAGATCATGCCACTGCACTCCAGCCTGGGTAACAGAACAAGACTCTGTCTTAAAAAAAAAAAAAAAAAAAAAAAAAAAGACTATTCTGGTTCTAGCTTGGAGAACAAAATGGAGGGGAGCCATAATGGATTTAAAGAGGATACTGAGCAGGTTACTATTGGTGAGTGATGACTCCACTTGTACTAAAGTTGTGATAGTAAAGATGGATAAAAATGAATGGATGGGAAAGGTACAGGGGTGATCAACAGTAACAAGTGTTGGACTGGATGTGGGATATGACTGTGCAGAATGGAAAAAGGATGACACTTGGCTTCCTGAGATACACAATTGGATGGATGGTGAGGCTGTTTACTGAGATGAGGAACACTGGAAGAAAAAGATAGCGTTTGAGTGGAATATCATCACTTTGGTCTCAACATGGTACCTCATGTTGAATTTGAGGTACCTTTGAGACATCCAAATAGAGATACTGAGTAGTTAGTTGGACATATAAAGGGAAAGATCTAACACTGAGATATAAATTTAGGTATCATGGTATACAGATGATAATTTAGTGGGGAAAGGTGTAATAGTTGGACAGGGGGAGTAGAGGGTGAATAGAGAAAAGATCCTAGGACAGAGCCTTGAGAAACTGCACTTTTTAAAGGCCAGGAGGAGAGAAGAATGAGTCTGCAATGGAGGCAGAGAAGAAGAGTAGAAAGACAAGCCAGGAAGAAAATGTGGCATTATGACATTGACGGGAAAAAAGAGTGTTTCAAGGAGAGAGTGATAAACAAGTTGACTAGGAAATTAAGCAAAAAGAAGACTGATAGATATCCATTGAATGTAGTGACATGGAGGCAATTAATGAGCTTGCTGAGACGTTAAAAATGAATGGTATTATATCTCAAATAAAAGAACCTGTGATTTTTCATTTTTTATATTCCTAGTCTTAACATTTATTCCTAGTAATCTTACTATTGTAATACTGTTAAAATGTATTGAAAATGATGCATACAATTTAAAAATCCTATAAACATAAAAATTTCTTCTTAATAATAGAGAGTTTTATTCCTTGAGATTCTGTTTCTTTGGCAGAATGATTTCTGGGAATTAAAGATACAAAAACAAACATTACTCCATACCTACTGTGTGCCAGATGCTTTCACATATAGGTACCTTCTGTATCCTAATGCCATTATTAACCATCCTAGATACATATTGATTACTAACAGTTTGAATTTGGTAGCAGTTTGATTACTAACAGTTTGAATTTGATTGGTTTGAATTTCAAAGAAGATGGATTGGCACTTGGGAATTTTTTAGTCATCTTTCCAATATCATATCCCACCAAAGTTGATATATCCCAAAGTGAACTCTCATCTATACCTTACACTCAAATTACCTTCTCCTGTTACCCTCTCTATTTTTTTAAAGGTACCTTGGTCTAGAAACCCTTAAGATCTCACTCTACTTCTGCACACAGTAGATCTCAGGAATGTTCACTGTCACAATCTGTCAATTCTTCTTGTATAATATCTCTCCAATGTATCTCCCTTCTGTTCAGGAAATTTCATACATAAACAAAATAGTCTATTAATGGTTTTCCATCTCTATGGTTTCTCTACATTATAACAGAAACATTAAATAATATAATGGGTACCATTCTTGATAAAACCAAAACAGAGAATTACTCCTCCCCAAGGTATTTTCTCGTATTAACCATCAAAAACAAACAATACATACTATTTTTGCAAATGGCCAAATAATACTGTCTAGTTTTACAGATTTCTAGAATTCAAATTTGAAGGATGAATAAGTTTAGTAAACCACAGGGCTTAATGGCTACCAGATTCCTTATGCAATTCTCCCTGACTTTTACTTGTATCAGCTGAGCCTTTTTTTTTTTTTTGAGACGGAGTCTTGCTCCATTGCCCAGCCTGGAGTACAATGGCGTGATCTTGGCTCACTGCAACCTCTGCCTCCTAGATTCAAGCGATTCTCCCACCTCAGCCTCCCAAGTAGGTGGGATTACAGGTGCGTGCCAACACATCTGGCTAATTTTTGTATTTTTAGTAGAAACGGGGTTTCACCATGTTGGCAAGGCTGGTCTCGAACTCCTGACCTCAAGTGATCCACCTGCCTCGGCCTCCCAAAGTGCTGGGATTATGTCATAATTGAGAACACTAGTGACAATAAGAAATTCAGGATTTCTATGCTAGCTAAAGAGTAATTTATGTGCCCTGGATACTAGTGAGGAGCAAAAAAAAAAAAGGGGGTTTTATATTGTTGCCCACTGAAAGGAATATCTCACTTCACTAAGAATGAGGGTTTCAGTGAGGGTTATGACATTTCTCAAATTGCAGCAATGGATCTATTTAAATTGTGGAACTCTGTTGGAGCTCCAGAAATCTGTGCAAAGCATCATAAAAAAGTTGACCATCATTCCACAATGTATACATATATCAAAACACTATATTGTACACCATAAATATATAAAATTTTTATTTGTCAATTTAAAAAAAGTGACCTTGGCTACTAAACTTGTGAGGCGGGAAAAAACAGCATACATGCTCAAGTGACTCTACCAAAGAGGTATGGAGAGAAAGTTATTCCTCCATTCCTTTTAAGCATAAACAAAATGCTATATAAACAGAAATTGGGAATTATGACTTGTGGCTTGTTTTGTTTTTTTTTGTTTTGTTTTGTTTTTGGTTTTTTTTTTTTACAAAAGTGCAATTATTTATCCTGTGATATGTTTTTCTCACTTACTATACGATGGACATATATCCAGTTCAACTGACATAGATATGATCATTTGTTTTTAATAGATGCATAGTTCCATTGCAGTAATGTACCAGTTTTATTCAACTATCTCTCTCCAGGTTCACCTCAGTTTGGTTTAAGTTTTTGACAATACAAATAAAGCTAAAATAAACATTTCATATATATAAAAAATAAAAACATACCCGAGAGGCTGGTATTATACTCCCATTTCACAAAGAAGGAAAGAAGTTACCCCATAGCCAAATTGTCACAGCTACTCTTGTTTCTACAGCAGACTGTAAAACATGCCCTCCTAGGTCACTAAAAGCATTAATCTAACAGTCTGTCTAGATGTTTGGGGACAACTGTCAAAAAATGACAATTTTGTTTTGATCATTAGTAATATGAGTTGTTGCTCCTGAGAAAAATTAGCCAACAGGGTCAATTACTTCTTTTTTTTTTTTTTTTTTTTTTTTTGAGACGGAGTCTCGCTCTGTCGCCCAGGCTGGAGTGCAGTGGCGGGATCTCGGCTCACTGCAAGCTCCACCTCCCGGGTTCACGCCATTCTCCTGCCTCAGCCTCCCAAGTAGCTGGGACTACAGGCGCCCGCCACTACGCCCGGCTAATTTTTTGTATTTTTAGTAGAGACGGGGTTTCACCGTTTTAGCCGGGATGGTCTCGATCTCCTGACCTCGTGATCCGCCCGCCTCGGCCTCCCAAAGTGCTGGGATTACAGGCGTGAGCCACCGCGCCCGGCCAAGTCAATTACTTCTTGAACATTTCCTTAAAAGTGATCATGGGACCATGTTGTCAGAAGGAGGCTACTTGTTCAGCTTATACACACCCACACCCACACACACACCCACAAACACACACACACACCCCCACACCCACACACACACCCACAAACACACACACCCACACACACACACAAACACACACACACACACACACACCCACACACACACCCACACACGCACACAAACACACACACATATCAATCATTTCAGCTTAAAATTGGCAATTTAGATCACAATTATTTATTATGAAATTAATTTGAAATTTGATCTTGGAAAACAGAATTCCTCTATAGTCTAATTTTGACATATGCTGGATAAAGACTCTGCACTCTTCATTTGATTTACTTTTATATTGAATTAAAATACCCTAATATTACAATATAGTGATAATATTTGCTGAAGTAATTTCATTAGGATGTAACATATCTACTGGGAAAAATAAGTCTTTATTCTGCAGATATTATTGAGTACCTAATACATGTTGGGCTGTGCACATAGTTATAACAGTGAAAAACAGTGCTGCTGCTTTTGAAGAGTTCAGTGTTTACTGAAAGAGACAGAGCATTATAAAATGTGTTATAAAATGGAGGTAGCATTAAGAATCATGGGAGAAAAATTGGGCTATCCAACTTTGCAGGTTTCTAACAATTTCATAGGAGATGTGCTATTTGATTTAATAAATCAAATGTTTTAATAAATTAAATGTTGGAAAATACTAGGCTACAAGATTAGAGTCTAGAGGGACACATGCTAACATCATAGAGGTAACAAGCCCTAAAAACTGTTTATATTAGTCAATTCTCACGCTGCTAATAAAAAAGACATCCGTGAGACTGGGTAATTTTTTTTTTTTTTTTTTTTTTGGAGACGAAGTCTCTCTCTGTTGCCAGGCTGGAGTGCAGTGGTGCCATCTTGGCTCACTGCAACCTCCGCCCTCCGGATTCAAGTGATTCTCCTGCCTCAGCCTCCCAAGTAGCTGGGACTACAGGAACATGCCACCACACTGGCTAATTTTTGTATTTTTAGTAGAGATGGAGTTTCACCATGTTGGCCAGGCTGTTCTCGAACTCCTGACCTCAGGCAATCCACCCGCCTTGGCCTCCCAAAGTGCTGGGATTACAGGCGTGAGCCACTGCGCCCAGCGAGACTGGCTAGGTTATAAAGGAAAGAGGTTTGGCCAGGTGTGGTGGCTCAAGCCTGTAATCGCAGCACTTTGGGGGGCCGAGGTGGGTGGGTCACTTGAGACCAGGAGTTCAAGACCAGCCTGGCCAACATGGTAAAACCCCATCTCTACTAAAAATACAAAAATTAGCCAGGTGTGGTGGTGGATGCCTATAGTCCCAGCTACTTGGGAGGTTGAGGTGGGAGAATTACTTGAGCCCAGGAGCTCAAGGCTGTAGTGACCTATGACTGTGACACTGAACCCAGCCTGGGCAGCAGAGTGAGACTCCATCTCTCCAAAAAAAAAAAAAAAAAAAAAAAGGAGAGAGGTTTAATTGACTCACAGTTCAGCATGGTTGGGGAGGAATCAGGAAACTTACAGTTATGGTGGAAGGGGAAGCAAACACATCCTTCTTCACATGACGGCAGCAAGGAGAAGTATGAATGCCTAGCTAAGGGGGAAGCAAGCCCCTTATAAAACCATCAGATCTTGTGAGAAATAACTCACTACCACGAGAACAGGATGGGAGAAACCACCTCCATGATTCAATTCTCTCCATAACATGTGGGGATTATGGAAACTACAATTCAAGATGAGATTTGGTTGGCGACACAGCCAAACCATATCAATGTTTCTGTCTAAGAAATTAAAAACCGATAAAATAAGTGAACCTGTTATTACCAAGTGTAAGAGAGAACAAAATAGAATGTTAATAATGGAATATCTAACAAAAGTGAGAAACCTACATGTGTAGCTTATTGGAAAAAAAAAGGCTAGAACAGCCTGATGGCCTAAATACATATAAGTCAAATGGGAAAAGAAGTGACGCATGGTGGTGTGCACCTGTAGTTCCAGCTATTCAGGAGGCTGAGGTGGGACCACTTGAGGCCAGGAGTTCAAGGCTGCAGTGCGCTATAATGGCACCTGTGAGTAGCCACTCACTCCAGCCTGGGCAACATAGTGAGATCTGTCGTAAGGGAGGGGAAAGGGAAGGGGAAGTGGAAGGGGAAGGAGAAGGAGGGAAGGAAGGGAGGGAAGGAAGGGAAGGAAAGGAGGGAAGGAAGGGAGGGAAGGAAGGGAGGGAGGAATAAAGAAAGAAAAGAAAGGATTGAAGGAAGGAAGGGAGGGAGGAATAAAGAAAGAAAAGAAAGGATGGAAGGAAGGAAGTAAAGAAGGAAGGGAGGGAGGGAGGGAGGGAGGGAGGGAGGGAGGGAGGGAGAAAGGAAGAGCCTGGTGCGGTGGCTCATGGCTGTAGTACCAGCACATTGGGAGGCTGAGGTGGGTGGATCACTTGGGGTCAGGAGTCCGAGACCAGCCTGGCCAACATGGTGAAACCCCATCTCTACTAAAAATACAAAAATTAGCTGGGCATGGTGGCGCATGCCTGTAGTCACAGCTACTCAGGAGCCTGAGGCAGGAAAATCGCTTGAACCTGGGAGGTGGAGGTTGCAGTGAGCCAAGATCGCGCCACTGCACTCCAGCCTAGGCAACAGAGTGAAACTCCATCTCAAAAAAAAAAAAAAAAGAAAAAAAAGAAAAGAAAAGAAAGAAAACACAAATGGAAATAAATTCTTCATTTTTCATTTTTTCTCAGTTTATCCAGATTTGCTCAAAGCTCAGGACTACAAACAAAACACAACTATATATAAATAAATCTATCTAAAATATGTTCAATATTTTTATTCATTTTTCAAAATCTGGTAATGTTTGAGAGAAGTTTAAATGACATCTATTATCTACCAAACCTCCAATGGCTCAAAGACTAAATCATGAGAAATTTTCATTTGTATATGAAAACTTTTCCTTCTAGTCATATTCTTTGCATATAAGTAGATTTTTTAAAATTACTGGGTATTTTAATACCTTTATTAGAGATGTAAATGATAAAGGACCAGATTGTAGGACTTCATGCGTCCCCCCAAAAAATGCCCTTATAACTTAAAACTAAGACCAATTGTTTAAAATTACTTATATATCATAATTTTTTTTTTTGAGACGGGGTCTCTGCCACTCAGGCTGGAGTGCAATAGTAGTACCATAACTCACTGCAGCCTCAAACCCTAGGCTCATGTGATCTTCCTCCTTCGGCCTCCCAAAGTGCTAGGATTACAGGTGTGAGCCACTGCATCTGGCCTAGTATTTCAATTTTTAAACAGGTATTTTTTTTTAGTCTCTGGATATCTTTATTTTAGTGGAAGATAATCATTATCATTAAGTAAACATTTAAAATAAGTGTTAACATTTATTCCATGCTTACCCTGTATCATGAGTGTTCCATATATTTTATATATGTTTTATTTTATTTTATTTATTTACGTACTTATTTTTTAGAGACAGGGTCTCACTTTGTCACCCAGGCTGAAGCGCAGCCTGGACCTCCTGGGCTCACGTAATGCTCCTGCCTCAGCCTCCCGAATAGCTGGGGCTACAGGCGTGTTCCCCAATGCCTGGCTAATATTTTAATTTTTTGCAGAGATGGGGGTCTCACCTTGTTGCTCAGGCTGATCTTAAACTCCTGGACTCAAGTGATCCTCCTACCTCGGCCTCTCAAAGTAGCATGAGCCACTGTACCTGGCCCATTTTATTTTTTAAAAAGCTACACATTCACAAAATACAATCAAAAGATGAAAAGGAATACACAGTGAAAATTTTCTTGGCCACTCAACTACCCAAATTCAAGCTTTAGAGAAATTCAGCGCTACCATTTTCTGTGATTATGCAGCAAATATGTACATGTATCATCTACTTGTCACTCATTTTTGCACTGTTTTATACTTTGCTTCTTCTAATTAACACTGTATCTTGGCAGTACCCCTTGTCATAACATAAATGTTTCCTCATTCTTTTTTCTGGCATGGTTCAAGTTGAGTGTCTTAGTCTGTTTAGTGTTGTTATAGAGAAAAACCTGAGGCTGCGTAATATATTTTATTTATTTATTTTTAATTTATTTTTAACTTTTTTTAGACAAGGTCTCACTTTGTCACTCAAGCTGGAGTGCGGTGGCATGATCATGGCTTACTGCAGCCTCTACCTCCCAGAATCAAGCAATCCTCCTGCCTCAGCCTCTCTTGTAGCTGGGACCACAGGTGTGTACCATCGTACCAGCTAACTTTTTTTATTTTTTTTATTTTTGTGGAGACAGGGTCTCACTTTGTTGCCCAGGCTCATCTTGAACTCCTGGGCTCAAGCGATTCACCTGCCTCAGCCCCCCAAAATGCTGGAAGTACAGGCATAAGCCACTGTGCCTAGAGGCTGGGTAATTTATAAAGAAAAAAGGTTTATTTGGCTCATGATTGTGATGTCTGAAAAAGTTCATGATTGTGATTCTGCATCTGGTAAGGGCCACAGGCTGCTTGCACTCATAGAAGAATGTGAAGGGGAGCTGCTGTGTGCAGAGATCAAGAGCGAAAGAGGAGGTGCCAGGCTCTTTTTAACAAACAGCTCTTGTGGGAACTAATAGAGTGAAAATTGATCCACTCCTCTCCCCTAGGAGGTGGGAGGGGATTCATCCATTCATGAGGGATCCACTGCCAAGGCCCAAACACCCTGTATTAGGCTCCACCTCTAACATTGGGAATCAGATGTCAACAAGGGTCTAGCGGAACAAACTTCCAAACCATAGCATTGAGTATCTCTAATCCAAAAATCTGAAAGCTGAAATGCTCCCTAAATCCAAAACTTTTTGAGGGCTCACATGCCACAAGTGGAAAATTCCACACCTGGCCTCATGTGACAGGTTGCAGTCAAAACACAGTGAAAATTTGTTTCATGCACAGAACTGTTAAAAATATTGTATAAAATTACCTTCAGGCTATGTGTATAGAGTATACATGAAATATAAATGAATTTTGTGTTTAGACTTGAATCCAAAGATATCTCATCATGTATATGCAAATATTCTGAAATCCAAAGATATCTCATCATGTATATGCAAATATTCTGAAATCCAAAAATATCCAAAATCTGAAACATGTCTGTTCCCAAGAATTTTGGATAAGGGATTTTCAACCTGTGTTTGATTGCATAAGTCCATCAAAGCAGCCCCTTATAGATGGAGATTTAGGTTGTTTCCATACTTTCCCTACCATAACAGTATTACAATAAATATCCACATATAGGTATCAATTCACTCATTTACAAGTACATCTGTTTGAGAAATTCTAGCAAGAAGAATTGCTGGTTGTAAAGTACGTATGTGAGCCACGCACAGTGGCTCATGCCTATAATCCCAGCACTTTGGGAGTCTGAGGTGGGCAGATCTCTTGAACCCAGGAGTTGGAGACCAGCCTGGACAACATGGTGAAATTCCATCTCTGCATAAAATACAAAAATTAGCCGGGCATGGTGGTGCATGCCTGTAGTCCCAGCTACTGGGGAGGTCGAGATGGGAGGATCACTTGAGCCCGAGAGGTTGAGGTTCCAGTGAGCCATGCCTCTGCACTGCACCCTGCGCAACAGAGTGAGATCCTGTCTCAAATATACATACATACATACATACATACAATTAAAAAATAAAGTATGTGGGCTTTAATTTTTTGATAAGTATTGCCAAACTGTCTTATGTAATGGCTACACTAATTTACACTCCCCCAAGCAATGTATGAGAGTACATATCTCCACCAGACTCTTACCAACAAATGTATTTTTAAACTTTTTGATCTTTGCTAATAAGATTCAGTGGAAATGCCTTAGCACTTATGTTCTAAATAGATTTTCTCACTAATCTCTATAATAGTAAGTACTATTATTATCACCATTTTACATATGAGAAAATTAAGGCTTACAGAGGTTAGGTAACTAGCTAAAGTCATTCAGAGAAAAAGTAGAAGAATCCAGATTGCACTCCTGTTTGTGTCTTGAAAAAAACTCCTAACCACTAAGTACTTTCATTAAGAAATACCGTCAAATAGCTTTTAAATGTAAATTGCATTTCTCATAATTACCTTTAATGATACAAAACTATTTCAGATAGTTCAGCAGGATTTTACAGCCTCTTTGTGTCCTTATCAGTATAATTATCACTGAACAATAGATGTGTGTCCTAGTTTAAAAAACAGCCTAGTAGACAGATGCCAGGTGAACTCCCTATAATGGTCTCATATGATATCACCAATTTGAAAGTTGTATCCCATCCCCGAAAGCTTCAGCCTTCATTCTCCATACCCAGTGGCTCTGTTTCAGTTAGTGAAGCACAGATGGATGCTTAACTAGAATGCTGCAATCACAACATTCTGGAAACCTAAAAGATAACGTGAGGATTGCAGTAGCACCTTTGTTATCCATAGTTCAAGATGATTTGCAAATATTAAGGTGTGGCCTTCATCAAATGTAGATGGAATCAGTCTGCAAAACAACCAACCAAAAACTATGTGACTATTCTTTGCCACCCTTTGACAGTATTGGAGAGAATGTGCGTGGGGTGGAGAACTAATTATATCAGAATCATGTGCTCACAACATCTCAAGCTACAATTTGGAGACATTATCCATGCATTTTCTGGGTGTGGGCTTTCAGCACTTTACAGGTTTGACTTGTTTGCAGCTCTCAGTGGCATGCAGAAGGGCTCTGCCAGAACAGGTTTCACAAAGAGAAAATGCTGGTACCTCAACTTCAGCTCACAACCATTAAATTCTGCCTTTCATTCTGCATTTCATGTCAATGGAGAAAACAGTGGAGTATCCAAAAAATGGTATGGAGACACATGGGTGGCCATATGGGAAAAAAATTAAAGTTAGAAGTATACTTCACACCTTGTCCCAAAATGAATTCCAGATAGATAAAAAGATATATATATGTTTAAAAGTTTCATGAAAAAAATATGTATATATATCTCAGGTGGGAGAGGACTTTTAAAATATAATACTCAGAACACATAAAAGAAAATATGAATAAATTAGACTTCCAATTAAAAAAAATTCTGCGTAGAAAAACCCACCATAAACAAAGTCAAAGACAAATGACAAACCAGGAAAATTTTATTCCAACTCATATCACAGTCAAAGTGTTCATTTCCCTAATGTACAAAGAGCTTCTACAAATAAGAGAAACACCAACATCCTTAGAAAAGTGAGCCTGGGATATGTGCTTACAGTTTTCAGACGTGGAAATAAAAATGGCTCTCAAACTCCCTCATAAGGAATGCCAGTTAAAACTACACGGTGATTGTCAAAAATTCAACAGTTAGTAGCCTCAGTTGGTCAATCTATGGGGGAAACTTACATGCTCATACATTATTGGTGACAGTAATTTGGCAATATTTATCAAAACACAAATGCTGCAAAGAATGGGAAGATTGAGAAAAGTAATAATAAAAATCAAAAAGAAACACAAATGCTATGCCTATTGATTCCTCACTTGTACTTTTAGGGGAATGTAGTTTTAAAGAGGGTGGTTGGGAAAGGACAAAACCTGAAGGAGCTGAGGAAGGTTCAGGGAAGAACAGCCCAGGAAGAACACCAAATACTAAGGCCCAAGTTGAGAACAGTGTGAGGCATATGCTAGAAACAAGAGTGGCTGGAGTGGAATAAGTGATGAACGAGAATACTGGGAGATGTGTCAGGGAAATATTAGTAGGGCAGGACGTGGAGGGTCTACTAAGTCATCTTAAAGTCTTCAGCTTTTACTCTAAGCAGATAGAAAATCATTGGGGCATTGTGAGCAGAGGAGTGACCTTGTGTAAACTACATTTCTCAAAGACCACTTTACTGCTGTGAAAAGAACAGAGGAGAGAACAGTTAGGAGGCTACGGTATGAGGCAAGAGGTGGCAGTGAACTGAATCAAGATGACAGTAGTAGAGGTGGTGAGAAATGGCCAGATTTGGGGTATATTTTGAAAGCAGAGTCACCTGAATTTGCCAACAGATTGGATATGGGTAGAGAGAAAGAAAGAGTCTAGAATGACTGTAAGATTTTTGGCCTGAAAAACTGGAAAGACAGAGTTGCCATCAACTGAAATGAAGCAATGATTTGGAAGGAAGTCAGGTGTTAAATGATTAATGTGATCAACCTGAGATGCTTTTTAGACATTCAAATGGATATATCAAAGAAACAGTTTGGTTACATGAATTCTGATTTCTTGGGTGAGATCTAGGCTGAAGCTACAAATTAAGAAGTCAGCCCTTACAGGGGTCAGGCATGGTGGCTCATGCCTGTAATCCCAGCACTTTGGGAGGCTACGGTGGGCCGATTACTTGAGCCCAGGAGTTTGAGACCAACCTGGGCAACATGAAAAAACCCCATCTCTACAAAAAATACAAAAATTAGCCAGGCATGGTGGCACTCACCTGTGGTCCCAGCTACTTGGGAGGCTGAGGGGGAAAGATCATCTGAGCTTTAGGAAGTCGAAGCCGCAGTGAGCCCCATGACCATGCCACTGCTCTCCAGCCTGAGTGACAGAGTGAGACCCTGTCTCAAAACGACAACAACAACAAACCCCAAAACCGGAATTCAGCATGTAAAAATAGTTATTAAAGCCTGGGAACTAGATGAGGTCACCATGGAGTCAATGCAGATGCAGAGGAAAAGAGAATAAGAACTAATCCGAGAGCATGCCACCATTTAGAGGTAGGAATCATAAAGAGGAGCCAGCAGGAAAAGAGATTGACAGGGAGCAAAAAATGAGGTAAAAGTAAAACAACGAAAGTGTGGTGTCCTGTAAGCCTAATAATGAAACCCACCAATGCGGAGAAAGTGATCGATAGTGTCAAATACTGCTGATGGATTGGGGAAGATGAGGGTTGAGACCATTAGAGTTAGCAACACAGGTCACTAACAAACTTGAAGACACACATAGCTTTAGAGCAACAGTTGTAGTTGCAGGAAGAGGAAGGTGGTACCTTTCCTCCCCATCATAAGGGTCACAGCTGACATTCCTATAACAAAACGCAGGTTAACAAGAGAAAAGCATAACAGATTCATATAATCAAAGTTTTACATAACACAAGAGGCTTCAGAAATGAAGCCCTAAAATCCTGGGGGAACTATTTTTATGTGTAGATTCAACAAAGAATGGACAGCCATGTAGAAATGTGTTTACAGACAAAAAGTGTATGCTCTAATAGTAACAGGCTAAGAGGGGATATCCAGCAAGTCCTCTCTGTTCAGATTTTTCTTGGTCTCTCTGCGTAACGTTTCTTCCTCTCTGGTGGGGGGCAGGACCCCTCTGGAGCGAGGGTCTTCTAGGGAGAAGAGAGAAGGAGGAAGGGAGAGCGTAACCTGTCTAGGTTTTATGGCTTGCTTTTGGGACAGGAGTTCTCATTTCTGTGAACCACCTTGGGGAAGAGAATTCTGATTTCCATGATTTGCTTTTGGGGAGAAAATGGGGTGAGAGACAGGAGAATAGAAGAATGTCAGAGAGACCTTGCTTCTGAGGCCTTGAAATCTCCTTTCATTCCAAATACATAGCATGGCAAAGTGCCATACTTTGGGGGATCCTGTTCTGAGCCCCAACATGGTGAAAGCGTGAGTGGAGTGAATTCAAGAGAGAAGAGAATCAAGTGTCTAGATATAACTACCAATACACAGGAAATATGGAAGAAAGATGAACATGTTAAACAAAACCATGAGGATGCAAGCAGCCAAATCCAGAATGTAGGAACTTCTACAGGAAACAATGATCTGTTTTTTAAAAATAAGTCATATAAATGGCATGAAAACATGGGGGAGGAATACTGTTAGAGATGACAAAAGACTTAAAAAACATACCAGCCAAATACAATGTGTTTAAAGGCTGATTTGAGCAAATCTACATAAACGAGAAGTTTTTTGAAACAATCTAGGAAATTTAAAACCTAGCTGTATATTTAGGTTTGTTAGATATGATCATTGCTGTTGTGATTGACATTTGTAAAAGTCATTATCTGTTAGAGATGTGTATTGGAGTATTTATTTATTTATTTATTTATTTATTTATTTATTTATTTTTGAGACGGAGTCTCACTCTGTTGCCCAGGCTGGAGTGCAGTGGCGCAGTCTCGGCTCCACTGCATGCTCCGCCTCCCAGGTTCACGCCATTCTCCTGCCTCAGCCTCCCGAGTAGCTGGGACTACAGGCACCCACCACCATGCCCGGCTAATTTTTTATATTTTTATTAGAGACGGGGTTTCACCTTGTTAGCCTGGATGGTTTCGATCTCCTGACCTGATGATCCGCCTGCCTCAGCCTCCCAAAGTGCTGGGATTACAGGCGTGAGACACTGCACCCGGCCATGTATTTATAGGCAAAATAATATGATGTCTGGGATTTGCTTTAAAATACTTTAGAAAACAGACAAAGGCAAGGTTGTCAAAATAAAAAAAAACTTTAGAAAATGTAGGGAAAAAGAGTAAATGACATAAGATTGATAAAATGTTTCTAATGGTTGAAACTGGCTAAGGATATACAAGGCTCATTATCCTGTCTCTCTACCTTTGTGTATGCTCAAAAAAAAATGTTTTGTTTTGTTTTGTTTTTTTCAGGGGAATACATTGCTATTTATTTATTTTTTTTCTTTTCTTTTTTATTTTTATTTTTATTGATCATTCTTGGGTGTTTCTCACAGAGGGGGATTTGGCAGGGTCATAAGACAATAGCGGAGGGAAGGTCAGCAGATAAACAAGTGAACAAAGGTCTCTGGTTTTCCTAGGCAGAGGACCCTGAGGCCTTCCGCAGTGTTTGTGTCCGTGGGTACTTGAGATTAGGGTGTGGTGTTGACTCTTAACCAGCATGCTGCCTTCAAGCATCTGTTTAACAAAGCACATCTTGCACTGCCCTTAATCCATTTAACCCTGAGTGGACACAGCACATGTTTCAGAGAGCACAGGGTTGGGGGGTAAGGTCACAGATCAACAGGATCCCAAGGCAGAAGAATTTTTCTTAGTACAGAACAAAATGAAAAGTCTCCCATGTCTACTTCTTTCCACACAGACACCGCAACCATCCGACTTCTCAATCTTTTCCCCACCTTTCCCCGCTTTCTATTCCACAAAACCACCATTGTCATCATGGCCCGTTCTCAATGAGCTGTTGGGCACACCTCCCAGACGGGGTGGTGGCCGGGCAGAGGGGCTCCTCACTTCCCAGTAGGGGCGGCCGGGCAGAGGCGCCCCTCACCTCCCGGACGGGGCGGCTGGCCAGGCGGGGGGCTGACCCCCTCACCTCCCTCCCGGACGGGGCGGCTGGCCGGGCGGGGGGCTGACCCCCCCACCTCCCTCCCGGACGGGGCGGCTGGCCGGGCGGAGGGCTGACCCCCCACCTCCCGCCCGGACGGGGCGGCTGGCCGGGCGGGGGGCTGACACCCCACCTCCCTCCCGGACGGGGCGGCTGGCCGGGCGGGGGGCTGATCCCCCCACCTCCCTCCCGGACGGGGCGGCTGGCCTGGCGGGGGCTGACCCCCACCTCCCTCCCGGACAGGGCAGCTGCCGGGCGGAGACGTTCCTCACTTCCCAGACGGGGTGGCTGCCGGGCGGAGGGGCTCCTCACTTCTCAGACGGGGTGGCTGCCGGGTGGAGGGGCTCCTCACTTCTCAGACGGGGCGGTTGCCGGGCGGAGGGTCTCCTCCCTTCTCAGATGGGGCGGCTGGGCAGAGATGCTCCTCACCTCCCAGACGGGGCAGCGGGGCAAAGGCGCTCCCCATATCTCAGATGATGGGTGGCCAGGCAGAGACGCTCCTCACTTCCTAGATGGGATGGTGGCCGGGCAGAGACGCTCCTCACTTTCCAGACCGGGCAGCCAGGCAGAGGGGCTTCTCACATCCCAGACGATGGGCGGCCAGGCAGAGATGCTCCTCACTTCCTAGACGGGGTGGCGGCCGGGCAGAGGCTGCACTCTGGGCACTTTGGGAGGCCAAGGCAGGCGGCTGGGAGGTGGAGGTTGTAGCGAGCCGAGATCACGCCACTGCACTCCAGCCTGGGCACCATTGAGCACTGAGTGAACCAGACACTGTCTGCAATCCCAGCACCTCCGGAGGCCGAGGCTGGCGGATCACTCGCGGTTAGGAGCTGGAGACCAGCCCGGCCAACACAGCGAAACCCCATCTCCACCAAAAAAATACGAAAACCAGTCAGGCGTGGCAGCGCGCGCCTGCAATCGCAGGCACTCGGCAGGCTGAGGCAGGAGAATCAGGCAGGGAGGTTGCAGTGAGCCGAGATGGCAGCAGTACAGCCCAGCTTCGGCTCGGCATCAGAGGGACTGTTTTTTGTTTTTTTGAGACAGGGTCTTACTCAGTTTCCCAGGCTGGAGTGCAGTGGCGCGATCATGACTCACTGCAGCCTCAACCTGCCGGGCTCAAGCGATTTTCCCACTTCAGCATCCCGAATAGCTGGGACTACAAGTGTGCACCACCACACCCAGCTAATTTATAAATTTTTTTTATAGAGACGGAGTCTCACCATGTTGTCCAGGCTGGTCTCAAACTCCTGGGCTCAAGCCATCTACTCACCTCAGCCATTCAAAGTGCTGAGGTTGCAGGTGTGAGCCACCATGCCAGGCCAAACATTTTTTAAATAGTTCTTTTTATTTTTAGAGATGGAGGTCTTGATATGTAGCCCAGGCTGATCTCAAACTCCTGGGCTCAAGCCATCCTCCCACCTCAGCCTCCCAAGTTGTTGGAATTATAGTCATGAGCCACCACACCCGGTTTAATGTGATGATGTGGGGGGAGAAAGGAGACTCTTTGGAGAAATGTCTTTGAATAGCCAAGAAGGGATGAGAGCTGGTGCAAATGTGGAAGTGCTGGTCGTAAATAGGAGTACAGGACATTATATCCACAATAACGGGAGGCGAGGCAAGACAGAATATTGGCTGCTATGGTTTGAATGTGTCCCCTCCAAAATTCAGGTGTTGTCAATGTGATAGTACTCAGAGCTGGGGCCTTAACAGATGATTAGGCCACAAGGGCTCCTCTCTCATGAGTGGGTTAAAGCCCTTTATAAATGAGGCTTCATGCAGCATTCGGCTCACTTGCCCCTCTGCCTTCCACCATGTGAGAACACAGCCTGCATCTCTTCAGATGATGTGCCATCTTGGAAGTAGAGAACAGCTCTCACCAGACAACCAAAACTGTTGGTGCCTTAAACTTCCCAGTCTCCAGAACTGCGAGAAAATTAATTTCTCTTCTTTATAAATTACCCAGTCTCAGGTATTTTTTTTTACAGCAGCACAAAATGGACTAAAACATGGGCACAGATGTGAGAGGGTAGGGAAAGAAGAGGTGGTTGAAATTCTCTTCTGAAGCCTCAGTTCCCTTAATGAAACAGATGCTGGTTATCCGTGAAGAGTGAGGTTGGGGGACAAAGTGTTGGAGGTCTGAAAAAGGGCAAAAATTGTTTGTCTAGGAGGGTGGGAAGTGAAGGTGCTAGAAAGATATGGTATGATTGCTAGGCAGCATTAAAATCATACTGGAATTTGGTGGCCAAGAATCTAATCATCAAGAGTTTTCTCCGGCCAGACTCCATAGATGAATGCATGTGAGGAAGAGATAGAGTTTTAACCAGGGTTGTGGTTTTTCCATGCTAGTATTAGCAAGTGAGAGAGCACCAAATAAGTTGAGAGTTGTGTTATTTAGAACAAAGCTAGATTGCTATAACAAAGCAACCCAACATTAATTCTGAGACTTAAGTCAGATATTTATTTCTACTTCAAGCAACAGTCAGAAGTGACCATTTCAGGTCACTGGGTCTCATCTTCAAAGAATCATTTAGGGACTGGGGATCCGTCTTTCCATCTTGTTTCTCTTCCACATCCTAGTGCATTTTCCTCATTTGGATCATAGAAACTGGTTGGCAGACACATCCTTTACCATTTACCAGGAGGGGGAAGAAGAGCTTGAAGAGGAATCCCTTGCTTTAAGGGCCTAGCCTGCAGGTGCCACATATTACTTCGGTTTATATTCCACTGGCAAAATTTTAGTCTGATTGCTACACTTAAATGCAAGAAAGCCCAGGAAATGCCATATGTATGGTTAGCTATGTGCTTAGCTACAATTCTATCACTTTTGAGAAAGCAGAGGATGGATTTTTGTGGACAACTATAACTGTCTGCTAGGGAGTGATTACAGTTGACCAACGGATATATACTAAGCAACAAGGAATGAGAGAATCTGAAAATCAGGAGGCATAGAGTAAAGGTAGTAGAATCAGGGATGGTAGACCTCAATGGAGTGAAAGAATGGCTGGGGTAGGGGTATGAGACATGGAGAATGCTGGGCATGGGGAATATGGAGTTACTGTTACTGACTATGTCAAAGTCTAGGGTATGATCTCACAGTGAGTGGCTGATACAGGGTGAAAGGTCCAATCACAAGAAGAAGGGAGGTGAAAAAATTGAGGCTAAGACATGAAAGCTGACCATTTTGGATATTAAAATTACTTAGAATTATGCTATGTGTACTGTTGGAGAAAGTGACCCCACACTGAGCTGCTAACATCTGAGAAATGAGGGCAAGTGACTATGAGGGTTAGTAGGTGGTATAAACTGATGCCATGAGATTCAAAGCTGGAGATTTTTAGGGAGGAGGAGTGGTTCAAAAGTGAAAATGAGGTGCGAAAGGAACCTTCATCCCATCTCCAGGACCAACATCATGTAGATGTGGATTTGGTCAGAGAAGATCCAGAGGAGATAAATATATGCTTCTGATTTCTTCAGATTTTGAGAAAAAATACCAACTTTTTCTACCTGTGAGGCCCTTTGAAACACTATTTCCATTGAATAATACAAGGATAAACAAAAATTTTCTTTTAAAAAGGATGTATGCCTCCTGAATGTTACAGATTTGAATTGCCTTTTAAATAAGAAATGTGGGCTGGGCGCAGTGGCTCATGCCTGTAATCCCAGCACTTTGGGAGGCCGAGGCGGGTGGATCACAAGGTCAGGAGTTTGAGACCAGCCTCGCCAATACGGTGAAACCCGTCTCTACTAATGCTGGGATTACAGGTGTGAGCCACTGCACCCAGCCCACATTTCTTATTTAAAAGGCAACTTAAATCGGTAACATTCAGGAGGCATACATCCTTTTTAAAAGAAAATTTTTGTTTATTATTCAATGGAAATAGTGCTTCAAAGGGCCTCACAGGTAGAAAAAGTTGGCATTTTTTCTCAAAGTCTGAAGAAATCAGAAGCATATATTTACCTCCTCTGGATCTTCTCTGAGCGAATCCACATTGGGAGAATTTGTCTAACAACCAAGTCATTTTTTTCTCTTTAGATCTGGCCTATGGAATAACCAAGCCACAATTTATTATCCATTTGTGAGGGATTGTAATTCTTTTGAGGCTTTTCCTGGCGAAGCCCCCAGATTCTTCTTGTTGCATTTCTAGTTTATGAATCAAGCCTTTCATTTATTTATTTATTCAACAAGTATTTCTTTCCTTAGCAACCAGTCTAGCATGGCTTTATCCTAGGCACTTACGAGGTTATAAGGGCAATCCATTCCCAATCCTACAAGAGTTTACAGTCTATTTGGGATGACAAGAGAGAAAGAAAGAGAAAAGAAAAAAGGAAGGAAGGAAGAGAGAGAGGGAGGAGAAATAAAAAATACATTTAAAGTAACTAAAATACATGTGATTGTAAATTCAAAAAGAAATATGTGAAATCCATGAAAAGAAAACTATAAAACATTATTGTGGGACATGAGAAAAGGCTTGTAAAATGGAGAGACTTACTGGATTCCTGGGTGAGAAGAATCAGTATGGAATGGTATCAAATATGTTGAAATTAACCTAAAATTTAATTTATTTTAATAAATACTCCAACTCAAATTTTTAGAACTTGACAAGTCAATCATAAAATCTACTAGGAAAGATATCTATAAGCCAAAAAAATTTTTTTGAAAGAGAATAGCCAGCAATCCCACTTCCAGGTATATATTCAAAAGAACTGACATCAGTATTTTGAAAAGATGTCTGCACTCCCATGTTCACTGCAGCACTATTCACAATAGCCAAGACATGGAATCAACCTAAGTGTCCATCAATAGGAATGGATAAAGAAAATGTGGTATATATACACAATGGAATACTATTCAGCCTTAAGAAAAGAAAGAAATCTTGTCATTTGCAACACAGATAAACCTAGACGGAGGACATTATGCAAGTGAAATAAGCCAGGCACAAAGAGACAAATACTATGTGATCTCACTTTTATGTGGAATCTAAAAAAGTGGATCTCATAGAAGCAGAGAGTACAGTTACCAGGGATCGGGGGTAGAATGTCGGATGGGGACAGGGAGATGTTGACCAAAGGGTACAAAGTTTAACTTAGGAGGAATAAGTTTTTGAGATGTATTGCACAGCTCAGTGACCATTGCTAATAATAATGTATTGTATATTTCAAAATTGCAAAAATATATATATTTTAAGTGCTATAATTACAAAAAAGTATATGAGGTGATGGATAAGCTTGACATAATCATTCCATAATGTATACAAATATTAAAACACCACATAGTGCCCCACGAATATATACAATTATTGTCAATTAAAAATAAAAATTTAAATTAGAAAAACAGGAAAAAAATGACAAAGCGTAAGTGAAAAATTTGCCCTAACAGATATCAAAATACCTTGTAAACCTATAATGATTAAAGCAATGCAGAAACTGCTTTAAAAAAGACTGAAAAAAGAATAGAAAGTCTGTTTAAAAACAATTGGAAGTTAATGTTAACTTTTAATAAGGAGTTTTCATGTGCTGGACACCAATATAATTTTTGATGATAGAATATGGTGATTTTTTTCAGTTTTCAATTTTTAATTTTTGTGGATACATACATAGGTGTATATATTTATGGGGTACATGAGATACTTTTTTTTTTTTGAGATAGAGTTTCGCTCTTGTCACTCAGGCTGGAGTGCAATGGCTCGATCTTGGCTTACTGCAACCTCCATCTCCCAGGTTCAAGAGATTCTCCTGCCTCAGCCTCCCGAATAGCTGGGATAACAGGTGCCCGCCACCATGCCAAGCTAATTTTTATGTTTTTAGTAGAGACAGGGTTTCACCATGTTGGCCAGGCTGGTCTCGAACTCTTGACCTCAGGTGATCCACCTGCCTCGGCCTGCCAAAGTGCTGAGATTACAGGCATCAGCCACCCCGCCTGGCTGAGATACTTTTATATAGTATTCAATGCATAATAATCACATCAGAGTAAATGGGGAGAATATGGTGATTTTTAAAAATATATTTTGGAACAAAAAATTATAATTATATGCTGCTACAAACTCCTTCCATTTTCACCTACTTATTTATGTGAATAAGGTTTCTTAGCATTTACAACTATTAAAAAATTAAAAATATAAATTAATATTGAACCTGTCTCATTCTTGCAGTGTAATCTTCATTCATAAGAGTGAATAAATTAAATTTAGCTCCATCTGTCATTGAGAACAATGCAATTTTGTTTATGTTTAAGAATTACAAATTTGAGGCTGGGCACAGTGGCTCACACCTGTAATCCCAGCACTTTGGGAGGCTGAGGCAGGAGGATTGCTTGAGCCCAGGAGTTTGAGACCAGCCTGAGTGACATACTGAGACCTCATCTCTAAAAAAAATTTTTTTTAAAGTTAGGTGTGGTGGTGTATGCCTGTCATCCCAGCTACTCAGGAGGCTAACTAAGGTGGTAGAATCACATGAACCCAGGAGTTCAAGGCTGCAATGAACTATGATTGCACCACTGCACTCCAGCCTGGGTGACAGAGCAAGACCCTGTCTCTTAAAAAAAAAAAAAGTGGGAATACTACTACTACTTCTCTCAGAGGGTTGTTGCCAGGGTTAAAGGAAATATGAGATACACACAAGGAAAATGCTTAGAACAAGGCTTGAGATATAGTAAGTGCTATGCATGGGATTGCTATTACTTTTAAGAAATGGTATGCCACACCTAAGAATGTCAGAGATGACATATGAATGAGGCACCTCTGATATGTGAATTACTACATAATCAGCTTAAATACAAATAATGGTCATACTATATGTTACTGTTCATTCAACAAATATTAACTTGTCACTTGCTGGTTTGTACTTTTCTATGTGATGCATCTTCTTTTAAAAATGTTTTATACTTTTTATTTCCACAAAAATAAAACTTAATTTCTCTAATTTCTTAATGTATAAGGGTTTATAAAAAATAAATCAAAATGTAATACCTTCCGTTTTGGATTTCATGCCAAAAATAAAATTACATTTTGCTATGTATCCAAATTACATCTTACGAACTCCTATAGTGTTTTATAAAGACAAAAACAAATTTTTAAAGGTTGAAAAAAGCTGGGCATAATGGAACATGCCTCTACTCTCAGCTACTTGGGAAGCTGAGGCAGGAGGGTTGCTTAGCCCAGGGATTTGAGACCAGCCTGGGCAACGTGGCAACACCTAGTGGCTATTTTTTCTTTTCTTTTTTTTTTCTTTTTTTTTTTTGAGACAGAGTTACACTCTTGTTGCCCAGGCTGGAGTGGAATGGCGTGATCTCAGCTCACCGCAACCTCCGCTTCCTGGGTTCAAGCAATTCTCCTGCCTCAGCCTCCTGAGTAGCTGGGATAACAGGCATGCACCATCACGCCTGGCTAATTTGTATTTTTTGTAGAAACGGGGTTTCTTGATGTTGGTTGTTCTCAAACTCCTGACCTCAGGTAATCCGCCCGCCTCAGCCTCCCAAAGTGCTGGGATTACAGGCATGAGCCACCGCACCTAGCTAAATTTTCTTTTTTAAGTGTTGAAAAAGTTTGGTAGAGACTGGCTTGCACAATAAAATTACTAAAGTGTTGTCTAAATGTATGCAATTGGCAAAATACCTGCATTAAATTTTTCCAGTTGGACTATAGTACTTGTAAGTGGCAGTTATAACCATTTAAAAATTATTGAATAACCACATACGAACTTTTTTTTCAACTGAATATAATTTAGCTACAGGGTTGGTCAACATCATGGTAGGTAACAATGGATTCATACTAACTTTTTCAAGCCCCTAGATTTCTAGCCAACACATTGCAAGTAGTAATGCACTGGTTTTCACCATAGCAATATACTAAGCAATGGACTAAAAATTTAGCCAATGCTTTCCAATCTGTATCATTTAATGAATTTTATAAAGTGTTTAACTCACTTAACAATAATTAGCTCTGCTTTTGATCTTAAATAAGTAATGGAATCTCAATTATTCTTGGATAAAGGCAGGCAAGCAGGAGGCAGAGAACAGTAATTTTTAAACTTGTTTAGGTTTGAGGCATCACAAGAGAATCTGAAAAATTGTGGACTCTCTTCAAAAAGCTGCACATTCCTACAATACTTTGTACACAATTTGAGGGATCTAAGTGCTGTTTCTCAAAGTATCATCCATAGACCATCTGCTTCCAAATTTCTTGAAGTTCTAGTTAAAAGTTCAGATTCCTGAGCACCACTGCAGATTTACCAGATTGGCCCAGAAATAGGATTTTTAACAGTGTCCACAGATGAGATTATTTTAAGATAGACTGTATTTTTTATCAAAGAAGAATGCACAAATAGCATATTCATGTGTAACATTTTAAAAGTCAAATAGTACTAAAAAGATTGTAATTAAAAAAAAAAAAACAATAGTCAGGCTGGGTGCAGTGGTTCATGCCTGTAATCCCAAGGCGGGAGGATCGCTTGAACCAGGAGGTTGAGAACAGCTAGGGCAGTATAGTGAGACCCTATTTTTACCAAAAAATTTAAAAAATTAGCAGGGTGTGGTGGTACATGCCTGTGGTTCCAGCTACTTGGATGGCTGAGGTGGGAGGATCGCTTGAGCGCAGGAGGTCGAGGCTGCAGTGAGGTATGATTGCACCATTTAATTCCATTCTGAGAGATAGAGCAAGACCCTGTCTCAAAAAAAAAGCAAAAAAACAACAGTCTCCTATTGCAATCTTTCCCACACCCAGTCTCAGCCCTACAGGTTACCACCCTCAACTTTTCTAGCTAATTTCACTGATATTTTACTCTATATCTTAAAAAATTTATATGCTCATGTCACTATGTCTTGACTAGCCAATTTTAGTCCTTGTCCATTGACTTCCTGCCATGGTGAATAAACAGTAGGATCTTACTACCCTATGCTAACTTTACTTTCCTTCCCCCATGTCCCAGTATAGTTGTATAATAACTTTTTGTTAAATCAAGTCAACATTAATTATTAAGACAATGTATTGCACAGAGCCAGATAATGCATTACAACCTCTTTTCCTGCATAGCTTTCATTTTTTTCTGAAGTTAGTAACTGCCACATTGCATCGTTTGGTTTTCCATTTACCTATTGTTAATTTTTTCCCAGTGTTCCAGTGTCTTTGCATATACTTATCATTGACTTTTTTTTTTTTTTTTTTTTTTTTTTTTGAGACAGAGACACACTCTGTTGCCCAGGCTGGAGTGCAGTAGCACTATCTTGGCTGACTGCAACCTCGCCTCCCAAGTTCAAGCAATTCTCCTGTCTCAGCCTCCAGAGTAGCTGGGACTACAGGCATGTGCCAGAGCACCCAGCTAATATTTTTCTTTTTGGTAGAGACAGGGTTTCACCATGTTGGCCAGGCTGGTCTTGAACTCCTGACCTCAAGTGATCTGCCTGCCTCAGCCTCCCAAAGTGCTGGGATGACAGGCGTGAGCCATCACGCCTAGCCAACAATGATGTTTTTTATGCCCAAACATTTAAGTTCCATTTTTCTGAGCTACTCCTGGTGCCCTCTTCCCTCCCCCTCCTCTCTGGCCTGATTGTTTTGTTTTGTTTTTCTTTGAGATGGAGTCTCGCTCGGTCACCCAGGCTGGAGTGCAGTGGTGCAATCTCAACTCATTGTAACCTCTGCCTCCCAGTTCAAGCGATTCTCTGGCTAATTTTTGTATTTTTAGTAGAGATGGCGTTTCACCATGTTGGCCAGGCTGGTCTCAAATTCCTGACCTCAAGTAATCCACCTGCCCCAGGCTCCCAAAGTGCAGGGATTATAGGCGTGAGCCACCACACCCAGCCCTGGCCTGACTGTGTTTTAGAGATCCTGGGACATCCCTTCCTACAACCTTAGGAATTTTCTTGTTGCTTTTCTTCATTGCATCTTCTCTCCCATATCTTCTATTTTCTTGTTTTACTTCCCTATTTTGCTAAACAGCTTCGTAAGAAAGGATGCACAGATGATGTAATGTTTAAGACCTCGTACATCTGAAAATGTGGGTATTCTCTATGACTTGATTTATAGTTTACTTTGATAAAGGATTCTAGGATAAAAAGTTTTCCCTCTGAATTTTTTAGGTTGTAGTCCATTATCTTCAATCATCAAGGGTGGCTGGTGATAACTCTAACGCTTTTCTGAGTCCTATTCCATTTTTTTTTTTGTGATCAGCTTTTTCTCTCTGGAAGATTCCAGAATTATTTTCCTTATCCAAGATGTTCTGAAATTTGATGATGATGTGCCTGAAATTGTTTTGTTTTTAAATTGTTCTGGGTGGGCCCTATCAATATGAGGACCTCTATCCTTCAGTTCTGGAAAATTTTCTTCTATTATTTCTTTGATGATTTGTTCCCTGTTTTCTCCAATCTTTCTGAAACTTCTATTTTATTCACATCACTGTATATTTAATTTTCAGAGCTCTGTCTTGCTTTCCTTTTTCATGGCTTCCAATTTGTTTTATAGACATATCTTTTTGTCTCTTTGACATTAATCAATTATAGGGGTTTTTTTTGTTTTTTTTGTTTTTTTTGTTTTGAGATGGAGTTTTGCTTTGTTGCCCAGGCTGCAGTGCAGTGGTATGATCTCAGCTTACCGCAAGCTTCAAGCAATACTTGTGCCTCAGCCTCCTGAGTAGCTGGGATTACAGACATGTGCCACCACTCCTGGCTAATTTTTGTATTTTTCATAGAGATGGGGCTTCACCATGTTGGCCAGGCTGGTCTCGAACTCCTGGCCTCGAGTGATCCCCCCACCTCAGCTTCCCAAAGTGCTGAGATTACAGGTGTTAGCCACCATGCCTGGCCTATTATAGTTTTTTTTGAAGTTGCCTTCTCCTTGCATGGTCTCCACTTCTCCAGGTCCCTCTTAGTTCTAAGTATGTGTTTTCCTTACCATTTTGGAGGCATTCATCAAATGTTTAGTGATTCTTGGATTACCCTTCATATTTAAGAATGACACCCCAAACACTTGATTTGAAGTTCTCTGTATGGAGTACTGATTTATGAAGTTCATGAATAGATGCTCCAGCGGTGAACCATCTCTTCACTGGACTTTCCCAACTGTAAATGTCTGGAGAGCTTTTCTCTGCTGCCATTCTACTTCTCTAGGAGCTGAGCATTCACTTGATTCTCCTCTTTTGGTCCACTGAGGGACAGTTGTCCAGCCGTGCAGGGTAGGTGCAGAAAGGAACCTGGGGTCAGCCAGGCGTGGTGGCTCATGCCTGTAATACCAGCACTTTGGGAGGCCAAGGCAGGTGGATTACCTGAGGTCAGGAGTTCAAGACCAGCCTGGCCAACATGGTGAAACCCCACCTCTACTAAAAATACAGAAATTAGCTGGGTGTGGTGGTGTACACCTGTAGTCTCAGTTAACTGGGAGGCTGAGGCAGGAGAATCACTTGAACCCAGGAGGCAGAGGTTGTGGTGAGCCGAGATGGCACCAACATATTCCAGCCTGGGCAACAGAGCAAAACTCCGTTCTAAAAAACAAAACAAAACAAAAAACAAAACCCACAAAACCTGGGGTCTATTTACGTGTAGACTTTCAAACATCTCCCATGTTTTGAGCCTACACACCTGACCTATCCTTTAGTGACACCTCCTATATCCCAAATGTTGACACTTTAAGGATCTCTGAGGGCAACTGGCCCCTATCTTTACACTTAGGTTTTGACCTGTTCCTCTCTGCTAAGTTAATTACTACTTCTTCACCCACTTTCCGTCTTCCAAACATGTGTCTTTGTCCAAATACTTGTCGAAATCTCTAATTCTAATTGTGTCTCCCTTCTCTTTGTCTTTATTATTGTAGATTAATGTGTTTTTATTCCTCTACTGTCATTTTAGTGGGATTTGAAGAAGTGAGAGGTGGGGAAGGGAAAGCTTGTGGTGAAATTACAATCTGTAAATGGAATTCCTAAGTAATTCTTGTGCAACACACGCTTGAGGGTCACTGGCTAGAATACAGTTGGTGCTGGAATACTGGCTATTGACTATGTCGTGAACTAGATGAATTTAGAAAGAATTAAATATTTAAAAGCAGCAAAAATGGTATTTGTTAAACTACTGACCTAAGGAGTCTCATCAGATCCCAAAATGAAAATCCCTGCCAAATAAATAAATAACAAGAAAGGAAAAGAAGGAAGAAAGAAAGGTCCTAAGTATGTTAACTGTACCTATTTCTATCTATCCAGGTTGTGGAATAGATATCTTATTATATTCTTCTTTGTACTTTTCTGCATTTTCTAAATTTTATGCAGTGTGCATGACCGCGTGTATGAGAGAGTTTCTGTACCTCTCAGCACCTCACCTCTGGAGGTAAAATAAAGTCCACAGAGTCTGAAACATATACATTAATTGAACAAGTTTTTATTGAGTGCCTAAGCCAAAGTTAAATACCACAGAAGCATTAAGAAATAGGTAAATATTTTCTCGCTTTTTTTTTTTTTTTGAGACAGGTTGTCACTCTGTTACTCAGGCTGGAGTGCATTGGCACAATCTCAGCTAATTGCAACCTCATCCTCCTGGGCTCAATTGATCCACACCACCATGTCTGGCTACTTTTTGTATTTTTTTCGTAGAGACGGAGTTTTGCCATGTTGCCCAGGCTGGTCTCGAACTCCTGGTCTCAAGTGATCCACCTCCCTTGGCCTCCCAAAGTGCTGGGATTATGGGATTACAGGCGTGAGGCACTGCACCTGGTAGCTAACTATTTTCTGAATCATAACCTGAAAAGCTACTTAAAAAAACAGTTTGCCTCTCCCTCTCTCCTCTCTCTCTTTCCACGGTCTCCCTCTGTTGCCGAGGCTGGACTGTACTGCCGTGATCTCGGCTCGCTGCAACCTCCCTGCCTCGGGCTCCCATGATTCTCCTGCCTCAGCCTGCTGAGTGCCTGGGATTGCAGGCATGCACTGCCACGCCTGACTAGTTTTTGTATTTTTGGTGGAGACGGGGTTTCGCCGTGTTGGCCGGGCTGGTCTCCAGCTCCTGACCTCCAGCTCCTGATCTGCCCTCCTCGGCCTCCCGAGGTGCTGGGATTGCAGATGGAGTCTCGCTCACTCAATGCTCAATGTTGCCCAGGCTGGAGTGCAGTGGCGTGATCTCGGCTCGCTACAACCTCCACCTCCCAGCCGCCTGCCTTGGCCTCCCAAAGTGCTAAGATTACAGCCTCTGCCTGGCCGCCACCCCGTCTAGGAAGTGAGGAGCGTCTCTGCCTGGCCGCCTATCATCTGGGATGTGAGGAGCCCCTCCGCCCGGCCGCCACGTCTGGGAAGTGAGGAGCGCCTCTGCCCGGCCGCCCCTTCTGGGAGGTGACGAACGCCTCTGCATGGCTGCTGTGCAATCTTCCAAGTGTGAAGTGACAGCCTTTCTGCAGGTGTACCCAACAGCTCCGAAGAGATAGCGAACATCGAGAACGGGCCATGATGACGATGGCGGTTTTGTCAAAAAGAAAAGGGGGAAATGTGGGGAAAAGAAAGATCAGATTGTTACTGTGTCTGTGTAGAATGAAGTAGACGTAGGAGACTCCATTTTGTTCTCTACTAAGAAAAATTCTTCTGCCTTGGGATGCTGTTAATCTATAACCTTACCCCCAACCCCATGCTCTCTGAAACATGTGCTGTGTCAACTCAGGGTTAAATGGATTAAGGGCGGTGCAAGATGTGCTTTGTTAAACAGATGCTTGAAGGCAGCATGCTCCTTAAGAGTCATCACCACTCCCTAATCTCAAGTACCCAGGGACACAAACACTGCGGAAGGCCGCAGGGACCTCTGCCTAGGAAAACCAGAGAACTTTGTTCACGTGTTTATCTGCTGTCCTTCTCTCCACTATTATCCTATGACCCTGCCACATCCCCCTCTCCGAGAAACACCCAGGAATGATCAATAAATACTAAAAAAAAAAAAAAAAAAAAAAAAAAAAAGTTTGGGTTGAGAGAAGAAAGTGTCTTGGGAGGAATTTTTTAAAACTGAGAAGGCATGGAAACATATGGCATTTTTACATTTCTTTTACAAAATGTATTCAGGGCCGGGTGCGGTGGTTCATGCCTGTAATCTCAGTACTTTGGGAGGTCCGGGTGGGCAGATCACCTGAGGTCAGGAGTTCCAGACCAGGCTGATCATGGAGAAACCCCATCTCTACTAAAAATACAAAAATCAGCCAGGCATGGTAGCACACGCCTGTAATCCCAGCTACTTGAGAGGCTGAGGCAGGAAAATTGCTTGAACCCAGGAGGCAGAGGTCGCAGTGAGCCAAGATCACACCACTGCACTCTAGCCTGGGTGACAGAGCGAGATTCCATCTAAAAAAAAAAAAATGTATTCAGTGACTAATATCTCACAGATTCTATGCATGGAGTTAGAGATGCAAAAATCCAAAAATCCCCCATCTCATCCCTTAAGAAAGATCCATGGTCATGATGTAGTAGGTTCCTGAAAAATACTCAGGAAAAATACAGCTGTCTGCATTTTGTAATTTATAAATTAATTTATATGCAGCCAATTCTCGTGGTTGTTTGGCCACCAGTCATTTTCCCCACTCCCCCTTCTCTTTTTGAGAGACTTGGTTTTGTTCTGGTGAGTATCACTCCACCGGGTGACTCAGGGAATAGTCTCGTTAGTCAAAGACAATCATAATAACACCACATCCCCCTTGCCAGTGATTAGATGCTGCAGAGCTTCTGAGAAAATGAAACACACAGGGAGAGACCAGCCCCATCTCCTGCTGAATATAGTTGCACCTGCACATAGTCCCCAGAAGTGTGGGGCCATCTTGGTGCCAGCCCGAGGAAGAATTTAATACACAGAGGAGAGCAGAGCCAAGGGAATCCCAGAGAAGCAGGGGTGGCTCTAGTATGCCATGGCTGGCCCCTGTCCTACCTCTAGACCTAACATTTTATGAGGTAAAATGTCCTCTTATTGTTTAAGCCAATTTGGGCTGGAGCTTCTATTACTTGAAGTAAAAGGCAATAACTGATACAGTCTGCTTTGTCTCAGGAAGAGGATTTGGTATAAGAGGGAGAAGAGAGAAGGCAGATAGTATTACATGTTAGGTGATTCAGAAAGGCAAAATTCACATTCAGAGTAGGAGACCCAATATTGGTGATGCTGAAGCAAAAGGGCTTTGGGGTTAAGCCAAGTAATCAAAAACAAAAGTCTAAGTCCCCTATACGATCAGTTTCCTAATGGGGACTTACAACTGAACAGCAATGATCTCTTCTTCCTCCCAAAATAAATAAATGGAAAAAGTTAAGAAAGTCTTCCTCATCTAGCAATTTCCATGGCAAATTCTTTTGTGAGGGTCTAGAGCTTACCATGGTGTAGGGATGGCAAACTCCATTCATTTATTGACTCATTCATTCATTCAGCCAACAAATACATATCTGAGGAGATACCATGTGCCAGGCATATTAGTCAACAAGTCAGTCTCTGACCTAAAGGAGTATATATGTTTAGTGTGGGACAAAGGTGTTATAAATTTAGTGTGGGACAAAGGTGTTACAAATTTATTTATTGGTTAATTACAAATTATTGTAAGTGCTTTAAAGAAATAGAAAAGGGTGGTATAACAGAAACACTGGGGGCAAGGTCAGAGCTTTTAATTAAGAACACAGATTGAGGGAATCAGCCAGTCAACATGTGAATAAGTGACATTAAGTTGAGACCTGAAAGATAAATGGGAGTGCTGGGTGCAGTGGCACACACCAGTAATCCCAGCACTTTGGGAGTCTGAGGCCAGTGGATTGCTTGAGCTCAGGAGTTTGAGACCAGCCTGGGCAACAAGGCAAAACCCCGTCACTACAAATACAAAAAAAATTAGCCAGGCGCGATAGTGTGTGCCTGTAGTCCCAGCTACTCAGGAGGATGAGGTGGGAGGATCACCAGGAAGCAGAGGTTGCAGTAGGCCAAGATCACACTACTGCCCTCCAGCCTGGGTGACAGAGTGAGACCCTGTCTCAACAACAACAACAACAACAACAACAACAACAACAACAAACACATAGGAGTTAACCAGGCAGAACTGTGGGATGGGGGTGGGAGCACTCCTGACAGAGGAGGCTTGGTTGAAGAAATGAAAGCACACCAATGTGGCTAGAAGACACCAAGGGTGAGGTTGGGGGTGGGTGATGTGAGATGAATTTAGCGAGGAAGGCAGGGACCCAAACCTCTCTTGGCAATGCTAAGAATTTTGGATTTTACTAAGCGTGATGAGAAACCACTAAAAACTTTTAATCGAAGAAGGGACATGAAAAAAAGTTACACTTATAAGTGATCCCTACAGCAGCTGCACTAGAGTAGATAGGAGTTGGGCAAGAAAGTAACCAATTACTACTGCCAAAGTCCAAGAGATAAACGGGGCTTGGACTAGGGTGATGGCAATGAATAGAGAAATAAATGGATGAGAAATATTTTGGATGATGAGATAAATAGAAGGATTAAGGATGCTTCCTAAGTTTCAGTTTAAACAAATGTGTAGAAGGAAGGTGCCATTTACTGGGATAGGGAAGATGGCAAAGGAAGCAGGATTTGGAACAAGCAAAGATAAAGAGTTCAGTGTGTGATGCTTTTAAGATATCCCAGTGGAGATATTAAGTAGGTAGCTGGTTGTAAAATTCTGAAGAGAGGTCAGGACCAAAGGTAAAAATTAGGTGTCATCGACAGATAGACGGCATTTAAAGTCACAGGGATGGATGAGTTTATCTAGGGAGCTTAAGAATACAAATGAGAAGAATAGAAGTGAGACAAGAGAAGCCCGAGGAATTTCATACTTTAAAGGATAAGAGAGGCTGGGTACAGTGGCTCATGCCTGCAATATCCCAGCACTTTGGGAGGCCGAGGCAGGAGGATTGCTTGAGCCTAGCAGTTCTAGACCAGCCTGGGCTAATAGTGAGATATCATCTCTAAAAAAAAACATTAAAAAATTAGCTGGGTGTGGTGAGTGCCGGTGGTCCCAGCTACTCAGGAGGCTGAGGCAGGAGGAATGCTTGAACTTAGTAGGTCAAGGCTGCAGTGAGCTGTGTTTGTGCCACTGCACTCCAGCCTGGGCAACAAAGTGATATCCTGTCTCTAAATAAATAAAGGATGGGAAAGGAAGACCCACTAGTGGAGACTGAGTAGCCAACAAGTTTAGTTAAAACTAGAAGAGGTCTGCAATACTGAAAGATGAAAGTTTCCAAAAGGAGAAATGGTCAGTTGAATTGATTGCAGAGAAGAGAAAAATGTCGCTTGATTTCAGCACCATGGAGGTCACTGATTGCCACTGTAAGATTGTCAGGTGGATGGAGCTCTGCAAATACCGGAAGAATCAATTTATAGGATTCATTAGATTCAATGTTAGATTTTGAGGTTTTCTTCCCTGAGAGCTTCTGCTTTTTATTTGTTGTTGTTGCTGTTGTTTGTTTTTAAACAGGGTCTCACTCTGTGACCCAGACTGGAGTGCAGTGGCGCGATCAAGGCTCACTGAAGCCTCAACTTCCCAGGCTCAAGTGATTCTCCCACTTTAGCTCCCCTAGTAGCTGGGACTAAAGGCGCATGCCACCACGCCTAATTTCTTTTTAACTTTCTGTAGAGACACAGTCTCACTATGCTGCCCAGGCTGGTCTTTAACTCCTGGGCTCAAGGAATCCTCCCACCTCGGCCTCCCAGAGTGCTGGGATTACAGGTGTGAACCACTGTGCCTGGCTGGTTCTAACTGCTTATAAGGATGGTTATTTCATTATTTTTATTCTTTCTTAGACTCTCACTTTTTCCAAAAATGTAAATTTCCCTTTAAAAAATATAATAAAACTCTATCTTGCAAGTCCCACATAGGGTCCACTGGACCCTTTCATAACTTAACAGGATCTTGGTGATTCTGATTTCCTCTAGCTCCAGAAATTTTGCTATATCACTATCCTAGGGATTATTTCAACATTTTTCAGCAATTCCCAACTGTACAAGACAAGACAAAAATAGTTAAGGTGGGTGCTATAACAGAAGCACTGGGGACAAAAGTGAAATAAATCATCGCTATTAGATGATTCTTCCTTTATCTTATTGTAATGCCCAAAACACTGTATCATCTTTTAAGAGGGTAGAAAAAAAATCTGGAGATATTATTTTAATAGTATTTGTTGTTTTTTTTAAAGCTTTCGTTGATAAATATTCAGAATTTTTCATTTTTTCCCATAACGGCAAAGAGAAGAAAATTGATGAAAATATTTCTAATAATTAGAAAAAGCAGATGTCTAATGCAAAAAGACAGAGGACTCTATACTTTAAAGATGATGGTGAAATTTTATTTATTTAATTTTATTTTAGAGACAGGATCTTGCTCTGTTGCCCAGACTGGAGTACAGTGGTGTGATCATAGCTCACTGCTTCCTCGAACTCCTGGGTTCAAGTGATTCTCCTGCCTCAGCCTCTTAAGTAGGTAGGACTACGGGTATATACCACCATGCCCAGCTATTTTTTTTTTTACTTTTTGTGGAGAGAGGGTCTCATGCTGTTGCCCAGACTGGTCTTAAACTCCTGGGCTCAAGCAATCCTCTCACCTAGGCCTCCCAAAGTGCTGGGATTTATCGGTGTGAGCCATCGTGGCTGGCCTGAAACATGTAAGTGAAATCTCAGATTATGAGTCTTTAGATAATGATATCCTAGATACATTTTCTCAAACTCAAGAACTGACAATTCAACAACATATACCTAAGGATAAAAAGGAAATAGGGTATTCTCATCCAGTTTGACATTTAATAGGAATTACTTCCTTATTCAATACTTTGCAACAAGAACCTGAGCCATCCTAAAAAAGTGTGATATCTTGTCATCTTTCATGGTGTTGTGCATCCAATATACTTCATATAGTTTATAAGATAACAAATGATAAAGGCAGATGTATATATACAAAGGTGAAGGGAAGGAAATCTATAAGGAAGAGATGAAAAAATTCATTGGATTGCTAATTCTACTTGGTGTTTATAAATCTAAAAATGAAAATATTTTGCAACTAAGAAACAAAGAAAATAACTACTGTCTCTTCAACAAAATGATGAGCCATCAAAGTTTTCAAAAGCACTGCTTTTTGTTTATTCAAGTGCAAGCAGCACAAAGGTAATGATAAGTTAGAATCGTTAGAGATGTATTTGATTCTGGGTGTGGTGGCTCACACCTGTAATCTCAGCACTTTGGGAAGCTGAGGCAGGTGGATCACTTGAGGTCAGGAGTTCAAGACCAGCCTGGCCAACATGGTGAAACTCTGTCTCTACTAAAAATACAAAAAATTAGCCGGGCGTGGTGGTGGGTATCTGTAGTCCCAGCTACTCTGGATGGTTAGGCATGAGAATTGCTTGCACCCAGGAGGCGGAGGTTACAGTGAGGCAAGACTGCGCCACTGTACTCCAGCCTGGGTGACAGAGTGAGACTCTGTCTCAAAAAAAAAAAAATGTATTTGAAGCCTGGAATCAATATTTATAAGATGATTGTGTTCCTGGTTCATATATGCTAATTGATAAGTAGTCAGTTACGTTCAAAGAACACTGTCCATTTAGGGTAAATAATCCTTCAAATGCAGGAAAATATAGAATAAAAAACGGGTTTGCTGTACTGAAATTAAAAATTTTTTAAAGAATTATTTTTCACTATTCCTTTAGTCTTAGCTCTGTAAATAATTTGCAAAATCACTTAACAGTATGAAAAAACAGAACAGGACCATTGGTGACAAGTATTTTCTCTGGCATATTGAGAGATAAACAGATTGGCATTATGTGTCTCACATAACAAGCAATAAAGAGGACAGAAAACACGAACCTGCCTCAGCCTCTTATAGACTGGTCTATAAGAAAATAGAAATATTATCTCACCTAATGGAGAGTGTCAGGTTAGGGCAGAGGGATTGTGGCTCAATAATGCCATCAAGGACCCAGCTCGCTTCTATGTCTCTTTGCCATCTCCAGTCCTGGTTTCATCTTTAGGCTTGTAGCAAGATGGCATTAGACCTAGACATATAACATCCAAAGGAAGAAAAAAACCCACCTATCTCTCTCTCTCTCTCTTTCTATTAAGAGTGAGGAAACTTTTTCCAGAATTACTCCTTTTCCTCCAGCTCCTTTCTCTCTTGCCTCCTGTTAGGAATAAGGGTAACAGGTATTACATAGGCTACAAACGGTATCAATGACAGTCTAATTGCAGAAGCAGAACTAAAACAACTTACATAATATCCACTAATTGAGAACTGTCACCAGGACTCAGAATGGACCGGACTAAGTAAGTCAGCCCTTTACAACTTCCCCTTTCCCATTTTAGTGTTGTTCTGTCATCTCCAAGCATTCAGGATATTGTCTTATTCCCTGCTCCTCTTGACAGCTGCGTACAAGAACAGCCAGCTGGTATATTTTCCAAGATAGGGTGAGTGGGAAGAGGTGAATAAAGGAGATGTATGGAACTGGGCGATGGGCCACGTGACCAGTGTTGGAGACTGAGATTATGACAAGCCTCAGGGACCAGGCAATGACCAATGGATGATGGGCAAAAGATTGGATTTTTGTAGCGGCCTTGAGTAGCCAATAAAATAAAATAAAAATAAAAAACAAGAAGACTGGGAGAGCTGGCTAGAGCTGTCTCCCAGAACTTTTTTGGCTAGGATTTTTGTATACTTTAAAAATCCAAAGGAGGAGGTGTGGCCAGAACCAGGATGAGGAAGAATGTGATGCTGAGAGGAAGCACAGGGAGAAAGAGGGGAGAAGGGAAGCATTTTGGTTCCTTTTGTCTCCTTTAACTGAAGTCCTGGCTTTAATAGTTTAAAATACACACTCTTCCTTTATAGTTGCCTAGTCAAAACCAAAATTGAAGATGATGGCTAGAGCAGGTTATGATTTTTTAATTGCCTCTTTTGGATGATCTTGTCTATTTGGACTGGGTTGGAACTGAAAGAGTCCTAGGAAGTGAGGAATGAGGCACAATATGTCAAATTCCTCTTCTATATGCAGTTACAAAAGCTGCTAGGCTCATGAGGAACATGCAGATTTTAGTCTGGAGAATAAAGGACATTTTCTGACCAAGGATGGAGTAAGGAAAGGTGGTGAGTTGCTGGCCACAGTATGACCTGGGACTGTATCTGAAAGTCACAACGTATAAAGCCAATACCTTCTATATAGCATCCTGACCAACACTGGCAGCCCTATGAGGTAAAGGCCTTCAGCAAACAGAAATAGCAAAGTTGCAAATTAGGGTTCTGTGTACACTCAATTGTGCAAAAGGATGATTGCTCATCAGGATAAACACTTAATCCACCATTTTAACAGTAAAAGTCCGAAGGAAACAAATGACTAAGTTTCCATTTCTACCACCTTTCTCTTACCTTTGTGAAATTTCAGCACATTATTCACAGCTAGTTCCCAACCAAGTCCAGAAACTAACACAATTAAAAAAAGAAAATGCAAAGTAAAATAGGCCCAGAATAGGTTCTTTTGATTACTTATGTTTTTGGAAATATATTTTCCTTTTTGAGTCTCCAAGAGTCCTCCTCTCAACAAGTGTAAGAGAGCCCAGGTGAGTCACTGTTCACTACTCATGGAGAAGCTAGAAGAGGCATGGTTGGGGTCTTACTAACTTTATCTCTATTTCCCATCATCGGAAAAATTCGTGAAGCCCAACGCTCTAAAACATAGATTAAGAAGTTGCTTTGAGTCTGGTAACGTGTCCTACACTGGCTGTTTAGAGCCCTGCACCACCAAGGATTAAATTCCAAAGGGGACTGGGGTGGGACAGGGCAGGAAAGCGGACTCAAACACATGAACTCCTCCCTTCCTCAAACCAAATATCTGCTGCTGATATGCCTTGATTGACTGTTAAATATGTATTAGGAAAAACAATCCCTTGCTATAAAATATCTTAAGTTTCTAAATCTATGTAGTGAGTTCTGTGTGTGTGTGTGTGTGTGTGTGTGTGTGTGTGTGTGTATGTTTTAAAGGGGGGACTTAATATTTCAAATGCAACTTCTTATATAACCATGGTATGGTGGCCCAAGACGCCAAACAGAACAAATGATTTGGATAAACAGTTTAAATTTTGTGAAAGCCTGGAGGAATCGAATTTGGACATGGAGGAAACCTGACAAAACCTTGGGTGCTATGTGATTCAAATCACAGCCCACCGAAGCGGCCACCGCGCGTACCAAGCCTTCCCCCCTAGCATACGCCTTCTGTGAACGGGCTCTTGTACCTGAACAAAGCGAGGACCCAAGTTCAGGGGCTTTGTCTCTAAAGAACAAAGATCGGCCTAGCTGCATGCTCGCTGTGCGAAAGAACCCAGGCTCCGTGGGAACCCCACGCCACTCGCGGAGCTGCGCCCCGGCGGCCGCCCTCGCCCCTCGGGCCCCTTTAAGTGCCGCGCCTGCCCCCGTCCGCGTCCCCCGCGTGCCCGGAGTACTGGGCCGCCCGCCCGCTCCTGGCCGCACCTCCCACCTCCCGCCTCCCGCCGGGGTTACGTGAGCCCGGGGCGGGCGGCCGCCGGGCCAATGGCCGCCGCCGGGGCCGCCGCGCTCCTCCCGCGCCGCCGCCGCCGCCGTGGGGCTGCGGGCTCCTCCCGCAGGAGATAACTGTCAGCGCGCGAGGCGGTGGCGGGCCGGCTCAGTCATATGACCGGCAGCCGGCGGCTCCGGCGCCGAGCAGAGTTACTCAGTCGCAGCGGCCCCGCGCTCCCGCAAGGCTGGGCGGCCGCGCCGCCGCGATGGCCCCGCCACCGCGGCCGCCGCCCCCGGCTGCGCGCTGAGCCGCCGGCCCCCCGAGCGCCACGGCCGGAGCTGCGGCGGCGGCATCATGGCCCCGACCCTGCTCCAGAAGCTCTTCAACAAAAGGGGCAGCAGCGGCAGCTCCGCGGCGGCGTCTGCCCAGGGCAGGGCTCCTAAGGAAGGACCCGCCTTTAGGTGAGGGGGCGCCGGGGGGCAATTCTGGCGCGGGACCCGAGTTGGCTTCGGTGCTCGCCGGGGAGGGGACGGGTAGGGGAAAGGGAAGGGACTGTCCAGGACGGCGCTGCCTATCGCCGGCACCTGGTCCCGGGCTTGTCAGCGTGGACGCGCCTGATCCGAGTGTGGCTCCGGACCCTCCGTGACCCTTCCTCCCGCTCTTTCTCCACAACTCAGGGTCCTTCCCCATTTCAGAGTTCTCTTGTGTTCCTTGGGGTTCCCGGGCGTGCGCTGTGCTTGGCTGTGGCGACCGGAGATTCTCCGGTTATTGGGGTGAACCCCTTCCGGGCAGAGCCGCCTGGGCACCTCTGCGGGCCCAGCAAAGCTGTGAGCTGTCATTTTGAGGGCAGCTCCAACCTATTGTGTACGTGACAGTGTTTTGAAGTTCTGAAGGAGCAACAGTCACGAAAAAGGCATCTTTCTTCTTTCTTGCCATATATGACAAGCTCTCAAACGGATGAATGAAAGTATGTAATTTCCACATCATGTGGAAGGTTGATGCCGCATGATGTGTGGAAAGGGGGAGTAAGATGCAATTATGAAATTTCCGAGATTTCAATTGATCAAAGCTGATATGTATATTTAATAGATTTGATCTCTCGAACACATACCTTTGAATATTGATAGCATTTATGGAGAGCTTACTACCTAAAATGCTTTATGTTGATTTCTGTCGTTTACTTTTCTGACAATGCGGTGAGGTGGGTGCTATTATAATTCCCATTTTACAGGTGAGGAAACTTAAAGTCACAGATAACTTAGGCGGCTTGCCCAAAATCCAGCTGTCAGTGGTAGAGCCTGTGTTTTGACCCAAGCAGTTTGACCACAGATTCCAGTCTTTAAAATCCCTATGCTATTCTGATTTCAAGGGCTAACTTTTAAAAGACGCCTTAAAATGTCCTATATTGCCTTTGAGCACAGGTATGTTGAGAAGTTTATTTAACAATTTTTCAACACATTTTAAAATTGAGCACCAACTCCCAATTCTGACACTATGCTAGGTGCTTTTTGGCCAAAATGTCTTGCAAAAACAGTTCACTGTTAAACAGATCTAGACCCAGTATAATAAACCTTTAAAAGTTTCAAGTGAAACTTTGAAATAAATTCTGGATTAAGTTTTATGTTCTAGATTTTGCTTTTCTTGAATTCCATCATTTAAAACAGTCTCTCACTGTGGTCATGTGAAAATTAAACGTGTGTGTGTGTGTGCACGCGCGCTCATGGAAGGCATATTGTGAGGACCTTAAACTCCCCAAGTTAAATTCTCATGTTTTCTTTAGGCTAACAAGCCTTATAATTTGAGTGGGAATTCTATGCCTTTTGTTAGGCTGAGTATTAGTGATGCCATGTACCTTCTCAGAATGGTAGAATTACTTCGGACCTAAGGTGTGTAATTTCGTCCCTTCCCTCCCTGTAACCCAGACTCCATCAGGGGTACAAAGCCTGGAGCGGAAGGAGCATGTTACAGGTGTCTGTACTTTGACAGCTCTTGCCAAGGACATTTAAAGCCATTTGAATGCAGGAGGAGATAGTGGCGGTTACTTGTCATTGTTTTCTGTGCTCCTTGCCTAATTGCCTACCACCATTTCCGCTATCCACAAGTTTAACTGAGTGTATTTGAACAAAAAAAATATGGCTATATTTAGGGTTTTGGGCCATATTAGGGAAATTGATTCCCACTTCATGGGAACATTTTCAGTAGTGTTCTGACTTCTCATTTGTGTATAATGAAGAACAGAAAATCGTGCCAAGTACGGTCTTTTTTTTGACCTCATTGGGATTTTCTACAAGAATTTGAGATCGATGTTTTTGGAGAATTTGGGGATCCCAGTTGAACATCCTACTTGATGAGGGCCCCCTTCAATAGTGTCCCTGATAGAGGTCACCATGGAAAAGAAAGTAAAGTAGCAGATGTGAGCAAGGATGCTGGACGATGGGAACAAACCATCCTGTGCTCACCAGACTGACAAAGGAGACCCCAAGCAAGTCTTTCCTTTTGCTCTTTTCACCTGGCTTAATTCTAAGATGCTGTGTAGCTGGCCTGGGAAAAGCTTCCAGGAAAATTTTTCTCTCTACCTAAAAAATTGTGAACCTGTGTTTCATTTTACCCAGATTTTGCCAAATAGGAGTTGGTATGTACTTTGAGGGGAACAAGGTGCCTTATTGCAGGGCATTAGCTGCCCTTGGGAACTACCTTGTAGTTAAATAGAGTTTTAGAAGTGAAGCTAAAACCCTTAGATTAAAAATCGAGTATTCCTAACATGAATTTGTATTCTTTAGTGCATTTAAGTACAGGATGTAACTTGTTTATCTGGAGATTGAAAATTCACTGAGGATTCAGGTAGACTTTTGGGGCAGTTTTGTAGTGTATATGGGGGAGAATCTAAGATCCAACTTTTTGTTTGTTTGTTTTAGAGTTTGTATATCTTCTGTTTCCATGATGGACTTTCACTGGTTATTTTAAACTTCTCTTCTCAGAATTGTTTTGCCCTTGTTGTTAGTCTTTTTACTCTTGTGCACTTCCTAGTCCCTTCGCTGGGCTTATGACTGTTCTCATTCCTCCAGTTTTTACACACTTGATTAGAGAGGAAATCTGTTGTCCAATATAACTAGTTTATCTCACAGGTCATTTTCAGGACTTCATGTTTCCTGGCATTTCATCTAAAAACAGGATCATCATAGTCAAGATTTCTTCTGGAGTATTTCCTTTAGGATCTTGACAGAAAGCCCTTTTCATAGCTTTGAGGAAACAGGTTGCTAGGAAAACAAAAGGAATCACGATTGACCAAACTTACATGTTTGGGAGAAGTAGTCAGGAATGCTATATGATTATGGCATTTACATTTGAATAATGCTTCGTACCAGAAAAATAAATTAGGACAAAAAAAATGATGTGTACAGTGACTCAAGTCAGAAATAGAATTATGTTCTTGGTTACCTTGGATTTAAGGCCAGGATGTTTTCAAGCCACGCTATGTCCAGTGACTTACATGTGTGGTTCACGTTTGAAGCATTATCTTAAGGTTGTTCTTGTTGTTGTTGTTTTTTTCTCCATGTCTTTTGTAAATTAATGGAGCAGTTTCAAACCCCTAAAATGTGTATTTAGCAGGGAGGTGAAAAGACCTTGGGCTACCAGATGTTCTTTTATTTTGGAGCAGTTAAATGAAGTAGGGAAGCATATATATTATCTGGGATATGAAGAACAAGTGAAGGCATTGCAGCTGCTTGTTAGCTAGCTGTGTGAATGCCAGAGAAGAGTATACCTAAGGCCAAATGGCCTAGTAAGTGCTGATCCCCACTGTTTTGTTAGAACAAATTTAATCTGTTATAGAGTTAGTATAAGTATAATTTAATCCACTTATCACATAGCATCTGATGCCTCTGTGCTTGTGGCTTGGCGCTCTACCTGTATAAATCCAGGCAGGACACCCACGGTCTCACCTACTGGAGTTTACAATCTAAAGGACAACAGATTATACACTAAGATGAATAAAGAGCAGACAACACATTGGAAACTATAACAAACAGATAAACACTGATAAAGAGTAGATTTTTATATAAGCACAGAATTAAGAACTTACTTGCTGTTCTTGTGCTTGGAGTGACTAAGGGCCGGATTGTGATTTACTCTTCCCTCACATGGAGGGAAATTACACAGAAGTGCTTCCTCCGCTCCCACTAATAAGTCTCCAGATGCAAGTATTTCTAATGAGATTTGTTCTGAGGTAGGGTGGATAATATTTTGGAAAAAAACAGTTTTGTTCTAGTACACTCAACATTTTTAATGCCAATAATATAAAACATGACATATAAATAGCAGTTTTGATTTCTTTTGACTACTTTCTAAAAGAAAGTCTTTCTGTAGATTTTTCTTGCTTGCTGCCTTGGATCTATTGGCACACTCCTTACATCATATCTCCTTGTCCTGAAAGATACTATGCACTGGTTAGTGATTTTTTCAGAGGTGAAGAAGGGAACCCTTCCTTTGAATGCAGTGAGTTCTATTAAGAGCACTTGGAACACAGATTGAGGAAGCCATTGATTTAGCCCTGCCTCATGTACCATGTTGATGGGAGACCCAACAAGACTCCATTTCTCTGATCCTCAGCTTTGTCATTTGTAAAGTGACAGCATCAGACCTATGTAACAAAGTTGTGGTAAGGAAGTAATGAGCTTGAAAATCTTTTGAAAAGAATAACATGCAATACAAACTGATTTTAAGTATTACTAAGCATCTTTTTTTAGGTCATGGAGTTCAGTATTATTCCTGTTGAGGCTTTACGAAAATGGAACCATTTTTCAGAGGCTGTTTTCTTTCTGTAGATGAGAGTTGAGACAGTGCTGAATTGAACTGTTTTCACTTGCATATTAGTTTTTTAACCTTGATGTAGTCATTCATGAAACAGAGACCTTAAGTTTTCAGAGGGGTCTTAAAGATGTTCAGCGGACACTCACTCAAACCTGGTAGAGGTGACGGGGTGTCAGAAAGATTCTTAGAAATATGGTGTGTTTGTTTTTTCAAAGTTATTTGCAAGTTTTTATTATTAAGAATAAAATTGCATTTAGCCAAAAAAGGAAATTGGTTAAGCAAAATGATATAGTCACACAATGGATGACATTCTATAGCATCCAAATCATAATTTTATACACAGACACACAAAACAAAAGAAAAATGTTCTCAATAGAAGAAGTAAAAGCAACTCTAATAGCCTGACTTCACCACTGTGCAATCTATGCATGTAACAAAATTACACTTATACCCCATAAATTTATATAAATTTTAAAAAGTAAAAGCAAGTTATAAATTTATGTGAAAAACATTTAAAAATAGGAGCGATTATGCATGTGCAGAATAGGCCAGCAACACTCTACACCAACATATTATAACAGTGGTTGCCAAGAGGTAGGTGAAAATTTTATTTTAATTTTTTGTGTTTTATTCTTGTTGGTATTTTTGGATTTTGCTCTAATGAATTTGTGTTACTTTTGTGATTTGGATTATTTTAAACCTAAATATTCTAGATTATTTAACTATTAGATTATTTAACTATTTAAGATAACTTAAATAGCATTTAGCATATTCTACACTGTGAGGGAATAGAGTAAGGATAATGTTTATGGAGAAATCTGATTTGAATAAATTTCATAGAATCTTTCTTCTTCATCAAAATAACTGTTAGCTCCTATTATTAAAAGTAATATGTTTGTTATGAGGTTTAATGTATTTAAAATCTAAACTCATTATAAACCTCAGAGGCTAAGTTAATTGGCAGTGTCAATAATGATAGGAGATATGTATGTGCAAAATGTTTACTAGTTTGACAGGGTCGCTACTTCACCTGAGCTTCAGAGCCCAGTGTAGTCTTCCTGGGGGCTCAGAGTACAGTTAGGAGCTGCATGCAGCTCAAGCTTTATTTGAAATATGTTTAGAAAAGACTGACACAGCCCTTTGGATTTTGAGGGAATGTGGATAAGAGGCCTGGATTAGATGTTTTAAAAGCTAAAACATGTAGTTATAATTTTAAGTCCTGAAATTTGAATTTGTTGTATTATGCATTATTATTTGATTTAGTAGGTGGTACTAAGAGATGGACGGAGGCATGTGGTCTTTTAATGCATGGAGTATATAGCTCCAAAAAGAGCATTGGTTTTTGTTGTTGCTTTAGGTTGTGTTTCTCGTGGTTTGCCTGTAAGGTCAGCCTAAGGAAGCTACTTTGCCGTTGTGTTTCCTTGGAAAAGGAAGCTGTAAAAGATTGTCCTTGCCGTCATGAAATACTTTGGCTGCCAGCATGAACTCCTGGTGTGTGAATCTGATTTGGGAACTGGTAATGTGCTTTATTTCTCCAGCCACTGTTTTTCTTGGTGTGGGTGAAAAGGAACAAATGTTTTGTACTGATTGTACAAGCCCCTTGCTTAGTGTGAATTGTTAGGCCTGGACTATGAGATCATATACTTGGCTGTAAAAGTAAGTCTTTCCTTTGGATGTAAGAGTGCTGAAATATTTGGTGAGTTCCTACTTACCAAGCATTCTTTATCTCAGATTTATGAAAAATGATTATTATGTAAAAAAAGGAAAAACAGGATGGACTTTTCCAGCTAACTGGGCATGTAACAGTGATTTCCCTCAACCCCACCCCATCTGTAAATGGAACATCCATGACTCACTACTCATGGCCACACAGACACTTTTGTAACCAGTGCTTGAATGGGAGGGTGGGATGGGGATGGAAGGAGATGGGCTGGCACCCCACTTGTGTTCAGCCAGAATCTGTCCAGCTGCCTTTATAATGGACTTCTGAAAAGGACAATGTGCCTTCTCATGCATCATGCTACATATTTTTTTTTCCTTATTGCACTTTCTGTTTGTGCCAGAATAATACAATATATTAAGTGCAATAAAATGTAGCCATTAATACTATAATGTTGTGGATAAATGTTGTATAGCAGAGTACTCTTTCTGTTATATAAGATTTTAGTATTAGCATGAGTTTGGATCCCCGATTATCATATTTCTGTCTCCTGAACTGTGTGCCTTCATTTCTAGGAATTATTTTTCTAGTTATTTGTCCCTGTAAACTTGTTTAATTTGTAGATTATACTTTAGAATTTGTGTCCATCATAGTGCTATAAGAGATTTATATATTGGTTTATGAAGATGATTTTATTACCACACCTAAGACTTTTTAATCATAAATAAGAGATTTCTGTATTTGATATATATCTTTAAATAAATGATTGGTGTTTGGTTATGTGCTGATGTCTAATTGAAAATGACAACCAATTCATGCAGGGTGTCTAAGTGAGAATGAACACTGAGGCAGTAGGAATTCATCCCAAAAGCTGAGGGGGGCTAATTAAGAACCTACATATCTGGTGGGGACCTCAGCCTGATTCCCAGTAAGGATAGTTGCATGTTGTCATAGCAACTCTTTCTTCACAAGTTGAAGACAAGTTAGACGTTAACCTGCACATTCCTCAAGAGATGAAACAGGTGTTGATTTAGGATGTGTTAGGAAGCAGCAGCAAATTCACCAGTTCAATTGATTCTGGCTTTAACACCTTATAAATACTTCAGACTGCCAACTCTCTCTCTGATATGCCTGGAAAATTGGACATTTTTTGTCTTATAGTCAAAACCTTTGGGGTTATGGGGGGAAAAGTATGTTATCATTCATTTCTTCATTAGCTATCCTCATTTACTCAAGTTCTTTTATAAAATATGATTTAAAGATAGTTACAAAAATACCTTTTAAATTCAATGCCACAAAGTCTTTTAAAGCATACATTTGAAATAACTGTAAATGAAACAAGAAAACGTACATGTGATAGTTACAGCATGGCTGTGAGAGTTCGTCTAAATCCTAGCCTTGCCATTGTGTCTCTGCTTTTAATGCAGTGCTTGGCAGGAAGTTGGCGTTTAATAAATACCTGTTGAATGAATGAATGAATTCAAGAGTTTTGAACACTGATGATCCTTAAAGAGTCTCTAGTATTCCAGAATCTGATCTCTTGAAATATTTCTTGATGTTTCTAGCATGCGTTGTGACATTTTAGAAAATGAATCTTGTTACAGACAACTCAAAGAAATTTCCTCCTTTTTGTCAATATTAGTGAATTATTTTCCTGGTATCAAAATGATAGGGTAAAAGTGCTCTAACAGTTGATTGACCTGCACCCCCACCTCCCTAAAAAAACCTTTAAGAAGACACTTGCCTAAGTAATATATCAGAGATCCAGTTATGAAATCCCACAGCTGTCAGAAATGACCTACTGAAAAATGATTTAAATATTTATGAAGCTATGAAATTGTTAGCTGTGGGTTGATGATGTAGAACTCTTCTCTATATACTTTTCAGATTCATTTGAATTCTTGTATGGCTTGGTAAAACTGAAATACATTATGGAATGAAATGAGCAAATTGGTTCTCTCAAATTTAAGATAATAGTACACTTAATTGTGAAAACAATATTGATATTCTGAACCCTGCGAAGACTATATTTGCATGTTAAATGAAGTAAGCACTTTAGAAAAAAGATGGAATCATCTCTGCTTTCCATGTATGATTTTTCCATTTGAGAAACTAATTTAGAAATGGATTTGCGAATCTGACATGTTCTTTAAAAAGAATGTGCCAGACTAACATATCATTAATGGTGGCCTACCCTGTGTGAGGAGGTGAGCCATGAGTAAACATTTTCTCCAAGCATATCAGGCAATGACTGTTTGCTTTAGAATGGTACATTGAGTAAGTTAGTTGCTAGGGCAGAAGGGGGCGGCCGGAACTACTGGCCCTGCCCTACCCAGAGGGCAGAGATGGACCCCTGGTAGCCACTTGGTGCTGAGTGCACAGGCTCCACGGAAGACCATGTGGACGCTGGTAACTGGCCCTGCAGTGGGGTTGCCATATATTGCTTAGTGCCATGTGTACCTGAGAAATTGCTTATACATGAAATTATGATTTTATTTTAAGATTTTTTCAAACATATCTGGTTAAAAGTTCATATAAAATATGTTGAAATGTAAGCCTTTTCACACCCCAATCCCCCTTCCCAAAGGCTACCATTGCTGTACCAGTTTCTTTCGTATCCTTTTGGAAATACTCTATGCAAATACAGGAAAAAAAATTCTTTCCCTCAGACAGAGTGGTAGTTGCTGCCTACACTGTTCATCATTTTGCTAAAAGTTGCTTTGTATTCCTTTGAATAAATTCATGTATAACACTTAACCCAGTAGTTCTCAAGTCTGGTCAGACACTAAAGTCACCTAGAGAGCTTTAAATGTCCAGACTGCTTCTCAGAGATCTTGATTTAATAGATCTGGGCTGGGGCTTTATGTTTGTCTTCATGAAACTCTCCTTGGGTAATTTGCATATGCAGCCAAGCACACTACAATAGTCTTCCCTTATCTGAGGTTTCACTTTCTGCTGTCAACCTCAGTCTGACAATATTAAATCAAAAATTCAAGAAATGGAGCAACTCTGGGTGCACTGCCTGTGAGTTAGCTCTGCTCTGCAAGGAGCAGTACCATTTAAAAAAGAAGAAAGAAGATTCCAGAAATAAACAATTCCTAAGTTTTGAATTGCACACCATTCTGAGTAGCACAATGGAATCTCCACTGTCACTTCATCTTATCATATAGGCATTTGTCATCTCACATCATCTCAAGGAGAAGGAGGGTGACTATAGTATGATGAGATATTTCCTGAGAAAGAGATCACGTTCGCATAACTATGATTATAGTATATTATAATTGTTCTATTTTTATTATTAGTTATTGTTGTTAATCTCTTACTGTGCCTAATTTATAAATTAAACTTTATCATAGGTATGTATGGGAAAAAACATAGTATATACAGGGTTTGGCATTAAGCACTGTTTCAGGCATCCACTGGAAGTCTTGAAAGGTATCGCCTGTGGATAAGAGGGCACTACTGTAATTTTACCAGTCCTCTACTGATGGAGTATTTACTTTCAGGCTTTATTGTTAGAAATGGTGAACTTCCTGGTTGAAAGATTCTTATGCCATAAGCTCAAGTATATTTCCAGGATGAGAACCCAGGTTGGAATTTCTGCCAAACCGCACTCCAGAGAGGTTGCACCTGTTTATACGCCTACTAACAGCATATGATAGCGGCTGTTTAGTGGAGATGATTTAAAGTACCCTGAAGAAATAGCAGTGGTAGGGTGGTGGGGAAACTTGGACCCTAGCTCATTCTTAGTAGTTGTTGATCACTTGTCTAGTTCAACATGTGTGCAGATTGTTAAACTCTTTTACAGCTCAATTTGGCTGTGCTTTCCAGACTTAAAAATGCTCATACTTTTTTGACTCAGTAACTTAAGAGAAAAAACTTTTGTGCATGAAAATGTTTAAAAAAACAAATGTTTGTGCACAAAGATGTTCTTTATATATTATCATTATAATGTTAAATAAAAGGATCTTAACAATTGTCCAGCAGCAGGGAAGTATCTAAATTGTTATGTCAGCTTTGTAGGATAGTAATATAATAGTTAAATGATTATGAAGACAGTGTTAATATAAAATGTTTATGTTAAATGAAAACAACCAGCAACAGTTGGTATCTACAAGATGAATATATTAGTAAAATATGCAAATGTATGACCAAGAACTAGAAAGAAAAACAGAAAAATAATAAAGAACAGTTGACATTATGGGGTGATGAGATTGTGGGTAAATATCCTTTGTTGGTCGTGGTTTTTTTTTTTTTTTTTGAGATAGAGTCTCACTCTGTCACCCAGGCTGGAAGCAGTGGTACAATCACAGTTCACTGTAGCCTCAACCTCCCGGGCTTAAGTGACCCTCCCACCTCAGCCTCCCAAGTAGCTAGGACCACAGACAGGCATGCACCACCATACCCACCTTTTTTTTTTTTTTTTGTAGAGACGGGAGCGGGGGTGGTCTCACTGTGTTGCCCAGCGTAGTCTTGAACTCCAGGGCTCAAGTGATTCCCCCACCCTGAGCCTCCCAAAGTGCTGGGATTACAAGCATAAGCCACCTTGCCTGACCATAAATATCCTATAAAATGTGTGGGCAAAAAATAAAAATTAGAGGCCAGGCACGGTGGCTCATGTTTGTAATCCCAGTACTTTGGGAGACTGAGGTGGAAGGATCTCTTGAGTCCAGGAGTTTGAGACCAGCCTGTCAACAAAAGGAGACCCCATCTCTACAAAATAAAAAATAAAAAAAAAACTAGCTAGGCACATGCCTGTGGTTATAGCTACTTGTGGGTCTGAGGTGGTGGAATCGCTTGAACCCAAGAGGTTGAGGCTTTAGTGAGCCATGATCGCACCACTGTACTCTAGCCTGGGTGACAGAGGGAGACCCTGTCTCAGAAAAAAAAAAAGGAAAACTATAAAATTCTATTATAATACAAATAGCCACTTATTTATGATTATAAAGATGTTGTAAACCTTGTTAATTAGTGAAGACATAATTGTAGAATATGTACATAAATGACTTCCCTGAAATCTTTTAGAAATCTTTTAGAATGCTTTTAGAATAGCTATTTCTCAAGAATTTTAAGGGAGCCCATTCTAACATTTAAAAAATAATAGTATTCTTTACCATTTGCTAGCCCCTATACCAAGAGCTTTTTACTTAAATCATTTCACGCATGTCTCATAGTTATCCTTTGATGATAGATATTTTTATTAGCCAATTTATAGATTATAAATTTACCATAATTTATGGATGAACACTTGAGGCTTGCCTGAAATTGAGTGGTTTACTAGTGACCCTGGGAATTCAAACTGAAGTCAGTCAGCTCTTATTAATATATGATCTGTATTCTCTCTCTGCAGATGAATATTTGAAGTACTTAAGACTGAGATTCAGTGGTAGATTTTGTGAGGTTTATAAGAAAGTATGAAGTGTAGCTGAGTGCGGTGGCTCACGCCTATAATCCCAGCACTCTGGGAGGCTGAGGCAGGCAGATCATTTGAGGTCAGGAGTTCAAGAACAGCCTGACCAACATGGTGAAACCCTGTCTCTACTAAAAACACAAAAAAATTAGCCGGGTGTGGTGGCGTGCACCTGTAGTCCCAGCTACTCAGGAGGCTGAGGCAGGAGAATCGCTCGAACCCCAGAGGCGGAGGTTGCAGTGAGCTGAGATCGCGCCACCGCACTCCAGTCTCAGCAACAGAGGGAGAGTCCTTCTCAAAAAAAAAAAAAAAAGAAAAAAGAAAGTATGAAGTCTAAGTACTATTTCTAGGGAGCTTACTGTTAATTGTGCAATTATATATGATGTGTGAAAAACTAATTAATAATACAAAACAGTAGTTCAGGACCAAGTCTCTAAAGTCCTATTAAGATGAAAGGAAGGAGTGAGGGAGGGCTCTTTAATCTGGGCTAGTTAGGGAGGCTTTATGGAGGAGATAAGAGCTAATAGGTAGAATTCATAGAGGTGAAAAACTTTTTACCTTAGAGGTGTTCCTGAGTTAAAAATGGGTGGACCGGTCTCTGTGAAATCAGAGTGTTCTTGTGAGGCAAGATACATTTGGACCGAATTGTGCAAGTTGTTGCAAGCATTATTAATTTTAAATTTTAAATTTAGGTAACCCCAAAGTGTAGATGGGGAGGGACCCCAGTCTATACTTTGAGTCTTATTAGAGTAGGGCCTTTGTTACAGATTTACATTTTTTGTTTGTTTTTGTTTTGAGACAGAGTCTCACTCTGTCGCCCAGGCTGGAGTGCAGTGGCGCGATCTTGGCTCACAGCAACCCCCGCCTCCCAGGTTCAGGTGATTCTCCTGCTTCAGCCTCCTGAGTAGCTGGGACTACAGGCGCATGCCACCATGCTTGGCTAATTTTTGTATTTTTTTGGTAGAGACGGGGTTTCAGCATGTTGGCCAGGCTGGTCTCGAACTCCTGGCTTCAAGTGATCCGCCTGTCTTGGCCTCCGCAAGGTGCTGGGATTACAGGCGGGAGCCACTGGGCCCAGCCTGGATTTACATTTTTGAATTCAAACCTGACTCTCCCACTTACAATGTGGGGCACATTATTCTCTCTAAATGAGTTTTTTTTTCTTTTTTTTAATCTGTAAAACAGGTGTAAAGTTGCCTTTCTTGCAAGTTTGTCTGAAGACTAGAGATAATACCTATCAATCCTACTACACAGTGTTTGACAACTATTAGACATTCAATATGTAGTGACTCTTATAACTCTCAGAGACTTAAATATTATGTCTTTCCCTCCAGCTCTTTCCCTGTATTAAATGCATCTCTACTGATCTCAAGGTTGTAGGGAAATGGCAAGTAGCTTGTCTTTACCAAAAGGTGGAGTTCCTGCTCTGAAGGCAATGTGGAGCCACTGAGGTTTTAAGTAGTGGATTGGTGGAGCAGCTTGCTAAACACAGGGACCCTAACTTAAATTTTGGTGCTGGGATGCAAGTTAGTGCAGTTTTAGTGTATATGATATATGATATCAGCAAGTAAAACATACGTGTATTCCCCAGTCTTCCCTTTCTTTCCCCTATCCCAGACCTCTCTTATCTTCAAAGGGAAAAAACAAAACTCTTACAAGCTGACAGCTTCATGCTCCCAGCCTTTAAGCTTTCCCTCCAGCCTATGGCAAAATCTGTACTTGGTAAACCTACCAGATACATAACTATCTCTTTTTGTATCTTTTAATATCAGGAGCTTCCTTTTTGTTTTTTTTTTTTCCTCAAATTAGTTTCTTGACAGTTCTCTTGCCTCTTTTGATTCATTTCACAAACATTTATGAGGAGTCAGTTATGGCAGCTAATCCTAAAATTCCAGACTTATTGCGAGGAAAGGAGTTTGTGTTTGAAGGCTCTTACTAATTCAGTTCTCACGATTGTTGTATTTTTACAAACAGAAAAGGGAGAGGGTTGGAAAAAGGGAGGGAGAGGGAGAGACATTTGTATCAGAAACTGGGGGTGGGGAAGCTCCCAATTGTCCAGTAATCTTATCTACAGAGTGCTAAATACTGCCTGTAATTGTATGTAGGGGGTGGGTGCTAGTTTAGATAATGTGCCAAGGGAAGCGCACAACCTCTGCTTGCTCCAACTAAAGCTGTTAAAAAGCAGTCTAGTTCCAGTAGGTGCAAATCCACACTTTAATTTGTTCATCATTTTGTCTTCATTCTTCAAATCCAGTTTGTATTGGACTTTGATCTTATAGCTGATTACTGTGCCATGCTGCTCTTTAGTTTACTCCAGCAGAGTATTGAGTTTTACAGCTTGGACTGTTAAAGTCAATATTGTGTTTAACACAGCAGTAGCAGAGTGAGTTGTCTTGAGCTTGCCGTGACCTGCTAGCATGCTAAGCTAGCATGCTTAATGCTATTTAAGAGGAGAGTTCCTTTCAGAATTATGTCAAGATTAGCAATTGATGGTGAGAATTGTTGTGGTCCAATCACCAGACCACAGTAGGTAACTTCCCTGGGGTGAAAGCATTGCCATAGTGTTTTAGACCTGTGCTCTGCTCTCCATTTATTTTAGAAACCATTCTGTACAAGGCACAGGGCCTCCAACTCATCATTTTCCCTGCAGAGGTTTACCTCAGAGATGTTTTTAGTTGGAGAGGGGCAAGTTACCTTCAAGGAGAAAATAATTGGGTCTCTCTTCTTTAATTCAAATTCCAAAGTATTGTAAATCTCATTTATTACCTGTCTGTTCTGAAGACTCCACTTTTCTTTTCATCTTAGAAATATTTGGCATGTGGATCTAGACCAACTCTGCCTGAAGCACTGAGGCAAGCAGGCTTGATCTTTTTTTCTTTTTTGCTTGGCCTTCTCAGGAGTCCGTTCACCATCAGATTAGTGAAATTTCACACAAATTAGTGAATTAGTGTGGCCTTGTCAGGGCAGGGGACGAGGACATTTGAACTGCATTGCTCTAGGCTCTAGGTGGCCTAAAGTCCTCACAGCTGGAATTCTCCATCTGGTTCCATCCAGTTCCAGAGCCTGGACCAGTTCAGCTTCCTAGACTGAGGTTTGCATCAAAACTTACAAGTAATGAAGGGTTTATTATGTCTACCATTGCTTTCTCTTTCTTGGGGACCTAACCGGTATGGATGGAGGAATGTACATGAGTCACATTTCAGAGGAAAGCTGGACAGGATGTGGAAGTGATGGGGAGATACTTGTAAACAAAAAGAATAGACAAAATCATGATATATAAAGTAACTTCCAAGTTTTGAGCCCGAATAATGTGGGTAGCATAATTAGTGGAAATAGGGAAGTTACAAGGAGAAGTTGGTTTTGTACATGTTGAATTTAAGGTGTAGTTGAACACTCTAAGTTGTGATATTCATGAAGCTGTAGTTGTCAGAAGATATTAAGCCAATATTTGCCAAAGAGCCCAGAAAATTCATCTCTTGCTCTTTAAGACTTTTCTTTTTCTATTCCGTCCTCCAAAATTACTTCTGTAGAAATTCTGTTCCTTCTTCCAAACTCGGTTTAGATGCCACCTCTGATTATCTTTGCTGATTGCCCCAAATGGGCATGCTGCTCCCTTTAAACCAGTGGTCCCCAACCTTTTTGGCATGAGGCAACAGTTTCATGGCAGACAATTTTTCCACAGACAGTGGAGTGGGGGATGGTTTTGGGATGATTCAAGCACATTACATTTATTGTGTACTTTATTTCTATTATTATAACATTGTAATAAATAATGAAATAACTATACAACTCACCAAATGCATAATCAGTGGGAGCCCTGAGCCTGTTTTTCTGCAACTGGAAGGTCCCATCTGGGGTTGATGGGAGATAGTGACAGATCATCAGACATTAGATTCTCATAAGGAGTGTGCAGCCTAGCTCCCTCGCGTGCGCAGTTCATAATAGGGTTCGCACTACTATGAGAATCCAATGCCACCACTGATCTGACAAGGTGGAGCTCAGGCAGTAATGCTCACTCGCCCACCACTCATCTCCTGCTTTGTGGCCCGGTTCCTAACAGGCCATGGTCTGGTACCAGTCCGTGACCCAGGGGTTGGGGATCCCTGCTCTAATTCTTCTTATATGGCAGTTACCACATTCTACTAGCTGTTTTTTATTTATCCAAATACTTTACCAGATTATACCTTGACAGCAACATTGTATGTATGTCCCTGTAGTGTATAGCATAATACTAAGTACAGTACGTTAGTAGGAGCTTGTTTAAATACGTTTATTTGAACCTGCATTGTTTTCAGCAACTACCAGTACTTAAAAATATGTGAATTTATTAGCCAGTATATAAAGTTCCTCTTTTTTTTTTTTTTTTTGAGCCAGAGTCTCACTCTGTTGCCAGGCTGGAGTGCAGTGGCACGATCTCAGTTCATTGCAACCTCACCTCCTGGGTTCAAGAGATTCTCCTGCCTCAGCCTCCCGAGTAGATGGGACTACAAGCACGTGCCACCATGCCCAGCTAATTTTTGTATTTTTTAGTAGAGACGGGGTTTCATCTTGTTGGCCAGGATGGTCGCGATCTCTTGACCTTGAGTTCCGCCCACCTTAGCCTCCCAAGGTGCTGGGATTACAGGCATGAGCCACCGCGCCTGGCCCCTCTCTTTTTTAAAACATAAATTTGTCTCCAAATTTGAAGTTTTAAGAACATCTCCATTATTTCAGAATTTAATAAATGTGTTTATCCTACCCATGATTCGTTCTTTCTTTAATTTTAAATTTAATAAGAGATGAGGTCTTGCTATATTGACCAGGCTGGTCTTGAACTCCTGTGCTCAAGCAGTCCTCCCATCTTGGCCTCTCAAAGTGGTAGAATTACAGGCGTGAGGTCCCGCGCCCAGCCCTACCCATGCTTCTTAACTGTATTTACTCCATTTTTTTCTTTCCAGTTACAGGGTTCTTTCTTTTTTCTTTTTCTTTCTTTCTTTTTTTTTTTTAACTTCAGAGATTCTCCTCTATAGATTGTTTAATTTTCTATACCAGTTCCAGTTTAGAGTTTTGAAATTCACTGCCAAGAAATGTATGGGGTATTTTATTAAAAATACACTGTTTTACATATGAAGGCAAAGTAATTTTCATTTTGTTTCTGAGGTCATATCTGATTTACTCAGCATTTTGTTGGCTCCTCCCAGCTGACGTCTCTCTTTAGTAAATTATTTCTGTGGAACAAAACTTAGAGTTTAGGGTCTGTCATAAGAATAGTTTGAAGATCTTTTTTGCCTAAACCAATCTGACCTTTGCCTGGACTGAAACTCATTTGCCATCTGTCTCTTCCTAGAACCTTGAAAGATCTTACTGTTTATTCTCTTTACTTGGGACTTACCTGGTGAAAAACTATTAGTGCCATCATCTACAGGGATGGCCCTATCTATGACCAGTCTCGTCCGGATTAATTATGAAAATGTTAAGTTCAGTCTTCACACTCATTGCTGAAAAGACCACTCTGTTTATATTTCTCCTTCCAGAGAAATGCTTATCTGTCCTTTTGTTTTCTGGACCTGATCCAGTTCTGTGTCCAAGATAAATATTCTACTGGCTTCATGCTGTTTTATCTTCATAAAAACAAGTCACCAAATACCTGTGTACTAATGCAGTTCATATAGTAAAAACGTTAATTGCACAGGAGATTCAGATGAATAAAAGAACACTTATTTTGGTGTCTCATGGCCAGAGTTAAAAAAAGAAAACTAGATTTACTAGTGCACAGGTCATATGCTATTACAGCTTCAAGGAGCTGCCAGAAGCTCATTCCTTCCGTTTGCATTTTTGTGAATGTCAGTTCTGAAATAAATGAACAAACCCAGGACTTGAAAATAATTATTTCAACTATAAATTGTGCCTGTCCTCATATGGTAATGAGAGTTCACAGTGGTTTTTATTTTTAAAAAAAACAGCTCGGTTTGGGAAAAGGTGCCTGCAGTCAGCCTTTGCAAACTTCTTTATTCTGTGAGATTTTTGTTCCCTGTTTTCTAAAGACAATAGTGACAAATTAACCAGAGTCAAAGGCATTGCAATTTTTATGTAGGGTTTCTTTGTCCTTATGAATTTTTTGTGATTCTCTCTTCATGATGCTATATTTTTAACTTGCCACTTTAACTGACTAGGATGAAGTAATTTCTTAGCAGGGGTGGGGATAGGAAACAGTAGTGGGAGAGATTATCTTCAGAGTCTGTATTGCTTTTGGGGGTCTCAGCTTTTTTTTTTTAATCTCTAAGTCTGTGACTTTTTGAATTTTACAGTTGGGACAGAAGGATCCATGACTTCAGGTAGCTGATCCATCTCCCAAAGTCTAGGAGGGGAGGAACTTGGATTTAGCTGTTGTTGAGAAAGTTCAGAGTATTTTCAGCCCCCATGAGTGCAGTTAACCAGAGATCTTTTTAATGGAATCATTTCTTTTCCTTGGCAAATACAAAGATTTGTTTAGCCAATGAAATGTAGTGGGGATTTCAAAGCAGAAATGAGCTATGCATTTTGGAGGCTTAGGATACTGAAGTTGGGAATTACATGTTGTACAAACCAGTTTTTCCCATAGTTTTCTTTTCTAAAAATTGTGGTGGGAGAGAGGTGCATACTGGTTAAACGTGCTGCTCTGCGCCAACGACTGGTATTTCAAAGTATAAATGATAAAAGGAACTTAACTGTAAACTTGATATTTACATGAGTTTTATTTCCCAAAGCAGTTATATTTATTTTATAGAATAGGAAAAGGCTCACTCACCAGGGCTACAGAGCTAGTTACCCATATGGATAGGCCAAGATGGGGGACGCAGACCTTTTGATTCCTGCATCACACCTCAGCCAATTTTTAGTCCTATGAGTATGGCAAGTTCCCTTGTTGTGTAGTTAAAAAACTGTTATGAATTTATAGCTAAAATACATTTTTATGATTCTTAATTATCTCACAACTATATTCTCTTGCATGTTGTTGGACTTTTTTGTTATTTTCATTAGACTTTTGCTTCTTTCTGGCATTGAGGGACTGAGACGTAAATTATGTAACTCTGAAAATCAAGTCCAGCCTCTTTCGTGTGGCGGCCCTGCCTCATTTCTCTTTGCTCTTCCCCTCATACTCTTAAGTCCAGTCAAAGCGAATTTGTCTCAGTTCCTCAAAGAATCTTGAGTTTTTTCTTTATGAAGATTTCTTTGTTTGGAACTTGGCTCCTCCTTTCCTCCTTTAACCTGACTCACACTCCTAACTAGTGTGGTGATTAAGAGCGGGAGTGGGCTTGGAATTGGACTTCAGGTTTCGAACCCTGACACTATCACTTAATAGCTGTATGGTCTCGAACAAGTTGCTTAACCATGCCGTGCTATGCTGCCTTTTTCTCTTTGGTATGTTGGGAATAATAGTAACCACCTCATGGTGGTGGTATGAGATTTAAGTGGGTGGTTCTTGCAGTTACGACCGTGCTGGGCGCGTAGTAAGTACTCTGATTCCTGGAAGCCTTTGCCGATAATCTGCTCTTTCACAGACTCATTGCACTGAGCACTCTGTCCCCCTGGAGTATAATTGCCTGTGCATGACTTACTACTCCCCTCTGAGGACAGGGATGACCATGCCGAATCTGTATTCACTTTGCAATATAAGCACTTGGCATGTATAGGCACAAGACAAATGTCTGAATAAATCAATAAGCAAAGGCCCGCTTAGCTCATGCTATAATCTTATGTGTTTAACCTCCACTTTTCTTTCTTTTTGTGATGATCTTTTTGCCTTTTATTTGGGGTTTTTGATGGGTGATTTTAGGAGAAGGGAGCTAATAGGGAAGTTTAACCTAGGTTGCTTTATGGCAGCTTCTGGAGTTGTAACACATGATTGCTTCATGTTGTTTATCCCCTTTGGGAGAAGAAGCCGTACATATGGACAGGCCTCTTGAAAAGTTGCTGTATTCTTTAAGAAAAAGTAGGTTCCACATAGAAAAGGCTAGACTCACAAGGAACTTGCAGGTTAACATTGACCACAAGTCTGGATTTAATCTAATAACTGCTGTAGCCTCCTGCTCCCCAGCTCTCTAAAGGCACACTCACAGGATTTCCTGGCACTTTGTTTTGTTGGTCATCAGTTGTGCTGTGGCCATAATGTAGCAGTGGAAGCCACTTGACTCCTTACCTTCCATGCTTCATCTTTAGGCAAGAGTAAAAACTAAAAGCAATGTAAAAGGAAAAGCTTATGCGAGAGCAGGATAGTTTCTGACTAAAAGTAATGAGAGTCCATTTTTTCCAACTCCAGGGGCTGTGACCTGGTTAGGTCCTGGCAGTGGTGGATGTGTTCTAGGTGAAATAATGCCTTACCTAAAGGAAAAGGGGAGAAGGAGTTTGCTGTGCTGCTGTGATTATTTTGTTTAAAGTCATTAAAGGTTTGGAGGGTAGTACAAGAGTGATACTAGCGAATAAGTGCTGTAGAATCCATCAGATTTTCAAGGGGCAGTAGTGAAACACAAAGATCACCTGATCCCAAGCTACTTTCACAGCTGAGCTCTTCTATCCTTCACCCTCCAACCTCAGAGCCTCTAAAAGCAGTGTGTGTGTGTGTGTATGTGTGTGTGTGTGTGAGAAATCACAGGCTTTTACCATTCAGAACGCATTTTTTCATACCTAAGATACTATGTTATGAAGGACAGTTCATTTATTTATTAGAATAATGGCTGTAAGTTAACCTGGTTTTTATAGGATGGCCAGGTACTCTGACTGCCCTTTATAATGATGTTTCTGATGTGTGCTCTGAGCTCTAAAAGTAAACTTACAAATGAATTTATAGGATCCTCAATAGTAAATGTTCATTCAAAAGCATCTGTTGACATTTTCCATATTCTAGGTACAAAGCATTGTTAGAGTACAAGAATGAATAAGATAACACCCTGCCCTTGAGGAGTTCGGTTCATGGAGGTTTGCTCCCTATTCTTCTGTTATAACGTGCAACAGGAGCTAACAGTACAGATGAAGTATTCCTAATCCAAAAATCTGAAATGCTTCAAAATCGGAGTAGTTTCTGAGTAAACGCAATGAGAGTCCATTTTTTCCAACTCCAAGGGTTGTGGTAGCCTGGCAGTGGTGGATGTGTTCTAGGCGAAATAATGCCTTACCCAAGGGAAAAGGGGAGGAGGGGTTTGCTGTACTGCTGTGATTCTCTTGTTTAAAGCCATTAAAGGTTTGGAGTAGTACAAGAGTGATACTAGGGAATAACTTTTGAGCATTGACATGACACGTCAAGCGGGAAATTCCACACCTGACCTTATGGGTCACGGTCCCAACACAATCAAAACTGCTACATATGCAAAATTATTAAAAATATTATATACAATTACTTTCCGGCTATGTATATATAAAGTGTATATGAAAGAAACATAAGTGAATTTTATGTTGAGACCTGGGTCCTATCCCCAAGATATCTCATAATGTGTATACAAATATTCCAAAATCTGAAAAAACGCCAAATCCGAAACACTTCTGATCCCTCGAGGGATTTGGAGTTTTTTCAGATTTTGGAATATTTGTAAATACATTAATGGATCCTATACTAAACTATAGGATCCTGTTAATATCCTATTAATAAATCCTGGCCATTCTATAAAAACCAGGTTAACTTATAGCCATTATTCTTAATAAATATTTTGGTTCAGATAAGGGATACTCAACCTGTATACCAAAAAATAGGCACAAGGAGACCTTACAGAAGTGCTCAGTAGGCTGGGCATGGTGGCTCACGTCTGTAATCCCAGCATTTTGGGAGGTGAGGCAGGAGGATCACTTGAGGCCAGGAGTTTGGGACCAGCCACGTAATGAGATTCCATCGCTCCAAAAAATTTTGAAAATCAGTTGGGCATGGTGATGCATGCCTGTAATTCTAGCTACTAAGGAGGCTGAGGTGGGAGGACCACTTGATCCCAGGAGTTCCAAGCTGCAGTGATCTGTGATTGCACCACTGCACTCCAGCCTGGGTGACATAGTGAGACCTTGTCTCTAAAATAAAATGTAAAATAAAATAAAATAATAAAAGTGATCAGTAAAGGTTAGATGACTTAAGTGTCTAAGCTTAGTAGTATATACCTTTAATTTTCACTTTTTTTTTTCACTTAGCACTTTCTTGGATTTGTATCTTCTTATTTGGAGAGTTAGATGCTAAATACACATTTTAAAGTTGTTTTTATATTTGTGCTCATAATTTTTAAATTCTTGTCTTTCCATTTTGTTTGCAGGTGATTTTCCCAAAATAAATACCAGGCTATCATGATTAGAATTAAACAGTTTTCTGAAAACCTAACCTAATTTAATGGAATGGAGAGAGAGGGGTGAGGGTAACAAGGGAGGTGGAGGAGGGGCGTAGCAATAAACGAGAAGGTGGAATTTTCTGATAGGAATTTGTGATTTCTCCCTTAACATTTTCAGGCAGTTTTGCTTCCAATCCCCTCTATAACTTCATTTTTATTTTTAGTGCCTACAGACACTCTAGTCTTTAGATGTTCCTTCTGCACTGAGGATCCTTTTTTTTTTTTTTTTTTTTTTTTTTTTTCTTTTTGAGACAGAGTCTTGCTCTGTCACCCAGGCTGGAGTGCAATGGTGCGATCTCAGCTCACTGCAACCTCCACCTCCCAGGTTCAAGTGATTCTCCTGCCTCAGCCTCCTGAGTAGCTGGGATTACAGGCACCTGCCACCATGCCCGGGGCTAAGTTTTGTATTTTTAGTAGGGGGTTTCTCCATGTTGGCCAGGCTGGTCTCAAACTCCTGACCTCAAGTGATCCACTTGCCTCAGCCTCCCAAAGTGCTGGGATTACAGGCATGAGCCACTGCACCCAGCCTGCACTGAGAATCCTAAGAGAATTTTCATGTTGGTATGTTTGTAATACCAGAAATGTTACCAGTTATAACCAGCTACTGTTGATGTGCAAGAAATTCTATTTTGGAAGGCCAAAACAGAGGATAATGCCTCCCTGCCCAGACGGTCTGATAAGAATGTCAGTAATGCCCTCTGTGTTTCATTTCCTGTGTGTTCTCTACATTCGGCATTCTGCAGTCTGAGGGTTATATACATCAGTAATCTCGAGTGCAAGCATGACACATATAGAAGGCTTGAAAATAGGTAAAACATGGTGGTAGGGGCAGCTGATAGCAGGAAAACTGTCCTTAGGGGATAACAGACAATGAGATCCGGAGAGTGGTGATCTGGAGAAATTAGCCGGGCATAGTGGTGCACACCTGTGGTCCCAGCTACTTGGGAAGCTGAGGCAGGAGGATTGCTTGAGCCTAGGAGGTTGAAGCTACAGTGAGCCGTGATTGCACCACTGCACTCCAGCCTGGGAGACAGAGCAAGACGCTGTCTCAATACACACACACACACACATCAGGTGCTAAGTACAGTCCTCATTATTTGCAGATTCCTTATTAGTAAATTCACCTACTTACCAAAATTTGTAACCCCAAAATCAATACTCTCGGCACTTTCATGGTCACTCATGGACATATGCAGAGTGGCAAAATATTTGAGTCACTTTACACGCATGTTCCCAGCTGAAGTCAAACAGGGTAACCCTCTGCTGTCCTGTGTCAGCTCTTCTATAAACAAGTGTCCTTTTCACAGTGAATTTAGTGCTTTTTTTTTTTTTTTTGCTGCTTCTTGGTAATGTCACTCTTTAGCCCCCACGTATAGTGCTGGAGTGCTGTCTAGTGGTCCTACTGTAAGAAGCTGTGATGTGCGTTACAAAGACAGTGTCTTTAGGTAAGCTTTGTTCAGGCATGAGTTAATAGTGCTGTTGGCTATGAGTTCAGCGTTAATGAAGCAACAATATGCATGAAATAGGGTATCTTCCAACAGAAACACATATACACTATAAACCAAGGTATGTATTAATCTGTTGATGAAAATGTTGTAATCAGCGGCTTTCAGGAACCTAACCCTTTATTTCCCCCTAGAAGCAGTGGTTCGGTATTCACTAATTCAGTGTTCATGGTGACTTTATAGAACATAACTGCTTCACAGAATGAGAATGGGCTGCACAGTAGAAGCCCTCTGCAGCACTCTGCAGCCTTAGAATGGAGAAGGTAAATGGGTGGCTTCATCCTAGAATGAGTTTTGGAGGCCAGTCTGATTGAAGGATAGAATGAGGTAGGGAATTAAAGTGATGACTTGTTGGCTTTGAAAGATAAAGAGGTGAAGTCAGGATGGGTTTGATAAAGGAAGTTATCAAGGGACTGGAAGATTGTATGAAGTCAGAGGGCAGGCCTGCAGGGAATAATTACAGCTGCAAGGATCAGAGGGTATAGTCAAAGTCTTGCTGGAAAATGGGGGAAGGTAGAAATGAGGGCAATTAAAGAAGGCAGAGAACAACACATTTGTTTTTGGATAGACCATTCATGGGAACTTTGAGCTCTAGGGAGTGATATAGGGATACTTAGGTCAGAGGACCCAGAGTGCTGATAAAGACAATTGGAATGTGCCTACAAGGTGCAGCTGTCTGTGCAAATTTCCAGAAATTCCAAGAACCCTGAGACGTGATCTAGGAATCCTAAATGTCCAGATGTGAAAGCAGGTATAAACAGGCCTATGCAAAGTATCACATGAGTGGCAGGTTCTTGACTACACAGAATACAGTGTACTTTTTCAGTTACAGGACCCACAGCATTTTACCATGGAAAGATGTAGAGAAAGAATCAAGATTTGTTTACTGATTAGGTTTAGGGAGAGGAGGGGAGGACAGGAGTGAATAGTCAAGAGTTGTTCCAGTTTGACTAATTGCTATAAGATGCTTTTTGTTCTACAGAGTTTAATGGATGTTTTACTTCCAGAGTTGTCTTTGTTATATCATAATTCTTCAGTTTTCAGTTCCCTTATCATGTGATTTTTGTTATTATGACATTTAAGATTGGCGAATGAGCATACTTATGGTTTGGTAAATAGAGGTAATGATTCCTCTCAGTTCTGTTTGCATGGGGGTTGTGGAGCTAGGTCAGCTTCCTCCTGACTGTCTTTGAAGTTTCACTGACAATTCTGGACACTCAGATTCCAGCTTTCCAAGCTTTCCTATTGGCCACTGGGTTAGGTTTCATACTCCTTCTATTGGTTGCTGTGATGGGGTTTGTAAATGGAACGGAGGCAAATCATACTTGTACCCTACTATTGTCATTTATGTGAAGAGTTGTCTAGAACTACGCTGCCCAGTTCAGTAAACACCAGCCACATGTCTAGTCGGCCCTTGAAATGTGGCTAGCCTGAATTGAGACATTCTCTAAGTATAAAATTCACATTGGATTTTGAAGACCTAGAATGAAATAAAGAATGTGAAATATTCTGTGAGAAAGTTAATAATTTTAATATTGATAACATGTTGAATTAAGATTTTGTATATGTTGGATTAAACAAAATACTAAAATTCATTTCACTTGTTTTTTGTTTGTTTGTGGGTCCTGCTCTGTGGCCCGCTGGAGTGCAGTGGTGTGATCATGGCTCACTGCAGCCTTGACCTCCTAGGCTCAAGCAATCCTCCGGCCTCAGCCTCCCAAGCAGCTGGGACTACAAGTGTGCCACCATGCCAGGCTAATTAAAAAAAAATTTTTTTTGTAGACACAGGGTCTCCCTATGTTGCCCAGGCTGGTCTTGAACTCCTGAACTCAAGTGATCCTCCCAAGTGAGCCTCGGCCTCCCAAAGTACTGGGATCACAGGTGTGAGCCACTGCATCCAGCCCTCACATGTATTTTTCTTGTATGTTTTTTAAGTTCTAGGGTACATATGCAGGATGTGCAGGTTTGTTCATAGGTGAACGTGTGCCATGGTGGTTTGCTGCACCTATCAACCCGTCACCTAGCTATTAAAAAAATATGGAACACTTCATGAATTTGCGTGTCATCCTTGTGCAGAGGCCCTGCTAATCTTCTCTGTTTCGTTCCAATTTTAGTACATGTGCTGCCAAAGTGAGCACCTCACATGTTTCTTATTGCAGTTTTAAATATGGGTACTAGAACATTTAAAATTATATTTGTGGCTTATATTATCTTTCTGTTGAACAGCACTGTCTCTTTGAGTTATTTTTTGGATTTCCATGGAATAATTTGAAAATGATTGTATTAAATGATATACTTCTAAAGAAAATTCTTGGGTCCAGTTACATTAATCCTCTCGAAGTTGTTAGTATACCTGAATGTATCCCTTATAAATAAAACGATTACTGTCATAAGTACTAAACACCCCTCTGCTAAGAGAAGTTTATTCATTTTCCTTGGAAATTCCTCTATCATAAATAAAATGAAGTCAACATTTATGACAGTTCTACTGGATGGAATATAACTGAATCCGTTTAAGAACTGGTATCAGGGTTAGCATTAGCTTGGATTTTGGACTAATCAAATGCAGTCATATTTTTAAATGTGCAGTTCTTTCTCAAAGGAGCATTTGAATCTATGTCACATTGAGCCGTGGTATAATGAGGTTTTGTTGTCCCTGAGAGAGTGACTATTTTCAGAACTTAGATGAACAGCTATTTGCAAGGCAGCCTTAGTAAATATGACAGAAAAGAGGTTCATTTAAAAGCAGCTAGTTTAGGAACCACTTACTAACTGCCTGCTCTCTGCTCAGTGTTAGTATTAACTGCACAAGCAAAACACAAAAGAAATTAAAGGTGTGGTCCATGTCCTCGAAGTTCATCCTCTGGCTCAGGGATTCCTAACTGACATCTACATTCTGAGGTATCTGATGAGATGTAAAGAGAGATTAATACCTTTATAATAGCAGCTAAAGCACTAAACTTTGAAAATTATTTCTTAAAAGTCGCAGATCCAAAGTTACTTGAGGAAACACCACTTCCACACATGTTCTGTTACGGGAATTGTGCATGGCTTGCAGGTATTCTTCCCTAAACCAGGGGTCCCCAACTCCTAAGCCACAGACCAGCCACACAGAGCAGCGGGCAAGGGAGCGAAGCTTCATCTGTATTTACAGCTGATCCCCATCGCCGATGTTACCGCCTGAACTCCGCCTCCTGTCAGATCAGCAGCGGCATTAGATTCTCACAGGAGCACGAACCCTATCGTGAACTGCGCATGCGAGTGATCTAGGTTGCGCGCTCCTTATGAGAATCTAACGCCTGATGACCTGAGGTGCAACAGTTTCATCCCGAAACCATCCCCCACCCCCAGTCCATGGAAAAATTGTCTTCCACGAAGCCAGTCCCTGGTCCTGGAAAAGGTTGGGGACCGCTGCCCTAAACCGTGGTTGGTGGCAGTGTGTAGACTCGGTGACTGTTGTTCCAAGGTATAGCCAAGGGGAAAGTTGAACCATAGTTGTAGTTGGGGAGGTTCTGAGCTACAAGAAAGGTAGAGAATCCTTCAGAGGCATTGTTTATAGAGTCCGTTCTATCTTCCTATTACAAATATTGAAACGTTTTCGGAAAGGGACCATTTGGGAAGTTTTTATAGAGCAAATGGCCCTTGGTTTGGGTCCTAAAAGAACTTAGAGGATTCAGCTTGTAAAGTTAAATGAGCGGTACTTTAGAAGGGGAAATTGATGTGACTGAGGATATATGGGGTGTTGAAAGGGGATTTATGAGTGGAAGAGAGAATACCTTATGTTAATTTGAAAGATAATTGTTCCACAGATATAATTTTCTAACTGTTGTGCTAATTTGTTCTAGAGCTTATTGTTCCCAAGGAACTTTGTGATGAGTCTATCTCAGAGTGTTTAATTGCCTGGAGCTTCCAGAGAATTGGCTATGTTTTTGGGGGAGGGAAGATGGGGTGGGAAGGTGATTGACCTTCTTGGGCAAAATCATTATTTGCCAGGTATCATTGTGGCCAAAGTTATTTATCTTGGCTTCATGTTGTATAAATACAGTGCAATCATCTATGAGTTTAGCAACTCAAATAGGACAGTGAGTACTTTTGGGCTTGTGTATATAAAAATTAACACGTCGCATTTGTCTAGAATTTTATAGTTTTTCAAAGGGATTTTCAAATGCTCACATTTAACATCTCCAACAATTCTTGTCTATTTATGGTTAAGGAAACTGAGGCCCAGAGAGTCTAGTGTCTTTCCCCAAAGTCACATAGGTAGTGGATGACTAGGCCAGAACTAGACTTAACTCTTGCCTTGTCGTCCAAGGTTCTGTTCCCTGGTATGACACCCTCTCTCAGCAGGGACCCTGCTGACAGTGACTACGCGCTGGTGGCTGGCGTCTCCTGAGTTCCTTGTACTCAGCCTGATCATGAGGAACTGACTCAGAGAAATGAGAGTCTGCTGATTCAGAGCTGAATATCCTTTCCCAGTCTTTCATTTCCCAGCTTTCTCTTCTCCTAAATTGATTTCTGTCAGCTCCCAAGCAGCTTTCTTAGTTGTCGTAGCTATTAGAACTCTTAGAGCACTTTAAGAGTCTTTCTGACTTAATTTACTAGCAATGAATGTATTGCATGAGAAACCTTTAATTATAGCTATATTTTGGGTAGGTATCACTATTTTTGCCTGTCAAACCAAAACTGAAGGAGAACTGTCACTAACTTAACCTCTACATAGATTTCCTTTAATAATTCTCATTGACTTTGTTATTCTGTTATACACATTGACTTCCATTGAATGGATTTGTAGCAGGCCAAGAATGAGTGAGATACCAGTACGAAGGCTATTACGGTAGTCCTGGCAAAACACTGGGCTTTGCTGGGCATGGTGGCTCACACCTATAATCTTAGCGCCTTGGGAGGCTGAGACGGGCAGATTGCTTGAGCCCAGGAGTTTGAGACTAGCCTGGGCAACATGGTGAGACCCCATGTCTACAAAAAACACAAACATTAGCCAGGTATGGTGGCGCATGCCTGTAGTCCCAGCTACTCAGGAGGCTGAGGTGGGAGGATTGTTCGAGCCTAGAGGTCGAGGCTGCAGTGAGGTGTGATCTTGCCACTGCACTCTAGCCTGGGTGTCAGAGCAAGACCCTGTCTCAAAACAAAACAAAACAAAACAAAAAACCCCAAATCCACCAGGCTTCGATTAGGGTGGTAGCAGTGGAATTTGGGATGGAAGCTGCCATCTCTCCACTGGCATGAGTCAAGAGGGAGCCAGGAGTGCCACAGGCTCCAGAGAAAACTTCTTGCCCAGCCTTCCTATCACTAGTGTTGAGAGAAGAGAGGGGCTTCTGGCAAGACCTTCTCCCACACCACTGGGAGACCTGTTACTCCATCACCACATCTGCTTTGAGACTGTTGGCACACTAATTTCATTTTCCTCTTTATCCTGTTTACAACTATTTACACTGACAGCCTTTAAAACACCAAGGCTTCTAGGTTTTTTTGTTTTTGTTTAAATTTTTGTTGTTGTTGTTTTTTAGAGACAGGGTCTTGCCCTGTCACTCAAGCCAAAGCGCAGTGGTGTGATTATAGCTCACCGCAGCCTCAAACTCCTGGGCTCAAATGATCCTCCCACCGCAGCCTCTTGAGTAGTTAGCATTACACGCACGCACCACCATGCCTGATTACTTTTAAATTTCTTACAGAGACAGGGTCTTGCTGTGTTGCCTAGGGAGCTCTCAAACTCTTAAACTGAAGTGATCCTCCCACCTCGGCCTCCCAAAGTGCTGGGATCACAGACGTGAGCTACCACACCTGGCCCTTCTAGATTTTTTCTTAATCCAAGTCTTTACTCTCCATATATAAGAGATGGATAATTAGATAAGTTTCCCTCCCACTGAATATTCCCTATTGCTTACCCTTCCCCTGCTTCATCTTCTGCTATAGCACTCACCATTTGTTTTGGCACACTGAATATTTTTCTGAATTATTGATTTTCTTCTGCCACTATCATGTAAACTTCATAAAGGTGGCAGGGGTTTGGTTCATGTATCATCAGCATCCTAACAGGGTCTGGCACATGAAATATTTGAAAAGATGAAGTGAGTGGAGTTTTAAGTCTTTAGATAGCACATTTTAAAAGTGAGTTCATAAATTATTCTACAAAAGCAATGAAATGCCTTTATAAACTGGAAGAATGTCAGATGTTCTTTGTTTTGTTTAATCCCATTTGGTGGCTTGTGTAATTATAACACAGATTAATGAATAACTCTTAGTAATTCCAAAATTACCCTAATGGCAATAATATGTATTTGTATGATGCCATTTACAGTAGCCTGAATGAATTTTTTATTCCTCTGTCAGATAAATAGTTGTATCTCAATGTTATAAATGTTAAAAATTATAAATGCTTAAAAATGTTGTAAATGTAAGAGAGAAGGCTATTCACAAAAACATTCCTTTCCAGGAAAACAGAGACCAGTCTAGTGTGAGACATAGGTGTGTAGTTGGTTAGAGCAAGGCATATGAGAAGGTACAGAATGATGAGAAGGTTTTACCTTCATGCCCATGAGGTGGCTAAATTGTCAGTAGTAGTTTTGGGCATGTGAGCTGCTGCTTCTCAATACTGACAGCATTTTAGGGGACTGGACTTTGTACAGCTCTGCATTGCCTGCTGAGGAATCCAGGCATCAGCAACAGAAAGTTCCAAAGCATTAACAGAAGATTTAATTATGTTATAGCTGTACATCCAAATGGAAGGGAGCTGGAGATAGCCAAGAGTTCTCTGCTAGGTGTTTTTCAGACATGCTTCTCATGAATTAAATAATTTTAGTCCTGATGTGGAGATTGGGAGCACTGAAAAGTGGTACTACCATAGAGCAGTTTTCTGTGATGAAGTAGGTAGAGTAAGCAAATGTGTTACATAAGAATTTCTGCAGCAACTCTTCCAGACACCTTCTACCTTACTTGATAACAGAGTGTCCTGATCACATGATTTGCAGAGAATGAGAGATCTGTGAATGATTGCTGAGATGATGGCCCCAACCCAGTAGCTCAGCTTCCAACTTCTTAAGCAGCTCTAGACTACTGATACCTTCCTTTCCTAGGTCCAAATGCTAGGGACAACCTGGCTCAAAATCAAAGTTAAACTTTAAAAGTTATGTAATATTTTGTTGCTGATGTGTTTCTAACTTTTGGCAGTCTTCAAAAAATAATCCCATAGCTGCTATTAATTTCAGGGGAATTAATGATTATATGATTATAATTTAATCATGGGGATGGGTTGTAAAAATCATTCATAAGGAAAATAGGTTGTAGATTGAGTTCTGATATTGGACCTTTAAACAAAAAAGTCATGAAAGTCTTTATCCAAATTGCTGGTTATCTCCCTGATTCTAGAAAGGTTGAATCATTTTACCGAGACAAATAGATACGCAGTGCCTTTTCTTGTGGGTGGAGAGTTACACTGCCGGCCTGACCTGGCCACCTCTTTTTGGTGTTAAAGTTTAGATATGAAGTAGTTACAAACACAGCTTTATTGTAGCTCTTCTGGGCCGCTGTTTCGTTTATCAGGTTGGGGATTTCCTGGAGCCTTAACTTTCTTTTCCTTATCTCTGTGTTGTCTGGATGCTGGTACCTGGTCAGATAGCCTTTCGGTAGCACTTTTTCAAAAAAACGTATAATATGTGTACTTTAAAAATTCCTCTCATTGTTATGTATATTGCATTGCTGCTTGATACTACACAAAGTTTCCAAATAAAGGGAAATTGTGGAGCTTTGTTTAGATACTTTAAGAGGGTAATGGCTACGGCTATATACTTTTGCTGGTTTTTATAAATATTAATGATAGCAATTATGTTGAAGGAAAAATTGTGTGAGTCAAATTGCACCCTTCCAGGGTGAGTGCTTTGCTTTTCCTTTCAGCTGTCAGAAATTGTTTTGCCTCTGATGATTCTCTTAAAATAAAGCTTGCAGAATTATTACAGATTAAGGAAATCAAGTGATCATTAATGGCAAGAATTTTTTTTAAAAATAGTTTTTCCCATTGTTTGTAAATAATACATGCCTATTATTAGAAAATTCGAAAATATAAAAGAATTTTTAAAAAGTATCCTGATCATGGCTGCTCAAAAGCGTTCTGATATTGTTTTTCTATGCTTTCTTTTTTCTGTTTTAGTTTTATAAAACTTTTTCTACATTTAGTTTTATAAAAGCATACTTGTTATCAAACTGCATATACAATTTTTATCCCATTCTTTTTATTTAACATAAGAATTTTCTATGTTTCACAGATTTTATGAAGATGTGCCACTCATTCATTGATTCTTTCAGTTACTGGGTGCCTTCTCTCTGTGCTCTGGGTGCCAAATGCTTTGCTTTTTAAAGTATGGAGACATGGGAGTAGAAAATAATCTAGATTATAATTAGGAACTGCACATCTTCCTGAATTTCCATGTAACTTTGATCTGGATCTGAAAGTTAAATTATTTCCCAGGTAGTTCCACATTTTAAGTCAAAACAATAATACTCATTGGTTTGTATTATATATTTAAGCTAACTTTGTGTGGATTAAAAAAAAAATCACTCTGCCTAGGAGTCTTTCCCTAGCTGAAGTGCTGGACTGGGAGTGGAGGGCAGAGCAGAATCCTGGGGAGGCGGTAGGGGCCGGTGTGCTTGGCTTCTGCACAGGAATTGTTTATAGGGGTGAGTGAGTAGGGCAGGGTTCATGGCAAGGTGTCCGACAAGATACTTAGTCACTCACAAAGCACATGACTTGGGCCTTGTCCTCAGAGGACTGAATTAGTGAGAATCTAAACATTCTAGGTGGCACGGAATTTGAGATGTAGAAGAAAGAATTTGACTTATCAGTCAGTGATATCCAATTGCCTCCTCCTTAGCCCCTTCCCAGATCTGTCCCAGTGGTCAGGCGCAGACGTGGTATGAGAATGAGCAGGGTGGGCCTGCTCCTGAGCAAGGATGCCTGGATTTAAGGCCTGGCTCTGCCACTGACAAACTGTATACCTTGGGCCAGTTCCTTAACCTTCCTGTGCTTCATTCTCCTCATCTGTTAAGAGAAGATATTACTACTGCCTACTTCCTATGGTTAAATGAAACACATAGAACGATGCTTGGCACATAAAAGAGCACTCAGTGGATCTAACTACCTACCAGTATTTTCTACCCTATATGACTGAATTTGACATATTGACACATTTCCTTAGCGCTGAGCTCGTCAGATGAGTTTAGATGGCATTAAGGTAGGTATGTTATTGTTTGATTGCACACTGAACTGGTATCGTGAGGATGGCCTGCTGCTTAGCTAGCTGTTAGGAACTATCCATGGTCATGTTTCTGAAAACAGCCAAGTATTGACAGACTTGGTTCTGATCCTGGATCTGTCTCCAAAGCCCATTCCCCTAAAGTAGACTGCTTCAAAAAAGCTTGCACACCCCCTTACCTTAATCTACTGGCTGTGGGCTAAGAGGAGGACCTATTTTGTTTTTAATAAACTTTGATTGAATTATAATATACAAAACACTGTACATATTCGGGTTGCTGTGTGTTCACAGTACCAGCACTGGGATCAAGAAACAGCATCCCATAACCTTTTTGTGTCTTTCTGGGGACCGTGCTTCGAAGTCTCTGGTAGAAAGATTTGTGATCATTTGTTCTTGTGCAAGGAGAAGGCATTATGGAAGATAGGGAATTACCCGGATAAAGAGGAGGATCATTTGTGATGCTGTGGATCTTAAACCTCCCCCACTCCCTCCTGTCCTGTATTTATTTCTCCTTTTTTTCTCATTAATGTAATGTGAATATCAGAGAAAGAGGGATTCTTTTTTTTTTTCCTTTCAAGATTGGACATACTGAGAGGAGAAAGATTCATTATTGCAAGATTCATTAAATGAGAATAATCAGAATGGACTTTTTAGGGAGCTGTATTAAGTCTTAGATTTTTCTCCTCCAAGCTACGTTTCTCAATTGTTGCTTCTGAGTTAATTTTTCATTACATATCATGATCATTGCTTTTCATCATTTGAAGAATGTGAAGTCAAGGAATTACAGAAATGCATGAATACTTACCTAGAAACTTTCATGACTTTAATTCTCCCAACTCTAAATTAGGCATGGGAATGGGCTTTTTCTCAGGTGTCAAATCTTGGATTGGAGGTGGGTCCTGGCAGCACTGCATCCGAAGGTTTTGGAGAGGAGTCTGGGCATCACAGGAGACAATGTGATTGTTTAGAGATTTTGGCCACGGGGAAAAGAGGTTGGACTTGTGTCTTGAGTACCAGATATTTGTCTTTGGTGATCTAAATGATACTGTGCTATTTATTGATTCTTAAACTTGGCACTCTTCTGTAGGACCACTTAATACCTGGTACATGAGATTGGAAACAGTACAAATAGCAGCTTTAAAAAATTGAAGTAGTAGTCTGCCTTCCTTACATATACCACATGGATTCATCATGCTTTCATACTTCTGTGGTCCTCCCTTCCAGTGTCTTAGAAAGTTCATCAGTTTTGTGAAAGTAGCAGTGGTGGCAACAGCAGTTCCAGTCAACAACCTATTGAACCGCATGTGGAATGTGGGAGTCTAGTCAGTGATTGCAGACACTTTTGTAAATGTGTAAACTTTGGATAACCCAAATTATCTTCTATGATACATGGATGAACTGTAGAAAGGAAATAGATAACTTGGCCATGTGTAGGGTTACAAATAGGGTGGATGATAAATTGTAATATGCATAGTATTTAATATTTAAGAGCAGGCACCCAGCATGATAATGAATAACAATGTGAATACCTCTCTAAGTGTGTAATTACATTTTAGGAAAGTGAAGATCGAGAAAAAAGGGAGATTGGATTGAGGGAGAGAACAGACTCTTAAGCATAAAAGATCTACACATACCTCCTCTTAGTTACTCTCTGAGTTGCTCTAATGTCTCAGAAGAGTGGTTGTGATGATACAATTATGCTTTTTCCACTTACTGAAGAAATTTTAGAGCTCCTATTTAAACATAAGGAAATTTGAAGTCATGTAGAGACATCCCCTTTAACATATAATAGTTGTGGTTTTTTCATATCTACCCTATTACATTTTATCAGATTTTGAACTGTGGAATTAAGGCTTATTAGTTGGGTAACAGAGGAAATGGCATTTTCACTTTTAAAAAAATCTAAAAATCCTTTCTGTTAAGATATCATGTTGGTCTCACTGATTGGAGTGATCCCAAGATATTAAAAGCCTCTATGGGAGCTTTTGCTATAGTAAACGAGGGAAAGGGAGAAATGGAGTGTGAGTGTATAAGCACCCTCCTGATCAGACTGTATGCATCTGACTATCAAAGAAGCACACTGCTTGTTACAGTTAGATTCATATCATAGTTTTTGTTTTGTTTTGTTTTGTTTTTAGGTGGAGTCTCGCTGTGTTGCTCAGGCTGGAGTGCAGTGGCACGATCTCAGCTCACTGCAACCTCTGCCTCCTGAGTTCAAGAGATTCTCCTGCCTCAGCCTCCGAGTAGCTGGGACTATAGGCATCCACCACCACACCTGGCTAATTTTTTTGTATTTTTTTAGTAGAGACGGGGTTTCACCATGTTGGTCAGGCTGGTCTCAAACTCCTGACCTCAAATGATCCGTCCACCTCAGCCTCCCAAAATGCTGGGATTATAGGTGGGAGCCACCGCACCTGGCCCATATCATAGTTTTAATGCAAATATTTAGTGTTATTAAACCAATCAGAAAGTATCTGATGGACATCTACCATGGATAAAACCTGCATGAGGTACAAAAATGAATGTCAAGACCCAGACTAATATGCAAATAATTTATAATCTAGTTAGGATCGTAAGAGATGTATTATACACTTTTTTTTTTTTTTTTTGGACACAGGGTCTCTCTCTGTTGTCCAGGCTGGAATGCAGTGGTGCGGTCATAGCTGACTGCAGTCCTGAACTACTGAGCTAAGTGATCCTCTCACCTCAGCTTCCTAAGTAGCTGGGACTACAGGCGCATGCCACTACTCCTGGCTCATTTTCTAATTTTTTGTAGAGATGAGGTCTTGCTATGTTGCCCAGGCTGGTCTTTAAATCCTGCTTCAAGTAGTCCTCTCGCCTTGGCCTCTCAAAGCACTGCGATTATAGGCTTGATCTACAGTAGTTTTCATAGTGCTTGTATAAGTAATCTTTTGGTTCTCTGTTAAAAAGAGAAAGTGACTTTAAAGGCAGTTTATGGGAAGAAAGAACTCATGATCAGTGGCCATGTCAGTTCTAAGCTCAAAATGTGTTCTTCTTGGAGAAAGGAATTCATTTTCTCCTAATCTGGTTTTATCTTGATACTATCAATTTAGCATGTGCCACAGAGAATTCAAGTTGTCATATGTGTGTTGCAATTTTTATTTCTCAGGAGAGGGTGAATTTCAGCTATTTTTTGAGTTTATTTTGAAGGAATTTTAGGGATTATATATATAAGATTGTCTTAAGGTAATTGAAGGCCCTGCCATGACATTAGTTTTTCTCACACTCATGGAGTGAAATGTGTGGATACCGTACATTAAAAGTAATGGCAAAAACCGCAATTACTTTTGCACCAACCTAGTACAAAGGTGCATTTAAAAATTGCTGAAGCCAAAGGACCAGACAAGAGTTCATCAGGTTTTAGGAATCCATTAATGTTTTCTTCACCAAATTCCAGGACTAAGAAAAGGAAAAGAATTGGGGCAATCCCTTGTAGTTTTGTATGTAAAGATTTGACCTGTATTCCAGGGATCTTGATTTTTATTTCTAATAAAAGAAAAATGTTTTCTTCGTGAACCCACAGAATCATATTGATTCTGTAGCATTGTTCTCCTTTTTCAGATGAAGAATATTAGTGTCAGAAGTCAAAATTGAGCTGCTTTTGTCCTCAGGTTGGGCTTTCTCATTTGAATATGCCTAGGAATTCAGTGCAAGAGTTCTGAGGGTTTATGGCTGCTCGTTATCATTTTTTTTGCTTGTATTAAAGCAAGGATATATCCCTAATCTGTGTCCCACCTCCCCTTGTCATCTATACATTAAGTCCTACATTTGGCTGTTGTGGGTAACCATCCCTCACTTGCTGTGGGTAGAATTTTGCAAGATTGCAGAGTAAGACCTGTCAGCTGACACTGGCTCACATGAGAGCCATTAAGAGGGTGGTGTGGCCAATGTCAGAACAACCTTGCAGCTGAAGGCAAGTCACTGCATTGCCCAGAGCCATATGAACAGGTCTTGTGACCAATTAATTGACTACTACATAATCTCCAGCTAGGGTGCACAGATGGAGTGAGTCAGTCCAAGCTGCTCAACCTGTTAAATGTCTTTTCTTTGCTAACTGGAGTATAAGCTTAAGAACAAAAGTAGGACTTGTCTATGTTTGTAATGGGATTGCAGACAGCGTGTTTTGTAATGTGATAGATGGATCTGACTTCCTAAATTATTGGCAGGCTTAATTTACGTAACAAATGAATGTTCCACCTTTTTTTTTTTTTAAACCTTTGAAAGGGGAAATTAGTACACTGCTGTCAAGTAGCTTTTCTCACATACTGTATAGGGAGTGAAATGATTGTTTAGAACTGCTGGTCATTACAGAATGTTCCTCACATAACAAAGGAACTTCAGGATTTGTCTCCAAGTCCATGTTTATGGTCAGGATAAACCAGAAGAACATTAAACCGTTCAGGAGATGTGCGGCGGCACAGCGAACACCACAAACCAGCCAGAGAGCTGGCAAGACTCTGCCAGATGTGTGAGTGATGCTGTTCCTGGTGCTGGGAGGATTTACAGGGCGCTTTTATGCACAAAGATTAAAAAACACACCGGAGTAGACAGGAGCACTGACCACACGGAACTCGACAACAGGTTTGAAACTTTAGTTGTTTCAAAGTCTCAGATAATTTTTTATTTAATTTACTGTGTAGTAAGGAGATGGAATTGTATTGATCTGAAAGTTGTTGTTTCTCATAAGTGCTTCTAAGTAGGAGAAATGGGGTTATTGGTGGATGTGCAGAGTCAAGTCCCTTCTCTTACAGAAGAGATGTAAGCATGGGTATTTTTTAGTGACTATTGTGACTTCACTACCCATCTGTTTTCTTCTTTTCATTACCTCTACTGGAGCCAACTTATAAGAAGTGTGTACATCTTTGTCCCATGAAGCTTGGATGAAACTGTTCACAGTAATTATCAGGAAAAAAAGGTGCCGTCCTGAAGTAGCAGCACAGTTAGTAGATGGGGCTCAGGCCTGGGCGTTTTCACTTCATAGTCTGCGTGGCAGCCAGGTGGTTGTGCTTTTCCAGTTGGAAGCAGGGTGGTCGGGGTGACCCAGTCTTCCTCTGGAAGACCCTTTCCATGAGAAGGATGTTATGAACAGCAAATTTTAATAATGGAGCTTGTCTAAAAAGAATAGCATACTTATAATATTCTTTTTGGTTTATTTCATCCACGTTCTTCCGTTAATAAATTTGGAAGAATTTATTAATTTTATTATTAGTGGTACTTAATTGAAATGCTATTTGTAAAGAATTTTATTGCATATCAATAAAAACAAAAAACTGTTTTGAGAATTACATTTCATTCCAGATTCTTCCATAGATAGATAGTAAGGAGAGCTAAAAGTTAATGATTAGTGTAAAAGCAAGTTTATAAGTGCATTTAACTTGGGCATGGTGGCTTAAACCTGTAATCCAAACACTTTGGGAAGCTGAGGTGGGAGGATCACTTGAGCCTAGGAGTTCAAGACTAGCCAGGGCAATGTAGCAAGACCCCATCTCTACAAAAAAATTTTAAAAATAATTAGCAGGGCATGGGGGCATGCAACTGTGGTGCCAGTTACTTGGGAGGCTGAGGTGGGAGGATCGCTTGAGCCCAGGAGTTGTAGGCTGCAATGAATTGTGATTTCACCTCTGTACTCCAGCCTGGGCAACCGAGCAAGACTCTGTCGCTTTAAAAATAATAATAATAAAATAAATTCACTTAAAACATTTTTTTCTTACAGAAATTTTCTCAAAATTAACATATCTCATCAACTTTATCCCATAAGTATGCTTCTTAGTTTGGTTAAAAATAATCAGGATATAGTTTTTGTCACGTAAAAATCTTTGTCATTTTTTAATAGAAACAATAAAACAGGGCAACAGAGTGACACTTCTATCTCTAAAAAAGAAAAAAGAAACTTAATAAAATGGGATGTAGTCCATTACAGCGTAAGAGCACAGTAGACCGGAGAGTGAGAGAGAAGTGAGGAAGTTATTTTACAAGTGTTAGGTCACATGCTTTTCATTCAGTTAAAGAGATCTGTTTGTAGAGGAGGAGGTAATGATATGGTACATTAGAAAAATACATTTGAGTGTTCAGATAAGAATTTCACTTTTATACTATCTGTTTTTATCTGTTTCTTATCAAGAAAGGGCAGCTGAGTGATAGGAGAGAGTAACGGAGTGACACTCAAGTTTATCTGAATCTTGATCCCTAGCTCTGCTGCCCAGGAGCCTCTAACCCTGGGCCAGTCTCCAGGCTTTTCTTAATCTCACTCTCAACTGTTAAACTATGTAATTGGCTCGGATTATTTTAAAAATTCTTTCTTCTTCTGAGATTCTTAGATGTAGTAGTAGGGCCTTCTGTATTCCGTATTTTTGTTATTCTATAGAATTCTAGATCCCCAGATAGTTATTTAGGATGAAAGATGGGGATTGAATGTCCATGTAAGGACATAATATGCAGGGCCAATTTTTTAAAAACCTCTAAAATTTTTGATATGAGCTGCTGCTTCTCACCTTCGAAGTGATGCTTTAAATTTTAACATTTTCATACCTGTTATCCTCTTTCCTTATTTTAACTTCCTTTAGATTTACTTCTCTAGTGCTGAGAATTTTTTTTTTTAGAACTTTGTACAATGATGACATATTTGTCAATTAATTGGAATTCATCTCTAGTCAGACAATGTGCTGTAGTAGACCTCATCTGCTTTCTCTTCTCCTTTCTACGATCTTGGAAACATTGCTTACTTGCAGTATTGTGCTTGGTTTCCAGAACTTCTTTAGGACTTGGGCCAACTTGAGGGTAGAAGTGAATTATTGACAGGCGCTTGCACTGAAGGACCTGGCTCCAGAGTGCTCACAGTTATCTGTTTGTCCAAGTCATATGGCAGTCAGGTAGGTAGGACTTCCAATCTCTTTTTGCTCTTTGATATCTTAAATCAGTCGTTCCAAGTGGTCTTCTTAGTTGAGCACACTGACAAGCAGGGGTTTTGTTTTTTTTTCTTCTCATGATTTTCCAGTAACTGAAAAGATGAAGAGAAAGATTCCACAATTACAGTAGAATCACGTTGTATTATGTGATGATGGCCACAGTGTAAAACAGACGGAAACAGTGCAGAAAGAAACATGTTGGTTGTCTCATTGCGGTTCATGTAGCATGACACATTTCAGGATAGGAGTTGTCCTCTGCATCTCCATTTCCATTCCCCCTAACCTCTATAAAGGCAGATGTTGGGGTTCAATTCATTTCACAAAATTCTAGAGTCAACAAAAAACTACCAAGTTTGATGAGAGGCATCTTAAATGGCTTGTCAGTAAAAATTCCTTGCTAAAACTCCCTTCAAATCTAGTGACTCTTTGCTGGGCATGGTGGCGTTCATGCCTGTAATCCCAGCACTTTGGGAGGCTGAGGTGGGCAGATCACTTGAGGTCAGGAGTTCGAGATCAGCCTGGCCAACATGGTGAAACCCCATCTTTACTAAAAATACAAAAATTAGCTAGATGTGGTAGCAGGTACCTGTAATCCCAGCTACTTGGGATGCTGAAGCAGGATAATCACTTGAACCTGGGATGCAGAGGTTGCAGTGAGCCGAGATCGTGCCACTGCACCCCAGCCTGGGCAACACAGCAAGACTCCATCTCAAAAAAATAAAATCTAGTGACTCTTAAATATGATGCCAGGTATATGGTATCATCCTCAAATAATTGCTTTCAATCCTCTTTCTTAAAATATTGACTATAGCAAAGCTGCCAACAACTTTTGAGTTTTTCAAACTTTCCCGGCAAATTAGCAAACAAAATTCTTACGGCTGTTTATATGAGAAATCTGGGACTTGCCACACATATTTGTGAATCATTGTTGCTCTGGTGGCAAGAGAAAACTTGCCATGTCTTTAAAGTATACCCCTTACACACTGAAAAGGAACTGAAACAGAGCACTTCAGAGTCAATTGTGCTTTACAGTTTCATATCTTGAAATTTGAATTCAGAAGAAATTCTCTGTACTGCTTTAGAATCACCAGGATGATTCTAAATGAGTATATCCATTTTATGTACATTTTTAGATGAGATAATTCTATTAAAAAAGGGAAGTCCTTAGATTGTCTGTGGTAGTTACTTAACAAGAAAGTAAGTACAGAAACTTGAGTGCATTGTTCCCTGGTGAGCTGCTTCACATAGATAAGCTGACCATGATTTTATGACCAGTCTTTATTTATAGCAGTTGGGATTACTGACTAGGAAATATAAAAATAGTCACAGATTTAGAGAGAGATATGCTAAGGCAACAGACCAAAGAATTCTGAAGAGTATAATAAAAGGTCATTAAAAGTAAGCGTAATGCAGGTTTGTAGGAATGGAAAGAATGTTTCTCACTGCTGCTCCTGGAAACAGTGTGAAAACCACTCTACCCTGATGCTACTTAATAGAAAATGTAGCAGTTGGACAGGTTGAATGAAGTGGGTAGAGAGAAAAAACAAACCCTAGTCAGCTGATGGTCTTGTGCTTTGTGACAAGCTTCACAGAGAGGTCGTAAATGGTTGGGTGTGACTCTGATGGGTTGGGTATTGTGGTCACACGTTCTTCTGCGCTTCCTGCATTCCTTCCCTTTTTACTGATTTTTACGTACCATGAGAATTTTTCTTTGACTAGTTAGAAGAGTTTATTTCTGCTGGCTGAGGGTAGAGATTTTGAGATATAATTCCAGACTGATAAGAGTGAATGAATCAAGGAATGCAGTGTTGTGTCTGATTTAGGGTTCAAGAACATTTGTCTTTTCCCTCTGAGGATACATCACTTACTAGGAATAAATCAGCAATCTTAATATAGGAGATTTTCATAGACGCTAACAACTGACATCAGCTTTTGTCTCGGTCATATTTGGATAAGCATTGATGACATAACAGGGTAAAGCACTTGTTATTAATCACCATAGCTAACTGTGTCCAGAATGACAGTGTTCCAGGCAGAAGATGAGGTTAATCCAGCTCTGGAGTCTGCAGGCCAGTCACTGACTGGGCAGCTTCTGAAGCCTTTTTTCCTCAAGTTCTGCTCAGCTCTGTGCTGAAGCGGAATGCTGGCTGAACTGGTCCCCACATCCCTGGTTCTCCTGTTATGACTCCTGTGGTGAGTCAGGCTCTGGCTTAGCCTTATCCTTTTATTGTTACAGTAACAAAAGCCAAATAATTGCTGAACAGTGATGTAGCAAGCCCTGGTGGGAATTGGAGAGAGCAATAACTTGTGACCCATCTAAGATTATAACTGTCAAAAGTCACCAAAGAGAATCCACCCTGTGGGTTATAAAAACACCCAAGGTTCCTGGGAATATTCTTATCTTTTATGAGTTCCCAAGGGGATATTTAGGTATCAGGTGTACACCCATCCATCAGCCTTATGTCTTTAAGGGTTTAAGAAAGGTTTTTTAAAAAAACTACTTTAGGTTTTTACAGAACAGATGTGAATGAAAATCCTTTTTTCTCACTATGCCATATCCTTTCACTTTCATGCCTCACCCTGTCCAAAGGCAGAAAAAGGAACTTAGTTAAGCTATTTTCCCACTTACTGATTTTCAGCTCTAGCATATGAGAACCTAGACTTAATACCAGATAAAATGGAAGGGACTTTGACTTGGGGATCTTCTCTACCCTGATTTTATGATCTGAGGGTCTTCTCTGCCTTAAAATCAGTGTCTTTGGGCACATCATTTCATCTCTCTGTTTTTGTTTTTTAAATAATATTAATTAATAATAATAATGATGGTAGATTGGAATGGTGTTTCCTGAGCCTCAACTTCAGATCCACTGAACCGAATTCCTAGAGGTAGAGCTTGTGAAGCTTTGTTGATTACACACACACACACAAACACACACAAAACTTCTGGGGTAATTCTAACAATGAGCCAAACAACTTGGAACCAGTGGACAGGTAGTGTCTGAAGTCCCTTCCAGCTAACATTCTGATAATCTGTCAGTGATCCATGAGTCCCGAAGTTAGAGAAATATAAAGGCTGGGCCTTGGGTAATCAGGGGAGTTAAAACTAGCTCAGTGGTAATCTTTTCCCATGTGAGCGAACAAGCCACGCGGGTGTTTGAGGAAGTACATTTTCAACAGAGAGAACAGGAAGTACAGAGATCTTAAGGCAGGAACATGCCTGGTGTGCATCCTAAAAAGAATATTGCCTCAGGGCAAAGATGATTTGGATTCAGAAAGTAAATGATCCTTCGTGGGAATGTGAATGGGGTGGAGGTGTACTGGTGGATGGTTTAGCGGCTGCACACTGTGATATGAGAGGGAGGCAGAGGTCACTGCCCCTAATATCTTTCCCACTGGACCTTGCTTGATGGCAAAAACTCCTATTATTAAATTCTCATTTCTTTCTATTTAAGCATTATTCTCTCTAGGCAGTAACTAATGTCTTACTGTGAACTATCTTAGGGGAACATTCCCCTCTGTCAGTAGGAGCAAGACCACATGTGACAGTTGGGTACATTCTGTAGAGCAGTGTGTGAGGACTGACCCTCCTTTTTCCAGCCGGGTAGATAGAACAAGGAGGAGACGGCCTGTAATTCTGCTGAACAGGGACAGACTTGATAGCTACATCTGAAGCTCAAGTTATGTGTCCTTGGTTCTCATCTTTACAGGGTATTCTGTAGCTGACTGTAACAGACAAAAGTGATCTTCAGAAAATAATCCTGTCACAAATTTTTAAACCAGTGCTTATTCCTGAAAGTTTCTATATCTTAAAAGTTCCTTTGACAACTGAAATTAAAAGAATTTTTTCCTTCAAAAAAATTTTAGAGCAGTTTTAGGTTCACAGCAACATTAAGCAGAAAGTACAGAATTCCCATGTACACCTTGCCCCCACAGTATCAACATCCCACACCACAGTGATATATTTGTTACCACTGAGGAATCTGTATTGACACATCTTTATCACCCAAAGTCCATAGTTTGCATTAGGGTTCATTCTTGGTGTTGTGTATTCTATAGGTTTTGACAAAAGTATAATGACATGTATCCACTATTCATACTAGATAGTTTCACTGCCCTAGAAATCCTCTGTGCCTTGCCTATTCATCCTTCCCTCCCTCTCTAACCCCAGGCAACCACTTGTCTTTTTACTGTCTCCATAGTTTTGCCTTTTCCAGAATGTCATTTGATTAGAATCATACAGTATGTACCCTCTTCAGATTGGCTTCTTTCACTTAGAAATACACATTCAAGGTCCCTTCATGTCTCTTCGTAGCATGGTAGTTCATTTCCTTTTTAGCACTGAATAATATTCCATTGATTATCTCTTTGCGTACTGAAGGATGTCTTGGTCGCTTCTATGTTTTGGCAATTATGAATAAAGCTCCTATACACAGCTGCAGGCTTTTCAGCTCATTTGGATAAATAACAACAAGTCCCTTTGCTGGATTGTAAGGTAAGAGTATGTTTAATTTTGTAAGAAACTGCCAAACTCTTCCAAGACAACTGCACCACCAGCAATGGGTGAGAGTTTCTGTTGCTCCACATCCCCACCAGCATTTGGCATTGTCAGTGTTCCAGACTTTGGCCATTCTAATAGGCATGTAGTAGTATCTCTTGTTGTTTAAATTTCTGTTTCTCTAATGACATACAATGTGGATCAACTTTTCATATGCTTATTTGCCATTTGTATTATCGTTGGTGAGGTGTCTATTCAGGTCCTTTGCCCATTTTTTCATCAGTTGGTTTGATTTCTTACTGAGTTTTAACTGTTCTTTATTTTGGATAAAACAGTTCTTTATCAGATATATTTTTTGGGAATATTTTGTCTCAGTCTGTGGCTTGTCTTCTCATTCCCTTGACAGTGTCTTTCTTAGAGCAGAAGTTTTTAATTTTAATGAAGCCCAGCTTCTCAATGATTTCTTTCGTAGACCACGCCTTTGGTGTTGTATCTGAGAATCCTTCGCCATGCTCAAGGCTGTCTGTATTTTCTCCTGTGTTGTCTTCTGTGAGTTTTGTAGTTTTGCTTTTTACACTTAGGCTTGTAAGCCATTTTGGGTTTATTTTTGTGAAGGATGTAAGGTCTGTGTCGAGATTCTTTTTTTTGCACCTGGATGTCCAGTTATTCCAGCACCATTTGTTGAAAAGACTGTCTTTGCTCCATTGTATTACTGTTGCTCTTTTGTCAAATATTGATTTATATTTATGTGGATTTTTTTCTGAAGTCTCTATTCTGTTCCATTGATCAGTTTCCCTATTCTTTTGTCAATGCCACACTTCCTCCTTCTCCTCCTCCTTTTCTTCCTCCTCCTTCTCCTCCTTCTTCTTTTAAGAGATGGAGCCTCACTCTGCCCAAGCTGGAGTGCAGGTTTTTACACCTCAGAAGGACATGCAGAGGAAGGTCCTGGAAGGAAGAGAATGTTATCCTAACTTGTTTGCTACTGGTATCAAGGTGATAGTGCAGTCGAGTTGGATGAGCACAGAATTTAGAGCCAGGAGACTGATTTTAGTCCTGACTTAGCCACTTACTGGACATAACCTTGTTAAAGTCTCCTAACTTCCGTGTAAAACGTTATATAATACAGACTCTCACAGGACATTTGAGAAGGTCAGCTCAGTTGAATTCTGTAAAAGTGTTTGGTAAACTCTAAAATATTAGGCAATTATTTGTGCATGTGCTGTGCAGTTCTTATCACCAGCCTTCCCCTGCCTACATGCAAACACCAGACCTTCTGGAATTGGTGTCTCTAGGCTCTGCATGAATTATGCAGTAAAAAAGGCAGTTATTTAATATGATGGGAATCCATCTGATACACCACTAGAACAGCAATCATAAACTGAAAGACATACATGGGTTTAATCAATGAGAAAAGGGGTTGCTTTTTTAGAGAGAAACTTTCTCCTGTCTTTGGGGGAGGGAGGGGATGAAGGACAGGAAAATGTAGTGTACAAGTGTTGAGAAGAAAGCTCAATAAATGCCATTGTCTAGGCCAAACTACATATTTGAAAACTGAATCTGAATGCCTGGAATTCATTAAGGTGGTTTCCCTGTAGGAGTTCACCCACTGCCTCATGCTTTAGCTACCAAGAAGCCTCTTAAAGGAAACAGTAGTTAAGGGCTTGTCTTAAAGCAATGATAGATTCTTTGGGTTTAAAAAAATAGGGTGTTCCTGTTGTAGTCCTCATCTTTGTTGTTTGTTTTTACTTTTTCAAGAGACAATACAGTCACACGGCTTAATATTCAAAAGGCACAAAATTGTGGTGCATGTTTAGAGCACAGTCAGCGTGCCTGACTCCGTGTTAAGTGCTTTACATTTAGTCACCAAAACAGCACTTGTAAGGTTGGTACTATTATATTATCTCCATTTTGCAGATGAGGCTGTTGAGGAACAAAGAGATTAGGTAACTCACCAAAGTTACATAGCTAGGAAGAGGCAGAGGTAGGACCTGAGCCCAGGATGTCTGGGTCCAGTCTACACTCCTTCTCACTATGCTGTTTTGATGGATGTTTATTACATGGTGCAGAGAAAGCCTTTCCCTTTGCTCTGTAAAGAGTGTAGAATGAAAAGTCTTCTGCTTTCTTTTTCATCAGTAATCCAGCTTTTTTTTTTTTTTTTGAGACGGAGTCTTGCTCTCTCGCCCAGGCTGGAATGCAGTGGCGCCAGCTCCGCTCACTGCAAGCTCCGCCTCTCGGGTTCACGCCGTTCTCCTGTCTCAGCCTCCCGAGTAGCTGGGACTACAGGCGCCCGCCACCACGCCCAGCTAATTTGACGGGGTTTCACGTGTTAGCCAGGATGCTCTTGATCTCCTGACCTCGTGATCCGCCAGCCTCGGCCTCCCAAAGTGCTGGGATTAGAGGTGTGAGCCACCGCGCCCGGCCCAGTAATCCAGCTTTCTACTCCAGAGTCAACTAGTATTACCAATTCATTGTTTTTCTTCTAGAGATAGTCTATACGTGTATAATAAAACCCAGAGTTCTTTACCTCCAATTTTTCCTTTTTCTAGACTTATGGTAGCTTTCTATACACAATATTTTATACTTATTTTCGTTCCAGTCAAAAATATGTCTTGGAGTTTATTACATACTTACCTAAGGAGCTTCCTTATTCTTTGCTGTGTCAGTATAGCACTCCCTTGTATGGATGTACCATAATTTATTTAATCATCCTGCTGACAATTTGTTTCCAAACAGTGCTGCAGTCATTACCTTTTTGTACATAATCATTTTGTGCCTGTGCAAATTAATCTGTAGGATTCATTCCTAGAAGTGAACTTGCTGGGTCACGAGTATATATATATATATTTATTTTAACCTATCTCTTTTAGAGATAGTATTTTACAACCCAAAATAGGTGACAATTGTCTATTTATTTTGGTTCTTTCATCTTGCAAACGAGAGACCTTACACAGAGAATCATGCTTTTGACCTCTGGAAACTTCTTGGAAAATGGAAGTATTACCTTATCTGCATACGGTTTAATTAGATCTAGAAGTGAATAACATATAAGGCAATGTCTTGGGTATTTACTTTGAAATTTATTCCGTTGTCTATTATTAGTATATGATTTCCCAAAATGAGGGAGGGGAAAGATATGAAATCATCTTGATGCATGTTACCTTTTATAATTGCAGACCAATATGTATTTCAGTAATCCAGGAATATAATAATGTGTTGACGGCTTTGATTATGCTGACAAGGGTGTAAAAGAATTAGCTCGGCCAGGCGCAGTGGCTCATGCCTGTAATCTCAACACTTTGGGAGGCCAAAGCAGGCGGATCAGTTGAAGTCAGGAGTTCGAAACTAGCCTGGCCAACATGCTGAAACCCCCTCTCTACTAAAAATACAAAAAAATTAGCCAGGTGTGGTGGTGGGCGCCTGTAATCCCAGCTACTTGGGAGGCTGAGGCAGGAGAATCGCATGAACCCAGGAGGTGGAGGTTGCAGTGAGCCGAGATTGCACCACTGCACTCCTGCCTGGGAGACAGAGTGAGACTCTGTCTCAAAAAAAAAAAAAAAAATTAGCTCAGTGATTATTGAATTAATATATGCATGGAGATGAACAGTAAAGCTCTTTTTTTTTTGTCAGTTTGGCTATTTTTAAGTACAAGTAGTTTCTAGTTTATAGATATCAGAAAAGAATAAATAATGTGCATTTAAGAATTAAGGGAACCATTTTGGGGAAAAATGGGCCATTTATAGAGATTCTATGGGGGTTTTTTGTTTTGTTTTTGTAGAGTCAGAATCTCACTATATTGCTCAAACTCCTGGATTCAAGCGATCCTCCTGCCTTGGCCTCCCAAAGTGTTGAGATTACAGGCATGAGCCACTGCACCTGACCTCTGTGGGTTTTTTAAGCAGAAAAAAGGAAGGAACTATTAATAACAGCAACAACAACATCAGAAGGCAAGGGGCAGAGTCTTGACTGCCACAGTGACCTGCCCACTCAGTGTCCCTCTCACCTCAAAAGAACTTGTACTTTTCTCCTTCAGATTTTGTGAGCACCTTTTGAAAGTTCTGTTGATTAGAGTTGTGTTGATATTAAGATGCTTATCAAAGACAGATTATGTTTAGCAGGTTTAAGGGATACCATGTAGTAATAATGTAGGTTAATTCATTAAGATTGCTTTCCTTTTCGTACCTGGCTGAGATCATCTATTCTAAATCACACTGTGCACATTTAATAGATAACTTGGGATTATAATATGTTAGAATTGGAAGCACCAGACCTTTAGGTATAATTTTAGTCCCACCCCATTTCCCATTTTTTCTTTTTTCTTTTTTCAGACAGTGTCTCACTCTGTCGCCCAGGCTGGAGTACAGTGGTGTGATCTCAGCTCACTGCAACCTCCGCCTCCCGGGTTTAAGCAATTCTTGTGTCTCAGCCTCCCCAGTTAGCTGGGATCACAGGCGCCCACCGCCATGCCTGGCTAATTTTTATACTTTTAGTAGAGATGGGGTTTCACCATGTTGGCCATGCTGGTCTCAGACTTCTGGCCTCTGATCTGCCTGCCTCGGCCTCCCAAAGTGCTAGGATTACAGGCATGAGCCACCATGCCTGGCCCCACCCCTTCCTTTTATAGAGGAGGAGACACTGGATTAAGAGGTGAAGAAGTGACTGAGATGGGACTGTGGGATGGCTGCCTCCAGCCTAGGCAATCTGACATCCCGTGCAGTGCTCCGCTATTTTGTCTATGCTGTGGTGGCCCCAGGGCAGTGGCATGTGGGTAGTGGTGCTGTAAGTGCCACACACAAACTTCATCTGTTTTAGAGTTTCACTTGATGTGATCCTGAACTCAGAAAGGAAGGAAGAAATTCTGTCTTTTCCTCTCTGTACTTTGTAGTTCCTTGTTCATAGCACCCAAACCTTAGGCTGTATTGTGACACATACGATAATGTTTTGTCACTGCCGTGTGAACACATTATTTAAAGACTTATGTGGTTTTAACTTGTGACCTTTGCTACCATTTACATATTGTTTTAGTGGCAAGGAGGGGGAAAACAAGTTCAGAGCTACAACTAACCTACTTACACATAAACTTTTGGCTGTTATTTTTGTTAGAGATCAGTTATATTCAGGAAAATATGGGGAACCTGAAAGTTATTTCAGTCTTTTGTCCTTTTCTCAGACATGGTAATCACTAAAGTGATCAACAATGCTTTATCCTATAATTCCAAAATCCTAAAATTTCTGGAAAATCTTTTGGAATTAATCTGAACTGATGTGAGGCTGTTTATAGTCTCTATCTAATCCACTTAGCATAAGTATTCATAACTTGGGCTGGTGAAATATTAATTTGTTTGTTTTGGGGGTTTGATTACATCTCAGCCCCTGGAGGAAGTATTATGTAATATGTAGTGTAGCATCTTTCTGATTTCTAAAAAAAATTCTGAATTCTGAAACATCTAGCCCCAAGGCTCTCAGTTAAGGAATTGTGTATCTGAGTAGATCTTTGAATTATGCTCTACAGCTTTAAAAGTGCTTTCATAACTTAATCTCTGTTTTTCCCAACAGCCTTGTGAGGTAGATAAGGCAGATGCATTTTGGGAAAGCTCAGCGCTAGGGTTGGAGCATTCTAAAATCATCTGGGTTGAAGGCAGCAGAGCTAGAGTTAGAAGCCCTGTTTACCCTGGTGAATCCTAATCCGTGTCCCAAGCATCATGTCTTCTGTGACTCACATCCATCACTCACCCAACTGTGTGGACTTGACCTCTTTATCCTGTAGAGTCCCCATAAGTCCCTATAGACATTTATCTTGGCACCTGTAAAAATATAGTTAACTTAATATTTATATGTTGGCCTTTCCCTTCCCAGTTGTAAGCATATTGAGGTAAATACTGGATATAGTTAATTTCTGTTCCTGGTACCTTTCATGGTGCCTGTGTGAAGCCACACACTCAAAGGTGTGCAGAAGGAATGAACTCAGAAGTATGGTTCCATGCTTTTGCTGCTGATCAAACATATTTATTCTTTCATTCCACATTTTCCTTTACAAAAGGAATAAAGGATTTACATATCACCTACTTTCTTAAAGATGGAAGAATTGTAACCAACATGCAGTATAGCTCTGTGTTGGTAATATAACAGTGGACTACATTTAATTGGAATTGTTTGTAAATTAATATTAATATCTTTATGTTATCAATATATATTAAAGCTTCTGATAAGAACTTTAAGCACTTTTCACTATACTCCTGACCACAGGATAGCAACTCAGTGGTGATTTTTTATGCAGTTCCACTGAAATTGCTCCAGGCAATTCACACAGCTGAGGCTGTATAAGTGCAAAATAGGGGAAGAAAGGAGAGCCAACACAGTCTTCCTGAGAGTACTAACATAGCAAAAGATAAATGAATTCCAAATCTGTTACTGCCATCTATTTACGTAAGTTTTTTCTTGAAATAAACAGCTTTTACTGGGTGGGAAATAATGTGTATTTTGTGCTGACAGGGTGAACTCTCATTGCTATGTCAAGCTTAATTTTCCCTTTTCTTCCACCCCCAGTCTTCATTTATTTTCAGGGTGTAACTCTTTGGGTCTCCCCACTCTTCTTGAGCAAACCTTTTGAGAGATTTCTGTTTGTACTTAGAAGGTGTTTTTTGAGAGAATAAGGAAACGGTGGAGGTTGGCAGAGAAAAAAGAATATAGAATAGGGTTAAAGAGTGGTTGGAAAATGTAACTGCGTTTCATAGGAGCAGGGTTATGGTTTGCTCATTGCTTTATCTCAGAATGCTTGCCAAGTAGTAGGCATACAGGAATTGCTGGTTAAATGGATAGTATTTTTGCCAGTTTTTGTTGTCATCATTATTGTTTGTTTTTGTTTTGTTTCATTTTGCCTTTTCTTGGACCATTGAAAGTTTCCTATCATTCCTGACTGTTTAAATATTTACCTTCTTGGATCACAAGACTGTTCTTTAAACTCTTTATGTAAACTTATTTTTGACTGTGTGGGGAGGCTTCCTTGTGTGAGACCAGGAGGAAAAACAGAGATCATGCTTTTTCCACATGGGGATACCCATGACCACTTCTACTCTGATTCCTGTAAAAGTTCAAGAGAAGAAACAACACCCACACTAGAACTGGTCTCAAAGGATATAGCAAATCACCCTGCAACATGTTATACAACTACTGCTCTTTTGCTTATTGGCCATTACTCCTTGAAACCCAGGATTTACAAGTCACTACTACCTCTGCATTTGCCCTGAAAATGGTCTTCTCAAATCACTTTAGTTCTCTTCCTAAAACACAGGTCAGATCGTGTCATTCTCTTTCTTGAAATCTTGGAATTGGCACACCACAGCTTGTAGAGCAACAGATGCATTCCTTGGCATAAAATTTAAAGTCCTTCACAAGTAGTCCTCAGGTGCCTTTCTAGCCTCATTTGCTGTGTGGTTCTTCTGTAGGAGACACATCCCAAGCACCCAGTGATAACTGTCTTTTTGTGTTTGTGCTGTGCCCTCAGTCTGCAGTGACTTCCCTGTTCATTATTCCTTCTGTGTCTTTGTCCAAAATTTTCTCCTTCTTAGGAGGACACCAGTCATTGGATTAGGGTGCCTACTAATTCAGTATGGCCTCATCTTAACTTGATTATATCTGCAGAGACCCTGTTTCCAAGCAAAGTCATATTCACAGGTATAGGAATTAGGACTTGAACATATCTTTTTTGGGGACACAATTTAAACTACAGTACATGGCTCTAGATATTTTAAAGAGAATTCTGTTTTCTGTGTTTCAGATCACTTGAACTAGTGTCTGTCATGTTTCAGGGAAGTAACTGAGACTTTGGTTCCTTGCTTTTCTAATCTTGATGAGTAGTTTCAGAAATGAGGCCTGGCTTCAATGCTAACCAGGCAAATCCTGGCATCATGGAATTTTAAAACCAAAAAGAGTCTGTATAAGTCATTTTGCTTAAATTTTACAATAAGAAAAGGTAGACAAATCATCTTCTCTTACTGTGCCTGAAGGCATAAAGTGGACATAAATAATACCCTGATGCCAAGGACAGTGTTCATTCTTTATGTTCAGCAAAAACAGAAATGAAATAATTCAGATTAGAATACATTTCCCTGAAGTGGTCAGCTATTTTTAGGCAAAAGCCCCAAGGCTTGTTTTCATACCCCTTTTGAATCATGCCGAGTGGCCCCAGTCATATGAAGAGATGTCATCAGTAAAGCACCAGGAACTGTGGTCAGTGCTCTTGGAAGCTCCACAGTAACTGTTGGTTGAATGTAGAAGTGAATGTGAATATGAAGAGAATATGTGTGCCATGGAGCTACCAATAGCTCAAGTCCTGTGTATAAGGGATGGCAGGGAAAGGGGCTGGGAGTGTGCTGGGAATTTCCATAGATTATCTCTTTTAATCTTCACAACAGGACCTATAAGTACTCCTAGGGGAGAAGTTCCCAAAACTATAAAACCGGTGGGAAGCAGAGCTGAGATTTGATCCCAAGCCTGTCTCATTCTGAAGCACTGGTGGCCTTTGTCCTGCTTCTGTTTCCTTTACCAAATTATGCAACTGTTTTTTCCTCTACTAATACTAAAATGTCAGTGTCTCACCGCACTTTGGGAGGCTGAGGCGGGCAGATTGCCTGAGCTCAGGAGTTTGAGACCAGCCTGGGCAACATGGTAAAACCCTCTCTCTACAAAAAATACAAAGAAATTAACCAGGCATGGTGGCACATGCCTGTAGTCCCAGCTACTTGGGGGGCTGAGATGGGAGAATTTCTTGAGCAGGAGGTTGAGGCTATGGTGAACCGAGATGGCGCCACTGCACTCCAGCCTGGGCAACAGAGCAAAAACCTGTCTCCAAAAAAAGGAAATGTCAATGTCAAAATTATATTTATGTATTAAACCAAAGACAGTATTCATATGTAAGAAGAATAGAGTTTTCCTCTTTTTTTTTTTTTTTTTTTTTGAGATAGAGTCTCCCTGTGTTGCCCAGGCTGCAATGCAGTGATGCGATCTCAGCTCACAGCAGCCTCGACTTCCCGAGCTCAGGTGATTCTACCACCTCAGCCTCCGCACTCCAGTAGCTGGGACTACAGGTGTGTACCACCGTGCCCAGCTAACTTTTTGTATTTTTAGTAAAGATGGAGTTTCACCCTGTTGCCCACAAACGCCTGGGCTCAAGCGATCAGCCGGCCTCGGTCTCCCAAAGTCCTGGGATTACAGACATGAGCCATTGTGCCTGACCGTTTTGTTTTGTTTTGTTTTTGTTTGTTTGTTTAACAGACGGGATCTCACTCTGTCACCAAGACCAGAGTCGGAGTGCAGTGGTATGATCATGGCTTACTGCAGCCTTGAACTCCTAGGCTCAAGTGATCCTCCCACTTCAGCTTCCTAAGTAGCTGGGACTACAGGTGTATACCATCACAACCAGCTAATTTTTAAAAAATTTTAAACAGTCTGGGTCTTGCTATGTCATCCAGTCTTGTCTGGAATTCCTGGGCTCAAGAGATCCTTTTTGCTTCAGCAACCTAAGTAGCTGGGATTACAGGTACGAGCCACTGTGTCCATCACTCGTATCTTATAAAATACTTTTAAAGCATTTGGATCAAAAAATGAGACAATCTGAAATACATACTTTTCCCCTCTGTGTCTTTTTAAAAATTTTTAAATTAAAAAAATTATTTTTAGACTCCTGAATCAGAACAATTGTCCATGATTTTTATTTCCATCCTTTTTTCATTGAAAAATAACATGAAACATTTAATAAGGTGTTATGATCATGATTAAATTTTATCTCTTCTAAAGTAGCTGTTTTCAGTTTGATATTTGAATATGTGTTATTCTTCAAAAATAAGGATTGAACAACTTGGTTATAAATTATAATGCTGTCTTGGCAAAATGTAATTATTAGGGCAAAATTCATTTAAAAGAAAATGCAAGGCAATTAAATCTGATTTTTTTTACTTTTAACAAAATCAACATATGTACTATGTTATAATAATATATAGCTTCAGAGCCTTTTTAATGACCTCATTTTATTTATTTATTTATTTAGAGACGGAATCTCCCTCTGTCACCCAGGCTGGAGTGCAGTGGTGCGATCTCGGCTCACTGCAACCTCTGTCTCCCAAGTTCAAGCGATTCTCCTGCCTCAGCCTCCTGAGTAGCTAGGATTATGGGTGCCCACTAGTGCGCCTGGCTAATTTTTGTATTTTTAGTAGAGATGGGGTTTCACCGTGTTGGCCATGGTTGGCCAGGTTGGTCTTGAACTCCTGACCTCAAGTGTTCTGCCTGCCTCGGCCTTGTGTAATTTTAAAATTTAGTGGTCTGGGTCATAGTCATCAGACTGTGTTGATTGTAAGTGACAGTGAACTAATTCCAGGAATAGTGCTTACTCAGGAACAGCTGGCTTTGGGTACTGCCAGGAATCTGTTTCATTCTATTGCTCACCTCTACTTTCCTCCACGCAGACTTTTGCTGACTTCATTTTCAGACAGGCCCTTACTTCATGATGGCAAAAATAGCCACCACCAACTCCAGGGTTACCATTTACAAGCTGAACAACTGAGTTTTGGGGCTGGCTCACACAGCCAGCTTGGGTCATGTGGCCATGTCTCATTAGCCAGACCTGAAACATGGACTCCCTCTGGACTGAGAGTAGAGGGAAGATGGTTTGAAAATAAACTTGGCTTATTATTATCAAGATTAGGAGGAAAGGATGCTGGGCGTGATAACTTAGGGCACAGCTTGTTGAAAGAAGGTACAACCAGAACTTTATATGTTTTGCCGTAGGGATTTAAGAAAACAAATCTGCTACCCAAAAAGAACATGTTCAGTATTAACTGCCTGAAAAAGGAAAAGACCAAAAATGCACAATTTGTGATTGAGTACCAGACACTGTATTAATTTTCTTTAAAAATCATAACATTACCAATCCTCTGAGGCAATTATTGCCATTTTGGAGCACTTACTGTGTGTCACACTTTGTGTGAGGCACTTTACGCTTTGTAGGACAGCTTTGTGAGGGCAGCCTTAATATTCTCATTGTACTGATGAAGAACTAGGAGGCCAGAGGCATTTGGGTTTGAATCCAGATGTGTCTTATTTCATTTATATCATCTCCTAGTTTTACAGTTTGCTTTTGTTAGTCTGTCTGTGTGTCCATCTATCCTCCTCTGTCCTGTCAGAGCTCCCCCTCAGCTTCTCTAAGCAAGGCCCCCTTTCACCTCGGGCACCTCTCCAGTCCATTGGGAAACCGGCTCAACTCTGTCCTCTGAGCATGCCACCAGTGTCTGTCCCCTTTCCCCCACCTCTGCTGCTGGAGCTCTAGCCTTCATTATGAAGGGCCAGAACTCTTATTATGAATTCTGTTTGGCCTTCCTGCTTCCAGTCTTCATCTCTTCCACCCCCATTTTCCTTAACAGCCAGATTGAACTTTCAAAAAGTGCAGACCTGATCTTATCAAGCGTCTGTTTTCCTTGGCTTCTCATGGAGGGAGAACATGATCCTGGCCCCTGCCTGCCGTCCTTTCCACCTCACGGCACTCACTCTCTGGCCTTTTTTCTTCTTCCTTCTCCAGTGCAGCAGTCTTACACCTTACCACCTCCTTCTCTGTTCCTATGGTGCGCATCATTTGTTTTGCTTCTTCAGGTCTGTGTTTACATGTCACTTCAAGTCCTTAGGGACTTCTCTGTCCCTTTCCCCTACCCCTTCAATCTGGAAATCTGAAGCTGTTTACTGCTCCTTTTTGTACTTTTCACAGTTTGTAGTGATACATTCGTCTGTGATTATTTGCCTAACATTCCCCACTGAATCATGAACTCCATAAGGGTGGGGACCAGGTCTGTCTGGTTAATTAATTGCTGAGTCTCTAGCAGCAACCACAGTGCCTGGAACATCACAGACACTCAAATATGTGTTGACTGGACTGATGGGTTAAAAACTGAGTATATCCAAAGCAGTGCACTTTTAAATGATTATCTTTTCTGTAGTTCCCTCACTCTGTAATTTATTAAGAATGAACCTATGTTTTCCTCAGAGCAGTTTTATCCCAGTTGCTTTTGGTTTGCTTAGAAACATGCTTCCTTTCTTGCTGACTGTAATTGCTAGCAATTCCAGTGCTCTACAGTGATGCACTTGGTTTCTGAAACTCCTGGATTAGAGCTAGCCATAATCGGGGAAGATAATAAATTTTAGGGTATGTAATTCCTCTTAATTTGACCTGAGTGTGGGTGAGGGAAAGAAGAGAAGGCTCTACCGACTTGCTCCAAATGGTTCCCTGCCCAATAACACAGAAGCCTTAACACTCCTTTAACTCGGATATGCTGTCCCCAGAACCCAGGCATCCAAATTTAGTCTTCTCTGCATGTCCTTGTGATTTCTGACTGCCATCTGTGTCCAAATTGGCTTTGGAAGGAGAAGCTTTCTCTCCAGTGATTTATTATTTAAAGCAGTCTTCTCAGCCCTTATCATGAAAACTGGCAATTTTCATATGGCCCTTTGGAATCCACATACAAGGCTATCTGTCCCAGGCTCACTGGTGCCCCAGTTCTGAGGGGATCACTAGCCCTGCATGCTTGTGGCCTTTTGATGTGCACACAGGCATGGTGACTGGGAAGCTTATCTGTCTGTGATCATCTCATGTGCTGCAGATAACATAACTTCTTTTGCCCTTTTTAATCCACAGTTGGTCATGTTCGGAGTTTGACCTGAATGAGATTCGCCTGATAGTTTACCAGGACTGTGACAGGAGAGGCAGACAAGTCTTGTTTGACTCTAAAGCTGTTCAAAAGATTGAGGAGGTGACAGCTCAGGTATGAAATGCTGATTTGCTTTCTCCTTTTCTTTTGTGCTTTTAACCACCCTTCTGATCAATCATTTATTAATCTATCATCTTCTCTTTGAGTTATATTATACAGTGCCATTAATGGTTCAGAAGAAACATAAGCAAGCATTGAATCCTTTAATCAAAGCCCTACCCCCAACAGGCATGAGTATGCTCACTGCTAAACACAAGTGAAACTGTTAGCAAGTAATCATGGCAGGAGCTAAGCAGTGTACTATTAATAGTACTAGAGGTAAATTTGCTGGTGAGTTGCAATCCAGTAAGATTTTGATGCCAAGTGAGTGCCTCAAATGTAATGGGAAAGCAGAACTCTAAAATTCATAAAGTGATAAAGTGTTAGTGTGAAGATCATTCTGTCCAGTGTTTCTCATGGATAATAATAAGTAGCACTGGGTTAAACAAAATTAAACAGCTTTGCTTATTTACAGGACTTCCATATGCAAACCTGCATTGTTATCTTCAAAAAGGATTGTTTCTCAAACCCTTCTGACCAGGGGAGCTTTTATTTATTTCCCATTTTTTTTGTGGAGAGTTGGGTGGTAGTGGTGGTGGTGGTGGTGGTGTAGGGTGGGCGACAAGCAATGGGTAGAGTGAGGATAGAGCAGCTCTTGATCCCTTGGAACCAGAATGGGAATGGTAAAGTAACATGTTTAAGGTGAGGAGAGTCTGATCCTTTCTGGGTCTTTTTTGGATATGATACCAGGGTACTTGTAAATTCACTTTAGACCTTTCATTCTCTTTTCAGTATTTGTTCAGATGCCTACAAATTAAATAAATCCACTTGTATTCATTCTTTTTATGTTCAATAAGTTGCTACCCATACTGACCAAATACTGGCAGTTTGTAGAATGTGCAGCTAAGTAAATGAACAGTTTATAACGCAGTCTTTGTCTCATCAGGGCCAAGGGGTTGTTTTCCTGCTTTTGATAAGGATCATTTCTGCAGGAAGGAAGTGTTTGGTTAAACACAGTTTAGCTGGGTGGATTCCACAGTGTTTTAAAGTGGAGTTCTGCCAGGTGGCTAATCATTACAGTAGTTGTTGGGCTTGTTAGGTAGGTGAAGGGAGGGAGGGGGAAACCAAGAAATCTCTCAGGTGATTCACTGTAGGCTTTCCAGGTTAGATTTGTAACAGAAATTTAGGTGAGCCAGCACTTGACCCTTTGGTGGACAGGAGATGGTTTACCTCTTAGTTTCTTGAATTATTTCCCATTTCTCTGAAGGCCTCACATGGATGGTCTAGTTGAGCAGCTATCACTGGGGCTGCTCATAGTGGTGGCAGGTGGAGGGGAAAAGAAACACAAGTTTTCAAAAGGAACTGGAATCTTCAGTGTACCAGAGCACTGATAATGCTGGAATCTGGAAACATAGGCTTTCTTAGAAGCATTCATCTAACCAAAAAGGCATCTTAGGTTCAGGAGGTTTGTAGCTTGCCCAAGGCTACAAAAGAATCCAGTCAGTGCTCTATTCACTACACCAGGTGGTTTCTCCAATTATAGACTGTTCAGCATTGTACTCCAGCCAAAGGGTCTAGCAGTCTGAAGCAGTGGCACCTCGTGTCACTTAGGCCCTCTGAGGGGCTGTGTTTCTGGCTTAAGTGAGATTGAGTAACAGCTTTATCTTTAGCGTGTTGAGGGAGTGCTGGGTGCTCAGGAATAATCAAGTGCCACTTTGAATGCCATCATTGCTGGAGTGACAGTTGTGGTCCAGCACATTTTGTGTTTTCCTTACGTTCTTTTCCCATTTTCAGTCCCCACCGCCCCAGCCTCCCTTGGCAAGCACAAAACGTCATGAGTTTGTATCAAGCACATGACTGCAGGCATTTGCATTAGACCACCAGTGTGACTGTCACATTGGAGATTAGATAAGCTGCAATTGCATTCATGTTTTTTTCCAAGCAAAAGCTACACAAGGAAAAAAAAAAGGCAAAGAAGACTCAGAATAGAAATAACTTATCATAGAGGGTGCAGGAAGCTTCTGTAGGGAGTAATATGTTTGGGGAGAGGTAAATATTAATAAAGGTTTATCCTTATACGTTTGTCACTGTGATAAAAATTAGTGGCAAACTCTAGGGAATGTATAGTAGAGCATCCTCTGTTGTCTTTAACCTTTGAAGACCATATTTCCATCACATGCTATGTAATTCACAGTAGCTCCTGTTTCAGGGTTTTGGTTTCATCCCTTACAAATTCAACCTCATGATTTTCCTTCCTGTTACCTTTAAAGGAGTAGTAGAGGAGGTGTGTCATTAAAAACACAAGTAGGCCGGGCGCGGTGGCTCACGCCTGTAATCCAGCACTTTGAGAGGCTGAGGTGGGCAGATCACGAGGTCAAGAGATCAAGACCATCTTGGTCAACATGGTGAAACCCCATCTCCACTAAAAATACAAAAAAATTAGCTGGGCGTGATGGTGGGCACCTGTAAGTCCCAGCTACTTGGAGGCTGAGACAGGAGAATTGCTTGAACCCGGGAGGCACGGGTTGCAGTGAGCCGAGATCATGCCGCTGCACTACAGCCTGGCAACAGGGTGAGACTCCATCTCACAAACAAACAAACAAACAAAAAACCCTACGAGCCAGTCTGCCCAAATTAATAGTTTTGTTTTATTAGTTCCATTTGCTTAGTAAAAATTTAGATTTGAAGCCTCATCTTTCTCCTCATCAATGTAATGGATTATGACTCTACATAATACTAAAAAGCTAATAATCAAAACTCAAATAACCAAAACAGAGGTCAATTATGTGAATTGAAGTGTAAATAATAGTTAAATTATTAAAAGAGGATAAAGTCTTAATACATAACCTACCTCCTTTTGTCTAGAACCCTTCTTCAGCATTCTGCCATCCCAAACCATGTTTTTGTCATTATTGGGGAAAAAAAAAAGCTTCTGTTTTTTAATGCAACCTAGGCACCAGAATGCTTTTAAAAAGGAATTCCCAATGAAGAACTGTTGACGAACCTGATATACTTAGTAATCTTTTACCTTGCCTGTCTCTCTTAACCTAGAAAACAGAGGATGTTCCTATTAAAATATCAGCCAAGTGCTGCCAGGGAAGCAGCAGTGTCAGCAGCAGTAGCAGCAGCAGCATCTCTTCCCACAGTTCTTCTGGGGGATCTTCACATCATGCTAAGGAACAGCTTCCAAAGTACCAGGTACAACCATCCCTTCTGTGGGAATAGCCCCTGAGGTTAAAGTTATTTACTGTAATTTCTCCTTGGGAAATAATGCCTGCTCGAGGGCTCTACTCCAGGAATATGAGGACAAGTATTCAACAGAGTACTCTTAAATGTTTCACATCGATGTTGTTTTTGCTCTTTGGCTTTTATCTCCAATAAAAACTGTAATCAAGCAGAGGTAATACAGCCTACTGTGAACTGGATGAGGAAGAAATATTGCCAGTCAGGTAAATTACCTTGCTTTGTTTCCTTTGCTCTCTGATCCAGAATAATAAACATGTACTTTCCAGTTTTGTTATAAGAATTCCTAAGGATTCTGGGAATGTATATGGGCATCCTAAGAAAATAGAACATACCAGTAAAAGGAAGAAAGCCTTGTATGGGAACAGAAAGAAATGGCAAGATCTAATCTGAGTATGAAGGATAAAAGGCTGATGGCATTTTTTACACTGTGTGTGTGGGGTGTGTGTGTGTGTGTGTGTGTGTGTATAAGGATAGGGGTTAAGGTTATTGAGAAATATTGGCTAACAAGATAAAAAGGAAGAAATGTTTTATAAATATTGAATGGCAAAAGAATATTAATTGATGGAGGATATATTGAACTTTTTCTTAAACCCATGTAGAATCTTTTCTACTATTTTGCTGGAAAAACAATACTAGGGAAGTTACCAGCAAATGGGTCTGGAGAACTTTGTTTTTTCATAGTTAGGATTTGTGCCATGCATTTGCCCTTTTTGAGACACAGTGCTCCAGGGTCTCACAGCAGTCTGCAGTTTAAAAAGTATGGAGTAGAATTTTCAGCAGGTTGAGAATCACAGTTGGCATGTGGCCCTTGTACCCCAAGAAAAAGCAGATTATAAATGAAGGAGGTGGGTGGAAGTTAGTAATAAAGAATGTGAAAACCAGTTGGTTTCTGTCTGCATATAGTGGGAAGAAGTTGGTTTGAGCTATAACGAGAGAGAGGAACCTAGCTGAGCAGGGCTGATAGATTTATCTTTCTTTTTTTTTTTTTTTTTTTTTTTTTGAGACGGAGTCTCGCTCTGTCGCCCAGGCCGGACTGCGGACTGCAGTGGCGCAATCTCGGCTCACTGCAAGCTCCGCTTCCCGGGTTCACGCCATTCTCCTGCCTCAGCCTCCCGAGCAGCTGGGACTACAGGCGCCCGCCACCGCGCCCGGCTAATTTTTTGTATTTTTAGTAGAGACGGGGTTTCACCTTGTTAGCCAGGATGGTCTCGATCTCCTGACCTCATGATCCACCCGCCTCGGCCTCCCAAAGTGCTGGGATCACAGGCGTGAGCCACCGCGCCCGGCCCAGATTTATCTTTCTCTTTCCGCCTCTGCAACCGTGCATAAGTAAGTGTGTATTTGTGCGTCAGCGTATGTATGCTTGTGTGTCTGTGTGTGTGTATGTATTTGGAGTTTTAAAAAAAGATTTGGAAGAGTATGTTAAGGGTGATTCCCATGTTTTTCCTTGGGTGGAAAGCACACTGACAGAGAATATAGTTGGCAGGTCGGGGTGCAGAACCATGGTTGCTTTGGTGGCACACTGGTTTGCTCAGCATTCATACCTGTCCTGTTCATCATTGTGTCACTAGCACTTAGCACGGGTGCTCAGAATTCTGCATCCCAAGACACTCATTCAGATGTCACTAGGTGAATGAATGTATTGGGGTATACGATTCTAGAGCTCCAGGAGAGCTCTTGGTCTAGAGACAAAGATGTAGGAGGTATTCTATGTAAATAATAATCAAAATCAAAAGAATAGTTGAAAAGGCGGGCAGTTAGTAGGGTTGACCTCCAGGCAAAACCACAGTAAGGGATGATCTGAGAAAGAAGAGAGTCAAAATGGAGAGTCATGAACAGCATCAAATATATTGAGAGAAGTTTAATAAAGCAAACTGGAAAGGGTCCATTGGATTTGACCAAGAGGGAGGAGGTCATCATTGGAGCAGTTGAACTAGTTTGAGCTAAGAGGTAAAGTCAGGCTGTGGTAGATTAACAAGCCAGTGAGAGTAGAGGAAGAGGAGGCAGGCAGTCCACTCTTTGGTTGGTAAAGGCATGAGAAAGACTGGTCAGAAGCTAGAGGGGTCAAATGTTGTTGAAATACTTTTGTAAAACTTCAGAGTTATCAGACCATCTGTTATCTTTTGGGCCCTCATAAAACCCTATCTGCAGCAATGGGCATTTTTTATTCCACATTGTTAATTATTTGGCTGAATAATACCGAACCATATTTTTTTCAGGATGTTTTCTTAGTACCAAGAGAAGAGTTACAGTTATTTTCATAATTTAATCTTTGTATTTAGAGTTTATAAATGGAGATAATAGTAATCTTTGTTTCTCATAACACAAATAAAAATGAACTCTAATAAAACACTTGGATCCTAGGTGATGATGTTGTGTACAGAGAAGAAATCACAAACATTAGTAATACTTTGGGGGGGAAAATAGGCAATCGCCATTATAAGTTAAGATTGTAAGATGACCACTTGAAGCTTTGAGAAATAGTTTTAATCACCGATGACACTAACGAGATTAATAAACATTATTTTCTGTTGCATTGCATGTCATGTTCCATGTACTAACTTTGATTTTGTTTTCTTGCATGTAGTACACAAGACCAGCTTCCGATGTCAACATGTTAGGGGAAATGATGTTTGGCTCAGTTGCCATGAGTTACAAAGGCTCCACCTTAAAGATACACTACATACGGTGAGTCTGGGCTTCCTTTTCTACTAGTTTTGAGAAGTGGAACGGTGGTATTGACTCCTTAACTCATAAATTTATTTTTCCCCTCTCCTTTTTTCCCCTCCACAGTTCTCCTCCACAACTGATGATTAGTAAAGTCTTCTCTGCTAGAATGGGCAGCTTCTGTGGAAGTACAAATAAGTAAGTGTAGGATTTTGCATTCCCCACCCCCATTTTTTAAAGTGTGTATTTCTAGATAGACTAATTCTTTAAGGGCCATAAGGCATTTTGAAATGACAAGCAGAATGAGTCCAAATTAACAAAGGGGCTTTAAAAGTGGCTACTGTCCTATAAACAGTGAGTGGGAAAAGACCTTTGACTTTATTAGGTGGCCCTAAAGACAAATGGCTGTCTTTATATGTTTTGAGTCTCCATCTGTTACCCAGTCACCAATTTTTAATTTCCTGGGAAATCAAAAATAAAGAACAAAAGGGAAGGGGCTACATTATTCTGAAATATCTGAGAACTTAAACTCATTTTGGCATATTCATTCATGTATTTTGAACTTTCAAGCAGAAATATTTCATATACTTCATTTTTTAAATAAAACAACAAAACACCAGTTGTACTTTGATAAGTTTGAAAGAAGCGCTTGTTATAAATTAAAGGACATTCTTAGGGGTCAAGTAAAAGCTGTTTTTTCTTATCCTGGGAAATTAAAAATATTTCTCTATATATTTGAATACCATTAAGTGAGTCTTGGCTTACTCTTCAACAAAACAGTTTGAACATTTAACATTGGAATGTCATGACTTAAGCCAATATGAGAATTTTTATTTATTTCTTGCGAGATTTGTTTTTAACAGACCCTTGGGATTACCTGAACGTTTATTGCATTAATTCCCTTACGTGCAGATTTAAGTAAAAATTATTTTGCCTTCATTATGCTGTATTATTCTCAAAGTCTTTCTGTCGTCGTTTTTGTCAGCTCTACACACAGCAAAAGTCTTTAATTGTTAATAAATACAATAAATTATTAAAATCTGCTTCCCTCACATTTTTATGAGTAATTCTTTTTAGAAGTTGTGAAATGAAACTCCTGTAAGAATTATAATTTCTGTTGCATTTTATTCCTGAAAAAAGTTGCTGAATTGCTCATTGATGTTAACCAAGAGTAAAAATTAATTTCATTTTGAGAGTTTATGTAAAATACTTAAAATGAATGTCAACAAGTTGGCTGTCAGTTGCTAAAGCAAAATGTAGAAATGAATAACAGTATCTCGGGTGTCAGTCACTGAAGCAAAATTTAGAGTTTGGTGTCTCATTATATTATATGAAATTGTTAGAAGTACAGTTGTTTAGTTACACGGGTTGAGCTACCTCCAAAATAGCTTTTGTTTTCTTCCAACAAATTCACCTGAAGTTGCAAGTTTAATTCCCTTTGGTAGATGTGAGACTTTGTTTATAAAGAAAAGTATTGAGTGACTGATCAGTCGTTGTCTATATTTGGAAGTCTATTAGAAAACAGCTTTAGTAGCTTCTTGACGTTTTTGTCCTCTTTCTCCTTTTCCCCCCCATCTCCGGATATAGCTTGCAAGACAGCTTTGAGTACATCAACCAAGATCCTAATTTGGGAAAACTGAACACAAATCAAAATAGTTTGGGTCCTTGTCGTACTGGAAGTAACCTAGGTAAAATCAGAGATACAAACAAATTCTTTCTTTCTGAATACACTATTGTGGGTGTGTGTTTTGCTTTATTTGAGTTTGTCGTGGGTTTTTTTTTTTGCGTTATCTTTAATCTGTGTTTATTTTTTTTGTATGTGTACTTTGTTTGCCCTCTTCTATGTGTTTCCATCTCTAGGTCTGCTGCAAGCATGCAGCAGCAAACTGCTGCAGGGGGTAGCTGAAGGAGGACCTCTCCGGCTCACCCGGAGTGCTTCTTTCTTTGCAGGTTTGTGTGGAATGCTGAGTACAGTGTGACCCACACATATTAATAAATCCTGTGCAGGTTCTTAGGAAAAATCCTACTTGTGCCTCTCTAGAAATCCAAGGGGCTCTTGTGATCACAGATATTGGTTTCAAATGCGGCCAAATCCATGGTGTTTCGAAAATTCTGCCAATGAACCTCTCTTGTAAATGTCTTCGCTAATACTCTAGTGTAAGCTGATTTTGATCTGAAATGAGCCCTTAGTATTTCCAAGAGGATTGTTTTTTTCTGATTTTTCTGGGCCTCTTCTGCTACTATGAACTGTTTCCCTTTGCCTTGGTGTCTTTTATCCATTTATTCAACTGCATCCTTACCTGCACGGAGTTTCATTAAAAGTCACTCTAATAAGAGCATGGAAGACTTCTCTCTCTCTCTCTCTCTCTCTCTCTCTCTCTCTCTCTCTCCCTCTCTAAGTAGTGTAAATACAATTTCTAGGTTATTTACAGGTATAGTCATCTTGGTGTCTCTGAGATTTAACTTGTCTTAGCATGATTAAACATGTGAGGAACCTCCATTACTAACATTTAAAGTTGTGAGTATAGCAAATGGTATTTTCCTTTCTGTTCTTTGTAGCCTGAAATATGCTAAGCACCATAGTTAACTGACACCCTGATAAAATTGACACGCTCCTACCTACTTAGAGTGAGGAAAATGCATTTAAATACTCTCTTTAAAATTGTGAAAATAAACATGCTTCAAAAAAATAGCTGTCAAGTATAATAATCAGGCAGAGCACTGGGCTGCTTGTCCATTTAAAACTTCACTACAGCAGCAGCATATCTACCTTCTAGCACAATAAGTATACAGCTTAGGTCAATCTGAAGCATTCCTAGAAGTCTGTAATACTTCAGAGTGTTTTCCACAGTTCATGCCAGAACATGAGTTTTTCTAAGTAACTCTACAATAATACTGTGTATGGGTGTATATGGAAAGAAATGGAGGAAGAAATATTTGAAAATGAGTATAAATGTTTTCTATCTGCCAAGAGAGTGGGTTATAAACAGAGAAACATTTTTTGAATTTATGAAATGGTTTTCAAGTATTTCTCTTCCCTAAGTCGCCTACAGTTACTACCAAAACTGATTATAAAGCATTTTGAAATACATTGCTATTTAAATACTACTACTAATGAGGAAAATGGCTAAAAAAAATTACCTGAGAATGTTTATTCATTGCATCAACTGCACGAATCATTTATTATTCAGAGTTTTTTTTTTAAGAGTTGAACATCACTCAGAAAAGTTTGTATGCTTACAATTGAATACAGGCAGATTTTTATGAGATGGTTACTTGGTTCTCTTTTCTTCTCATCATCTTTTTATATATTTAATTTTGCCTTCTAGTTAATCTCTATTAAAAGCTTATGCCAATCATCAGTAGCAGTAGCCTACTTTGAAATTTAAAAATTACTGCAGTCATTTTAAAAACTTTATCTCTGAAGAGCCCAATAACATGGTTTTCTTGTTCCTTTATCTTAGCACACAGCACACCAGTTGATATGCCAAGCAGAGGACAGAATGAAGACAGGGACAGTGGCATTGCTCGATCAGGTACTTGTACTCTGTTTATTGGTTTAACTAACAGAGTGAACTATCTACAGTGGTGTGGAAGGTGGGAAAGTAGAAGACAGGTAGATAACCCTCATCCTGTTCTTTGTTTTTTCCTTCCTAAGATAGTCTGACATATCTAAAGATCTGAAACTTTAATGTACAGTATCCATGAGTGATTGTGCAACATAAACTAGTTTTTTCTAACACTCAAATTTATATGAGACTAATGTTTGTTAAGAAATTTCTTTCCAGAATGAAGCTTCCTTGAGCCCATTGTACTAGTAATGTGCTTGCTTGACTGTTGAGTATAGACTCAGAGGAAGAGAAGGGTTTGTGGAAGTAAATCTGTCCTGTGACAGTGGGAGGACCAGCCAGCTGACCTGGTCACCGTTTCTTCTGTTCTAGAGACATGCTGATCTAGATTTTATCAGGTACCCTTCTCTCCTTGCCTCAAGGCCTAAACCTTTCTGTTACTGCTTTTAGGATCTGTTGGTTTCACCTTTTGTATGTGACCTCTTTTGAGTTTTGACTTGTGGTTCAGATCTGAGATTTTGTATTATAAGAGAAGGGTGGTGAATGAGTGAACTGAAATTCAAGGACTGGAGGTGGTGTGTGGTGCTCTGCTTGATGAATACATATGGTACAGGCAGCCCCTACCTTCCAGTGAGACTAGGAGCACCCTGCTGGTTTCTCCTGTGATACATGACACCTTCAACAAATGGGCCAGCCAGGCGTTGCTCAGACTGGATGCAGGCCTCACATGATGTTCTTCTTGGCCTTTCACTCATTTCTCTGTCCACACTACTCCAAGGTCCTTGTGCTCCTGTGTAGCCTCAGAGCCTTTTAACCCACTCTGTGCAACTCTGCTCTTGTGTTAATAAATGAAATGTGATTTGTTACTGAGTCTCCAGTTTGGTTTACATATGTCACATAATGTAAAGTAATAGCATTTTATTTATGGTTAAAATCGATGTGTTTTGGTGTTCATAATCTTTTCTGTAAAGTTGAGCTGGGAACCTTTGGTCAGAAACTCTCATTGATCAGGCCGAGCACAGTGGCTCACCCCTGTAATCCCAGCACTTTGGGAAGCCAAAGCGAGCAGATCACTTGAGGTCAGTTTGAGACCAGCCTGACCAACATGGCGAAACTCCATCTCTACTAAAAATACAAAAAAAAAAAAAAGAAAGAAATTAGCCAGGCGTGGTGGCGCATACCTATAGTCCTAGCTACTCAGGAGGCTGAGGCACGAGAATCATTTGTACCTGGGAGGCGGAGGTTGCAGGGAGCCGAGATTGCGCCACTATACTCCAGGCTGGACAACAGAGACTCCGTCTCAAAAAAAAAAAAAAAAAAAAAAAAAAAGAGACTCATTGATCAGACCTGTATCATTTTCACTTACAGCCATAACATAAAGTCTGAGAAGATAAAGGGAAACTTATGAAGCACTAAGTAAACTGTTTTGCTTTTGTTTCTGTTTAATGGTGCTGAAGATAACTCCTCCAGTCTTTGTGGGACACTGTCAGATAACTGAGTTCCATCAGTTACTCAAGGACAATAAGCATGTGTTTACAGAGCTTAGTGTCCCAAAGCTCGGCTCCCTGCCTTTGTAACCACCTGCGACCCAGCCCCTGACAGGACTGGCACTAGGGCTTTGTTATGGTTGACTTTCCTGGCAAGAAGATGTATGTGGGCCTTACCAGAAGTCGCAGAGTGGGAAGCACAGCCCCTAGAACCAAGATCACTCTTAGTCAAAATGGCTGTCTTAGTGGGTGACAGAATTTAACATATTTGCCTCTGTGTGGTGGGAGCTCTTTAGCTCTCTGTGAAAGAAAGAAAGATGAGCAACATTCTACTGGGGCCCGTTCTGAACACTGACATCACAGTTTCTGCACAGCTGTAACCTTATTTATTTGTTTATGCCCCTTTTTGTTGTGGAGAAAAGATTCAGGGAATTTGAGGGACCTAACAAAGAAACATTATTAGGAAAAGTTTGGATTTTCCTAGGTAACTTTTCAGTTTATAATATAGTTCATATAAATGGTTCATGTTGTACAGGTTGAAATCTTACTTGTTTTGTATTCAGATTCTAAATTGCTCCTGAAACTACTTTTCCTTGCTCTTTGAGAAACAGGAAAGTTGGGAAGCCAAGTTCAAATTAAAGTAGAAAGTCAGATTAAAAGTAAAGATTCAGCCAGATCAGAATGCTTTTTTGCAGTCCATGAGAGGAACTAGGGACTGACCAGATTGGAGGAAATGGGGGATAGGTGTTGATACCAGTGTGAATTTTGAAAGCTGGAGAAGGCTGGCTTTCCTTGGTAGTTTGACTTCTATTCTGGGCAGTCTTTACTTCCAGTCTCTGGTTCTCCTGTTGGGAGGAAGGGAGCACAGATGGTGGAGGGGGCTGCAAATGGCCCTGAGTGGCATTTTGCTCTCCCTGCTATCCTGGTAGATGTGTTTACCTTCAGATATCATACCTAGGAGTGGTTCAGAAGTCACAGAGTCCACGTCAAGACTAGTGTGAGCTTCACACCTGTGGTGGCATTTAGCACTCTTTTAATGTAAGAACTCTTTATGTTCACACTGTAATTTGTTCGCTAAGATTTCATCTCCTTATACCCATCTAAAATTGTGTAGGGATGAAGGCCCAAGTTCTGAAACAGAGCAGGAGCTCCAAGTGTGAGAGTTAAGTTAGCAGTAGAAGATGTAGAGAAATTAAAGACATAAAGATATTATTTATTCTCTTTTAGGCCTGCTTTTTTTTTTTTTTTTTTTCTGGCTCTGTTGCCCAGGCTGGTGTGCAATGGCACAGTCTTGGCTCACTGTAACCTCTGCCTCCCAAGCTTAAGCCATCCTCCCACCTCAGCCTCACAAGTAGCTAGGACTACAGGTACATACCACCACACCTGGCTAATTTTTATATTTTTGGTAGAGATGGAGTTTCGCCATGTTGCTCAGGCTGGTCTGGAATTCCTGAGCTCAAGCAGTCCACCCACCTTAGCCTCCCAAAGTGCTGAGATTATAGGTGTGAGCCACCACGCCTAGCCTAGGCCTGCAATTTTTAACTTCCTGTCCAAATAGTTGATAAATGGGGAAATTTTTAAAAATAGTTTTATTTTCTAGAAGTTTTAGACTTACAGAAAAATTGAGAAGGTAGTACAAGAGTTCCCATATAACCTGCCCTCAGTTTACCCTATTATTAACATCTTATATTAGTATGGTATATTTGTTACAATTAATGAACCAATGCTGATACATTACTATTAGCTAAAGTCCACAGTTTTTTTTATTTCCTTAGTTTTTCATCTAATAGCCTTTTCTGGTTCTGGGACATTACACTTAGTTGTCATGTTCTTCAGGCTTCTCTTAGCTGTGGTGGTTTCTCAGATTTTCTTTGTTTTTCGTAATCTTGAGGAGTACTGGTTAGGTATTTTGTAGATTGCCCCATTATTAGAATTTAATGTTTTTCTCATGATTACACTGAGGTTGTGGGTTTGGGGAAGGAAGATCATAGAAGTAAAGTGCCATTTTCGTCACATCCTATAAGGGTATATATCACCAACATTATTTATGACTGTTAATATTGGCCTTGATTACCTGGCTGAGGAAGTGTTTGTCAGTTTCTCCACTGTAAAGTTACTCTTTATTTCCTCCTGTCCAGGCTGTGTACTTTGGAGAGAAGTCAGGATGCTTACCCCATACCTAAGGGGTGGGGAATTATGCTGCCCCTCCTTGAGGACAGAGTACCTACATAAATTATTTGGACTTCTCCTGTGTGGAGATATATCTCTTCTCCCATTTATTTGTTTAGTCATTATTCTACTATGGACTCAAAGATATTTATTTTTCACTTTTGGCTAAAACCCAATACTACTTCATTTCTATTATTTATTTATTTATTTTTTGGAGACGGTCTTGCTTGTCCCTAAGCTGGAGTGCTCTTGTGTGATCATAGCTCACTGCATCACTGCAGCCTCGAACTCCTGGGCACAAGGGATCCTCCCTCCTCAGCGCCCTGAGTAGCTGGGACTACAGTCATGCACCACCACACCCAGAATTTTTTTTTTTCTTTTATGTAGAAACAAGGCCCCACTATGTTGCCCCGGCTGGTCTCAAACTCCTGGGCTCAAGCAATTTTCCCACCTCACACTCCCAAAATAGTGGGGTTACAGGCATGAGCCACAGCACCCCACAACTTCATTTATTTGTTGCTCAAATTGTTTCGGTTTTGACCATTGGGAGCTCTCTCAGTAGGCTCCCATGCTCCTTTAACATACCTCTATCTGTGAGGGGTTGGGGTGAGTATTTTGAGCACTTCCTTACTTTCTGGCAAGACAAGATGCTCCAGAGTCATCTTATGTATTTCCTATCCCTGTCCTAGAATCAGCCATTTCTCCACTTATAGAATGTCTTTGGAAAAAGCAGCACAAGCTGGGGCAGGTATGGAGGGAAATGCATCCTCATTGTATTCTCTTTTGGATATTTTGAATATGTCTTCTTTACATATACAGATCCAAAAGATAGCTTTTTAAGGGGTTATTCTAGTGGTTCCCATTAGAAATTTTCAAGTAGGGTCTTGGGAGAGAAGAGGGTTGGGTGTCAGCCATACTAGGAGGTTGCATCAGCAAAGTTCAGTGATTAATGGGACACAGGTTATGGAGGAGGAAGGAGGAACCAAGGATGCATCTCCAGTTTCTAACCTGAGAAAGCGAGTGGAAGGTGAGCATTATCCAGTACAGGGAAAGCAGGAGGCCAGGTCAGGGAGACAGATACTGAGATAATTTTCTAGCTACAGAGATTGGGATACATTTTTACCTAGAAATGTCTACATGTTCTCCAGTTGTGCATAGTCAGCTGTAATTTAGAAATAGGAAACTGGCTCTAGTGAGATGGGTTGGAGTAGAAGCTAAAATTTGTTTTTTTGTTGTTGTTTTTTTTTTGAGACAAGGTTTCGCTTTGTCACCCAGGCTGGAGTGCAGTGGCGCAATCTCAGCTCACTGCAACCTCCGTCTCCCAGGTTCAAGCTATTCTCCTGCCTCAGCCTCCCAAGTAGCTGAAATCACAGGCGCACACCACCACACCCAGCTAATTTTTGTATTTTCAGTAGAAACGGAGTTTTGCCATGTTGGCCAGGCTGGTCTCAAACTCCTGACCTCAGGTGATTCACCCACCTCAGCCTCCCAAAGTGCTGGGATTACAGGTGTGAGCCACCGTGCCCAGCCAGAAGCTAAAGTTTGGAAGTCTTGAGTACATGAGTAGAGTAAGGTTCAGAGGGCTGGGATTGAGACCAGTGTCATCAAGCCTTGTCTATTGACCTGAATTCAGCTTTAAACTCTTCCTCGTCAAGGTGTTCACATCATTGATAAGAAAAATACTTTTTCCATTCTGTCTGCAACTGCATTTCCTCTGTTCTTAAAAGTGGTAAAATAAAGAAAGTCAGTATAAGGAGAACTTACAATATATACTTTTAAACATTTTTATTTAAATGCTTTGAAATGAACTTTCAGGGTAAGAATCTACATTATCATAGTGTTCAAATAAGACATGTGTTTTGGTCACTCTGCAGATACAGGATGTATAACCATCCAAAATTTGGTGTAGATGTCAAGATTGATGACTCTACATGCACACACCAAGAGGATATGAAAAGGTTTATTACTCACATAATGAGGCTGTTCTGGGGAGACAACAGGGTGGGGGCTTCTCAAGCTGGTTGGAGAATGTCTTCAGAGAATGGGACAGGGGATTACACTGGGGATTTTATGATGGTTGCGAGATAAGGCTGGGGTGAGGGTTCCTGCATATGGTTTGAAATTCTCACTGGTACCAAAGGAGTGAGCACCTGGGCTTTCCTCATCAGTTTGCCCAGGTGTGGAGCAGAAAGGGAAGAGGGAGAGGAGGGTAAAGCTTAAAAGCTATCAGGAGTTGAACATCAAGAAACAAGTCAGGTTCTTTATTACAGTGTGGGACCATTGAATAATGAAGGATGGCATCCCGTTTGTACGTGAACCCTTCACCAACTGAACTGATAGAGTGCTTTGTAGAGAGGAGCAAGAGCAAAGGAGGGTACTGTTTTTATTTATTCTTTGTGTCAGGGAAAAGGCTGTGACACCCCATTGACCTTGCACAATTCCATACAGGCAAAGGCTTAAGCTGCATCTTATCTGAGCCCTGGCAGTACAACTTGATCCTCTTGGAACACTTCCCTAACTTCCCCGGGAGGCTGTCATGATAGTTTCTCATCCACTCCAGAGTTCTGATGAGGTATGGGACTTTCTGCCCTACCCGCCTCAGACTAGAGCTGCAGTATATAAAAGCATGTAGCTGCAGTCTAGAACTGACTCCCCAGCAACGGGATATCCCACAACTTGCCTTGTAGGCATCTGGCCCCTTTTGTGTTGGTGTTGTCCTTTTTGATGTATGGGGCAAAGATCACTGGGAGCTGGCACCTTTGGCTTATTCTTCTTTTCACTGTCTATGTAAGTAATAAACTATCCAAATCTAAAAGTGCCTGGTTGTATCTTAACCATCGAATCTTGGCCTTGGCCTTAGCCTTGCTTTGCCTTGTCTTTATATATGTGAGCTTGATAATCTGTAGTGTGGCTCAGTTTCTTATTTCTTTATATTTCTCCTATTTCAGATGTTTGGTATTTTCCTGGCATGGATATTTATCTTTTTCATTTCCACAAATTTACTTGGTCTTTTGCCTTAGCTTTTTCCTTTCTAAATTTGCATTCTTACATACCTGTTAAAGAAAAATTAGAAAGTAATGAAGATAGCAATAAAAACTGTAAGGGATAAAGGAATAAATCTAAGAAAAAATATGTGATACTGGTATTGAGAAATTGTAATAACTTATATTAAAAGAAGACCTAAATAAATGGAGCGATACATCAAATTCTGCAAATTAATCTATAAGTTTAGTGTAACTTGAATTAAAATCCTTTGTGAAGCCAGACTAAATAACTTTTACTTAAATGAAATAATAAAGGACCACATTTTTATGCCCTCCGTAAGTCTTTTGTAGACACCTCTTTCTTAGAGCCCAAACTATAAATAAAAGACACAGTACACTAGAATAATTTGACATATAAATGCGCAGAGTGAGTTGGTTACCAAGGTGGCTAGCATTTATACCTTAGATAAATTAAAATTTAAGGTGTTTTAGCATACAACATATCCACGTAACAAAACTGCACTTGTACCCCTTATAAATTTTTAAAACCTTTGTATAAATTTTTTTTAATTATACAAATTTTTTAAAAAGGAAAAAATTTAAGATGTTTTGAAATCAAGGTGGTAAGAACATTGGCTTTTTATTAAAGGGCCTTTATAGGAATTTTATTAAAACTTTAAAGTACCTGTTTGGCTTTTGAGGACCCTTTAAAGTCCTAAAATCATTTTGTGATTTGGGAACTATAATGTATTCCTTATAATTTGATTTTCCTATTAACATTTTTGGTTTATTTTAAATGAAATTTTCCTGCTAGACAATAATTACAGCTATACTCATTTACCTTTTAAATGCTCCTGTGTTTGTGTGTTGAGAAATACAATTGCTAAACTTCGAGGAACCTTGTATTTTTGCCAGTGTTTCAAGCTAAAACTTGAAGATAAGTAGTGTCATATTACAGTAAACAAAGATCATTATTGTGTTGTGGATGTAATACCCCCTGCGTCAAACATATATAAAAAGTGCTCAGATTCAGAGCCATACTATCACTTATGCCATCCAAAAAATTGTTTTTAATGAAGACAGGGGAAAAAAGAAAATCTAAATGCCGTATATACTGTGTTGGCCACAGGAAACTTTTAACAAATTCAGTATTTGAATTCTGTCCAGAAATGTGTTTCTCTAATGCTTCATTTCTGTCACACTTGAAGAGATGGGTATCACTGTCATCCTGCACATACTGTTTGCTCATTCTTCATCCAGCAGCGTTTCTTGAGCACCTCATGTGGCGGACATTTTTTTCTAGGATATGAGAATAGATCAGTGGTCAAATGGATATTATCCCTGATCTCACAGATTTTATATTCAATAAAGGAGAGACAGATAATAGACAATAAAATGTAGGCAACCACTTACCACTGAGGAAAAGAAAACTTATGGAAGGCCTCTCTGAGAAGATGACATTTCAGCTGAGACTTGAATGGCAGTAGGGACCAACTATGTGAAGATCACAACAAAGAGCATCTTAGGTACGGGAAGGGCTAGGGCTAGTGCAAAGATGTATCGTGGGGATGGGAGAGTGGTGCAGAATGAGCCTGGAGAGGAAATAAGGGGTCTGATCCCACTGCTACATTTTTTATTTTGATGGGATTGTTTCCACATGTATTTGAATGGCTGCTGAAGACAGAGAAGAGTTAGGAGTTCTCTGCAGCATCCTTTCCCTAGATGTCTCCTTGCAAATGAAAATGCTTGGCAGGGCATAGATCTGTTCTAGGGTCCTGCCCTGATCATTTGCTGTAGCCCTATTTCCTGGACAAAGTCTGAGGGTGCTGCCTGTTTGGAACCGTGATCACATTTTTCGGCAGAATAAATAAGCCAACCTCAAAACTTTTTCCTTTGAAGAAACTGGAGCTGCTTCTGAGTGCTTGACTTCTGCACCTTCTTTCTCGACTTACCACATTATGTGGTTATGTTGTTAAATCCTTGAAGACTTTTGTTTGTTCTTCTTCTCCCTCAGAGTGTGAGCTCCATGAGGGCAGAAACCTACCCAATCTGTCATATTAACAGATCTGTTCCCAGCAGCTCATATAGTACCTGGCATATAGTAGATGCTCAATGAATATTTGAATGAGGGGGGGAAAATAAATCCATCCATATATATAAGTAGGAGTATGCTTGGATTTTTTTTGGTAAATATTGATATTATCTGGTTCTTTTCATATAGGATGTCTGGGATGTCCTCCCTTTGAGCCTTTTCCATGGCTGGCTTTTGTTGGCATTTAAGTCTCAGTTGAGATGACCCATTTTCATAAAGGTGATGTCGACCACTGATTAAAGAATTTATGTCTACCACCCCCAAAAACCTTTGTGCTAGTTATTTAGAGAAAATCATGGTAACTTATTTTTATAGTAGTTACCACTGTCTGAAATAATCTTATTTATTCCATGAGTGTAAGTCTCTTAAGGGCAACTACTCTGCCTATGTCCCTTCAGTTTCCATCCTAGGTCCCTAGCATGGTGCAGGCACTTAGTAAGTGTTCAGTAAATATTCGTTGAGTGAATGGATTTGATTTAAGAGCTTCAGGGCCTTATTTGGTCAAATCTAAATTCTTTCATCAAATAATCACTACAGTGTTTTCTAGTAAACTGTCACAAGTAGCAAAAATTTTTTTTCAGAGAAAGTTAAACATTAATCTTGAACTTGATTGGCACATGCCAGGAACAGCAGCAAGCAGCATTTTAAAATCTTTAGATTGATTCTCTTTTCTTGTTGTTAATCTCTGCAGGTATAAATGGATGCTAGTTGAAGATACCTCCTTAGATAGGAGGGTTGGGACAAAAGCACAGTTGTGTTTAAGCTGGGCGTTAACCAGATATAAAATGTTAACAGTAATCTGGTGATGGGACTAGTGTTAATTTTAATTTTCTTCTTAATGCACAAAACTGCCAAAGTCTTTGCAACCTATATGCATTAACTTTTTTCTAATTATAAAAGTATTGTAAAAGAAAAGCTCCTAAAAATATTAAGGAACATTTAGATATAGCACTTTTGAAACTGAAACTGAGCCTGTGAATAATTTAACTAAAAGTCTTGGCATTTGATAACTGAGGTACCAATTGGAGAATTTCTTTATCCAGTACACAGAGTTAACTGGAGGCACAGCTAGCACTGAACTCATGCAAAAGTTCTTTTCATTATCATGTAGATGCTAGGCCGTATTCCAAAGGTAGTGAATCAACTAGGGGAGAGCCCATGTTGCTGTCTTGTCTTTTTCTTTTTAAAGAGATGAGGTCTCACTATGTTGTTTAGGCTGGACTCAAGCTCCTAGGCTCAAGCGATCCTCTGGGCTTGAGCTATCCTCCTGCCTCAGGCCACCAAGTTACTGGACAACATGCTTGCACCACCACCTTCATGAAGCTTTCTTTTTAAACAAGCTCCCCAGGTGGCTCAGATGTATACTAGCACTCGAGCATTGCATGCATTGCATCAGAAGGCCCTGCCATTCAGATAGTGAGCCAGGCCAACATTCAGATACACTGATGTTGACTGAATCCACCCTTTTGTCATGAAAATGGCAGTTGTTTTCAGGTTAAGGTTAGTCCTCTTGCATTTGAAAGTTGTACTGAATTGTTATCTAGAGTATATGATTAACAATGATGTGCCACAGCACTTTTACATAAAAATCTTAAAATACTTTTGATGAGGAAACGCTGGATAGCACTAAGCCAACACTGTAATATAAACTGTCTCATTTGCATGCCATAAAAAGTGTCATTCAGCAGGAAAAAAGGAATGTTCTCTTTGATTTTTTGCCTTCTCTTGTTATGTCTCTTTTACAAGTTATAAGTTCTTCTCATAATTAACTAATTAGAACTAATAATCTTCTAGTACACCAAGTTGTCTTACTTGGCCCACCTTTTCCGAGAATGATTAGAAGGAGTGAAAAGCTAACATTTATCGTGTGGGTGACTGGGTTAAGTGTTGTATGTGTATTGATTTGTTTAATCTTCACAGGAAGCTTATGAAATAGCTGTTTTTTCAGATTTTTCTTTGATCTGCAACCCATGCTAATGCATTTTACATCATGATCTAGTAAGAAACATCTTTATATATTACAGAGAATTTTCATGGATTAATATTAACAGTGCAATATACTCTGTTTTCTTTTCTGTTTTTTTAAATGTTGGTTTTGATCCACTAGACAATTCAGAATCCGCTAGCAGATAGCAGCTTTCATGAAAAATACTGAGGTGTGGTACTTTATTGTCCCCGTTTTACAGATGAGAGAGCTGACACGTTAAGTAAACTGCTGGCCAAGTGTCACAGCTACTAGACACAGAAGCAGGATTTGAACTAGGAGCCTGGACTCTTACTCAGTTTGCTAACCTGAATTATATAATACAGATAATTTCCAGAATAAATTGGACCTCAGGGTCTTCTCTGTCTTGTGTTGTAGGGGCAGAAAGGTTGTGATACCTTTTCTCACCCCTCTTAAGGGTAATAGCTGACACACCTGTAACAAAATACAGGTTAACAAGAGAAAAGCGTAACAAATGATTTAATCAAAATTTTACGTGAAGAGGAGGCAGAGCAAGATGGCTGAATGGAAGCCTCCACCGATCGTCCTCTCTGCAGGAACCCCAAATTTGAAAACTATCCACACACACAAAAAAATAACTTCATAAAAATCAAAAATCAGGTGAACGATCACAGAACCTGCTTTTAACTTCATAGAGGGTGGGAGGGTAGGCGAGACAGTCTTGAATTGCCAGCGCCACCCCTCCCCAATCCCCTGGACGTGTGGTGCAGAAAGGGAATCTGTGCACTTGGGGAGAAACTTTGCATTGGAATGCAGTGCTGCCAACACCAGGCAGAGCTCAGCTGGTGCCCACGGAGCACTTACTCCAGCCCTAGCCAGAAGGAAGCGCCCATCCCAGCAGCTGGAACTTGAGTTACAGAAAGCCTTGCCACCACGGACTAAAGTGCTCTGGGGTCCTAAATAAATAAACTTGAAAGGCTGTCTAGACCACAAGGACTGCAACTCCTGGGCCAGTTCTGATGCTGTGCTGGGCTCAGAGCCAGTGGACTTGGGGTGCACACAGCTTAGTGATACACCAGCCGGGGCAACTAAGGGAATGCTTGTGCCACCAATCTCCCAACCCCAGGCAGTGTAGTTCGTAGCTCCAGGAGAGACTCCTTTCTTCCACTTGGAGAGGAGAGGGAACAGTAAAGAGGACTTTGTCTTGGATACCAGCTCAGACACAGTAGGATAGAGCACTGGGCAATGTCATGAGGTGCCTATTCTAGGCCCTAGCTCCCAGACAACATTTTCAGACACAGCCTGGGCACAAAGGAACCCGCTGCCTTGAAGGGAAGGACCCAGTACTGGCAGGATTCATCACCTGCTGACTTAAGGCCCTGGGTGAGACTCTGAGACGTGACATGACCTAGCACAGTCACTGCTGTGGTGGCTTTGAGGAGAGGCCCCTTATGCTTGAGAAAACGGTACCAGGTTGGCCATAGTGGGGTAGAGCACCAAGCAGGCACTTAGGGTCCTCAGTTCCAGACATTGGCTCTTGGACAGCATCTATGGACCTGCCCTGGGCCAGAGGGGACCCCACTGCCCTAAGGGTGAGTCCCAGGCCTGGCAGCATTCACCATAAGCTGACTGAAGAGCCCTTGGGCGTTAAGTGAACATCACTATAGGCTGGCAGTAGCCACTATGGGCCCGTGGTGGTGGTGGACATGGAGAGAGACTCCTCTGCCTGGGGACAGGAGAGGGAAGAGTTGGAATGACTTTGTCTTGTGGCTTGGGTGCCAGCCCAGCTGCAGCAGAACAGAGCATCAGGTAGATTCGTAAGGTTTCTGACTCCAGGCATTGGCTCACAGCATCTCTGGACTCACCAGGGGGAACTTGCCACCTTTGAGGGAAGGACACAAGCCTGGCTGGCTTCACAACCTGCTGATTTTAGAGCCCTAGGTCTTCAGCAAATACAGGCGGTAACCAGGTAGTACTTGCAGCAGGCCTTGGGCAATACCCAGTGCTGTGCTGGCTTCAGGTCTGCCCCAATACAGTCTCAATGGTGGTGGTCACAGGGATGTTTGTTTCACCCTTCCTCCAGCTCTAGGCAGCTCAGCAGAGAGAGAAAGAGACTCCATTTGTTTGGGACAAAGTAAAGGAAGAGAACAAGAGTCTTTGCCTGGTAATCCAGAGAATTCTTCTAGATCTTATCCAAGATCAGCCAAGGGGAGCACAGTGTCAGCTGGCTTGTTCAGATACAGCTGCAGTGACCAAAGACTTAGATCACAATACCCAAGTCCCTTCAAATATTTGGAAAGCCTGCCCAAGAAGGGTGGGTACAGACAAGCCCAGATTGTGAAGACTACAATCAATACCTAACTCTTCAATGCCCAGACACTGACTGACATCTACAAGCATAAAGACCATCCAGGATCACGTTACCTCACCAAATGGACTAAATACAGCACCAGGGGCCAGTCCTGGAGAGACAGAGATATGTGACCTTTCAGACAGAGAATTCAAAATAGCTGTGTTGAGGAAACTCAAAATTCAAGAGAACACAGAAGGAATTCAGAATCCTATCAGATATATTTAATGAAGAAATGGAAATAATTAAAAAGAATCAAGCAGAAATTCTGGAGTTGAAAAATGCAATTGTCATACTGAAGAATGCATCAAAATTTTATATGGCATGGGAGCCTTCAGAGATACCCAAAGACCCAAGGGAAAACTGTCCCTTTTTATGCTTAGATTTGATGAAGGAGTGGGTAGCCAGGTAGAATTGTAATTGGACAAAAGGGGGTTGATCTTATAGTCACAGACCAAAGGGGAAAACCCACCTAGCAAGGGCCCATCCTGATTCTTCTTGATCTCTCTGTGTGGCATTTCTTCCTGTCAGGTATAGGACTGGACCCCTTCTGGAATTAAGGGTCTTACGATCTACTTTCAGATAAAGTAGGCCTAAGAATTTCCTTATAGCCAGCTCTTACATAGAAAGGCAAGGGAATGTTAAAGTAATATTTCTAGGTTTCATGGCGGGCTTTGGGGGAAAAGGGGATCTAGTTTCTGTGACTTGCCTTAATGAAGAGGAATTTTAGTTTCTGTGGTTTGCCTTGCAGGGAGGAGGGGGAGCAGGAGAAAGAAGGTCAGGAGAAGATCTGAGACAGACTTGACTTCTGAGGCCTTCCAGTGTCCTTTGGTTCAAAGTGCTCAGGATGCCAGGGCACCATATTTTGGGGTATCATTTTCTGAGCCCTAATACTGTGACAGGAGAAAAGTATTTATCCAGCAAGTACCATCTGTCAACCTTGTTCTCTGCCTGCCAGAAGTTGATTTGCTCAGCATAAGGGAAGGAGAGAGGCAGGACCCTAGAGATGTGGGAGGGGGCTTCTGGATTCTGTAGGGGACTTTAGGAACTAGGGGGCAGGACAGAAACGTCTAATTAGGATGTTTTATTAAGTAATTTTGTGTGACTCCAAGGAAAAGCTCTCTTCTAACTCCTTTCAAAATTCTCAGAAAAATTACCTGTTCACTGATACTTGAAATGTGGATTTGGTTTTGGGGATTTAAGTCTGGTCTCAAGATGGCAACCAGGTCAGCTTACTGGGGCCAGCCACATGTAACAGTTTGGTTAAAAAAAAAAAAAAGTGCCATACGTTCAGGAAGCATTTGCTAATTGCCTACTGTGGTCAAGGCACCGTTATGGGTACAATGGATGCAAAGATGATTAAGACCTACCAAACAAATTTTCTGTGAATATCAGCTAGATAAAAGGAAAAGCATCTCAGAGACCTCTGCTTTGGAAAGAAACTTGAGTCATCATGTTCATTGATACTATTATAGACTTGTCCACCACTTACCCCAGTTGCCTACCACACCTGGCATTACTTATTAGTTGATAGCAAAGTAACTCCTGTAGTATTTAAGAGCTCAGGTCGGGAAGTCAGGTTATTTACATTTGCCTACAAAAGTATAAATGTAATAGTTCATGTGGAGACACTGCTTTATCAAGTGATATTCATGAGCATAGTATACTGTATTTACCAAAATCAATTTCCTTTGCCCTGTGATTTGTTTCAGAAAATGTTGACTGGCCATCTGTAGCACCCTATTTTATTTTCCACTGGACTGAGTGACATTTCAATGTCTAATTCCTTAGCCTTAGGGAAGTAAAAGCAGAACAAGTCTGTTTTCTTCCATTCTTTCAAACCAGTAGATGTTCATCAAGCAGCTTGACTTGAAAGAAACCCTTTGCCTACCTGAGAGGGACTAGTCCCTCCTCCCTGCCTGTTAGAAAAGTCTGGGATGGCACTGTCAGCTCATACTTCCTGAGACACAGGTGTAGGCATCTAATATGTAGCAGGAGGAAGCAGAGAAAGGTTCAGAGGCAAATAAGTAATCCAAGCAGAAAGCATATTGGAGAGTAGAGGTTTCTTTTTCACAGACAACAGAGTAGCAGTGGGGGCTGGAGGGAAGGAGGATAAGTATTGTATATATGGAGATGAAGTTTGGGAGACAGGATACTAGATGGGGAAAAAACTTATTTGCCTAATTTTACCTCAAAGTATAGAGTGAAGGATTACTAAGGAGGAAATATGTGTAAAGTAAGCATTATGTATGGCATTAGTTACCTGGTGGCAATATAGTTATGTTGTGTGGACCATTTTAGTAGAAATCTGCAATCTACAGTCTGAGCAATGATTATTTTGCATTTGTAATATGGGCCTGCTAATTTGTGCACTTGCTACATCTGTGACTCTTATTTCGTTTAATTTGTGTTCCTTTTTAAAGGATGTTTTCTTTGCTGTTCAGAAATCTTAGGAAGAGAGAAATTATAGTCTCCCCCTGCTGGATATGACTGGTAGAACCTGAAATTTTAGATTACTTGGCATAGATATTTTTTTTCCAATTTTTGGATTGTATTAAAATACATATAATATGAAATTTACCATCTCAACCATTTTATTAGGTTGGTGCAAAGGTAATTGCGGGTTTTGTCATTTTTTTAGTGGCGAAGTGTACAGTTTAGTGATATTAAATACATAATAAATGTAGAGTTCAGTGATATTAAATACATTCTTAATGTTGTGCATTATGTAGCTACATGAGGACTAATTGACCTCAACTTTCAAATTCCAAATTCTTCCTACAGCCTCACTAAGCAGTCTTTTGATCACACCTTTCCCATCTCCAAGCTCCTCTACATCTTCTTCCAGCAGTTACCAGCGCCGCTGGCTTCGAAGTCAGACAACAAGTTTGGAAAATGGCATCATCCCAAGAAGGTGAGTTGCAAGTTTCCTCTTGCTGAGAAAAGTAGGAGTGTAGGCAGCTTGATGAAACTGGCAGGGAGGCTGTTCGTGCCTATTGTCAGTGGAAAAAAAACCAAAACTTTTTTATTAGCTTCAGCTGAGCCTGAAAGTTTACAAATTGGAAGTTCTAAAGGGAAGAATAAATAAAAGCTGAAATTTTAAAATCTCCTCCTTTGGAAGACACTGGGGAGTATCTGGGTAGTTGTATCATGTTGAGCTAGATTGGGTGTTCATTTAAAATGGTGTGCTCTCTTTAAAATGAGTCCCTTCCAGATGTAGCTTGTATAAGTAATGAAGGGTGGATCAATCTCTTCCTTGGCTACAGTGATACCAGTGTGGTATTCAAAAATATATGAAGTCAAGGGTTTGTGATATATTCTCTTTGTAAAATGTAAATTCTTCAACTAAACAGATATGAACATGATTTTAAATAGAGATGGCATCTAGGTATTTTCTGTCTTTATTTCAGCTGGTTTTGTGTGCAAAATGTACATTTGATGTTACATTCATAGCTTCCAACTTGTTCTTCCTACAATCCAAATACTTGAAGTGGAATTTTTATATGTACCTATAAAAATTCACATGTCAATTAACTGATTTAGTAAATTGACTAGTACTCAACATACGTAGAGATCCGTGAAGGTATAAGACAGTTCAGCTATGTGCCTGTACTTGGATAGTTTACAAGATGGTACATGATAAATATCACAGGGAGACATAAAGTGCCATGAGACTCAGGATGGAGAAAATACAGTGATGGTCATGGGGGGAATTAGGGAGCCCTTCCTGGAAGAGATGACACTGCAGGGACAAGCTGAGAAACTGAGGGGTCAGGATGTGTGAGCAGCACATGTCAGGTGGCTTGCCTCGCTTCTGTTCCTTTCACAATCCTAGGGAGCTAGCTGGAAAGAAAAAATTATAGCTTTGTCACCCATCAAGAAGCTGCTTTTTGGTTGGTGGACTTTGAATGAGATGATTAAAAGCTTGGAATTTTGTGTGAACACAAGTCCTAGCTCTGTCACTCACTAGATGTCTGATAGAATAAGTTAACCTGGATTCTGAGTGTTGCATCGTCATCTGCAATATGATAATAATACTAGCACAGCTTCCGAGTGTGGCTGGGAGGGTTAAATGAGATAAATCAAGTCCGGTGTTTAGCCAAGACATAGGATATGGGCAATAAAATGTGGCCAATGTGAATTATTTACTATTATTATTGCTGTCATTGTCATTACCATTACTGCAACTGTCAGGAGACGGCATCGCCACCATCCTCACTGTCATTATGACAGCTTCTGTGATTGGAAGAGATAGGTCTTGGAAACCATCCTCTTTCAACATTTCTTTTCTGAAAATGTTTTTTTATCCCTTCAGGTTTAAATCCAAAGTTGAAATAATACACCTAAAATAAGTATCTTACATTCAGAAAGGTTGTGAATATGGTCAAGGCTGGCTACCTAGTTTATGGGCCAGTGCAAAATAAAAATGTGGTCCTCTTACCCAAAAAACAAGAAAAGAGTTATTAAAGGGACTAAAAAGAAAAAAAGTTTTTCTTTAAGAATACTTTATATGTAAGATATAATAGAGATGATAGTGATAGATGAATAATAATATAAACTAATAAATTCCAAACATAATATTTTTGATGTCATAATTTTATATTATAATATCATTATGTGATATCTTGTGTTGTAAGCCTTTTCTGCAAATACATTTGTTTAGTCATCAAAGTTTATAGTTTTAGCAACTTGGCTTTCAGTGGATATAATTGAAAGTGATAGTCACTCCTGGCAAATGCAAGGTGGCAAATAATTTTTGATAATTTTTTACTTGGAGAAGGATCTTTCTGCTGATGCAGTCTTACATAGCTTTATGGACTATGACAACATCTGGATAAATTTTTTTTATTATTATTATACTTTAAGTTCTAAGGTACATGTGCACAACGTGCAGGTTTGTTACATATGTATACATGTGCCATGTTGGTGTGCTGCACCCATTAACTTGTCATTTACATTAGGTATATCTCCTAATGCTATCCCTCCCCCATCCCCCTACCCCACGACAGGCGCCGGTGTGTGATGTTCCCCACCCTGTGTCCAAGTGGGGACATTGTTCAGTGCCCACCTATGAGTGAGAACATGCGGTGTTTGGTTTTCTGTCCTTGCGATAGTTTGCTCAGAATGATGGTTATGGATAAATTTTTGATAAACTTTCAAGATGTAAATTTTAGTACATCTGGATCAGATGATTCTTGTTAAACAGTTTTTTAAAAGATTTAATTCTTCACACAAATCCATTTTGAGTAAGTCTGAATTTAATTTTAGATGTAAATTTATACAAGCTTATTTTAATATTTCTTCTGACATTTCCTGTAACTTGTGGAGATCTTACAAGAAACTAAAAATGTTCTCATGAGTTATATATAATTCAAAAAGCCTGTTTATGCATTCTATCACTGTGTCCTCAATTACAAGGAAAAATTAATTTTAAAATGGCCTTCCTCTTTAATAATTTGTTCATCTGAAGCTTCATATGAAAACAGTGTATTTTTTTGTCCAGTATAACAATCTTTACATTCAATTTCTATTTCTATGCCTATGAATATTTACTTTGCAGTGTTGCAGCAGTTTTCAAAAACAGAGACTAAACTCTCTGCAGAATTATAATAACTCCCTGATATTCTTTATTGCAATGTCCCCATGTAGGCTTTTACTTTGTGATAATTTACTGTCCTGGTGCTCAGGTCATAGAGTTAAATATCTGTGCAGACTCTATAGGGACAGGCTCCGGTGACTGATGGGCAAACTGGCCTCCCACCCTGGTTCCTGGAGCTACCAGAGTCCCTCCTCTCTCCTCTCCCCTATCACCCACAACCATGGCTACTGCAGCTTCTGTTGTCACCACAGTCACAGCCATTAGTGTGGGTCCAAGACCTGGCAGTGCCGCTTTAGAGTCTTCTAACACCGTGTCCTGCCCCAGGCTTATGGGTATGTGCCTGACTGCCGGGCCAGTTGCTCGGTGTCTGGGCTGCAAGCCCTGGGTTCTGAGTTCATCCGTGCCCTCCCCATCATAAGGGTCATGGCTCCTGTAACAAATACAGGTTAACAAGAGAGAAACATAACAATTTTATTTAGTCAAAGTTTCACATGACATGGAGCCTTCAGACATGAAGATTGAGGGACCCAAGGAAAACTGTATTTTTATGCTTAAGTTCAACACAGAATGGACTGCCATGTAGAAATGTGATTGGACAAAGAAATATGATCTAATGGTAATAGACTTAAGCAGGAAAACCCAGCAGGACCTGTCTTGTCGGAATTCTTTTTGACCTCTCTGTATGGCATTCCTTCCTCCCAGGTAGAGGGTAAGACCCCTCCGAAATGGGAGGGTCTTATGATCTATTTTCAGGCAAGGTAGGTCAGAGAAATTATTTGTGACCAGCACTTACAAAGGTGGGAGAAAGTTAGAATAGTATTTCTATAATAGGTTTTACAGTTAGCTTTGGGGAAAAAAGAGGCTCATGTTTTTTTGATTTACCTTGGGGAACAGGAATCTTAGTTTCTATGCCTTTGGGGAGAAAGAGGAGTAGGAGAAGGAAGGGCAGAATAAGGTCAGAAAAGCAAGGTCTTGCTTTTGAGCCCCTGTCCTTCAGTTCAAAGTACTCAGCATACCAAAGTGTCATACTTTGGGGTATCCTTTTCTGAGCTTCATTGTCTCATTAGACTTCATCCGAACACATGCTTCATTGTCCCATTAAACTTCACTTACAGCACAAAAGTCCAAAGATAAAATTATTTAAAATTCAAAATGGTAATCACAGAACATTAAATGAAGCCTGGGGCCCTTGTGAGAGGGGGGACGCTGTGCGTGTGGGGTCGCATGCCCATGCAGCCAGCCCTTAATAGAGTACTGCTGAACACCGAGAACATGAGTGTGGCAGACGTTTTGAATTGATTACTGTGCCCGTGAAGATCCCTTTTTTTTTGAGACGGGAATCTCACTCTGTCACCAGGCTGGAGTGCAATGGTGCAATCTCAGCTCACTGCAACCTCTGCTTCCCGGGTTCAAGCGGTTCCCCTGCCTCAGCCTCCTGAGTACCTGGGATTACAGGCGTGTGCCACCATGCCCAGCTAATTTTTGTATTTTTAGTAGAGACGGAGTTTCACCATGTTGGCCAGGATGGTCTCGATCTCTTGACCTCGTGATCCTCCCACCTCGGCCTCCCAAAGTGCTGGGATTACAGGCGTGAGCCACTGCACCCGGCCTAAGATCCCTTCATTTAAAGGATTTGTAGTTGATCTCTCCCTTTTGGCAGATATGTGGTTGGGAAAATTAGTTTTTTATGCTAGAGACAGGAGAATAGTGGGTACCAAACACTATGATTGCTTCTGGCTTTGACAGAAAATTCATGGTAATTAAAAATGTCCTTCCTAAGAGAGTTAAAGGTAGCAGGGATGATAGTCACAGTTTCTGTTTTTTGTTAGAATCGGGCAACACTTTATTCTATAAAATAGAATGAATGTTTTCAGTATTCACAATTCTTAACAGTTGGCTCCACGCTGACCTCAGAGCCCCCTGCTGTGCCAAGTGGTAGGCTTTGATTACTGGATGGGGAATGGGGCTTGGGCATCTAACAGCTAACCTCAAGGATTCCATCACTTACCGAGGCAATTGAAACCCTAAAGAGCAAGGTGTAATGTCCCAGGAAGCCTTTTGATTTGACTTATTAAATTGGACCAACTTTATAAAGTTGCTGATGGGATGTTCTTTGACCTACAAAACATTAATTTCATATAGTCCAATGTAATACATAGGTTCAGTATAAGTTCAAAACTGACATAAATAACAATTAGACTAAGGAGTCCTGATACCAGTGATAGATTATTGAGATGTACTTAAATAGCCATTTTTGCTTTAATTATTTATGATCTTGAAGTACTTACAATGTATATAAATGATTATCGATAAGTGTTAACAAAATTCTATTTGATTTCTTTATTAGGAAAAAAATTGTATGTAGCTGCAGCCTTTCCTTGACTCTCAGGGCTGTCGGTTGATCAGACTGCTTCCAGCTCCTTTCCTCAGTGCTCTGCGTGGCATGATGCATTGACTAGCATGAGCACCAGCAGACAGATTAGGCATGGGGTCAGAATCCCTGGTCATTGCCAGTATCCAAGTCATGAGCCTAGACTAGAAGATAGGAATCCTGGGTTCTAACTCCAGCATTGTTACTAAGAACCTTTCTGTTCCTGAGGAAAGTTGAGGTAGAACTCTGCCTCAGTTTCCACATTTGCAGTACAGCCTGTGTACCTTCTCTGGTGACATGGAGATAAAGTACTGATGAAGTACTGGGACACACACTTAAATTTTTGAAAACATTCTTAAACATCATTTTTTGTAGAATAATTTCTAAATTATAAGTAAGATACTACGTGACCTGATTTATTCCACGTTGCATGGTTGATGCAAGACTACAGAATGAAACTCAGTTGATTTAGAATTCAGTGGAGGGTTATGGTGAAGCAAGTAAGTTCTCCACTCTATTATAGCTATGGAAGTTTTTCAGAAATTTCAGCAGGTGGCACTCTCTCCTACATTAAAACTGATGAGAGCATTGGCTATTGTTTATAGGGTGGAGATGTTGATGAGAAACTGTATTGGGTTCAGTGTTTATTATAATTTGATTATTAAAGGTCAAGCTGGCCTAAAGATGAGTGGACTGATACAGTCATTTTACTTTTGAAAAAGAAGGGAAATGTAAGATGACAGACAAAGTGGAAAGGATTGCAAGCAAGCCTTATTGTAATATAAACTCAGAAGAATTTCCTATACAGAACAGAAATCAACTACTGTAGTGCAAGAAAACAAGGCTTTAGTGCCAGTACCTTGGTAAAGAAGAGAGAACATTGTATGAAATTGTGTGAAGTTCTAAGGAAACCTCAAGAATTTTCTCTGATGATTAGAATCCGGGAATTTCCCAGGGAAAGCAATTGATGGTTTATTGTAATGTGTAGCATTTATAACAGCACCATGTGCCATCAGTAACATCTGGAGTGAAAACCTTTTACTGATTTACCAACCATACCTACATCTCCAGGATCTTGCTTGAAGTTAAGGGAAATAGTAACACATAATGAGGTTAGAATAAGATGTCTATCTCCTTTCCTTTAAAAATAAAATAGCCAGGTGCAGTGGCTCACGGCTGTAATCCCAGCACTTTGGGACACTGAGGTGGAAGGATCACTTGAGCCCAGGAGTTCAAGACCAGCTTGGACAATGTAGGGAGACTCCATCTCTACCAAAAAAAAAAAAAAAAATGTATCCGGGCATGGTGGCATGTGCCTGTAGTCCCAGCTACTTGGGAGGCTTAGGTGGGAGGATCGCTTGAGCCTGGGAAATTGAGGCTGCAGTGAGCCATGATCACACCACTGCACCCCAGCGTGGGTGACAGAGTGAGACCCTGTCCCCCCAAAATTAATTAATTAATTTAATAGCTTTCCTGACCATAACACTTTTGGCATATGTATGTTTAATAATAAAATCTAGGTTTATTTGAAATCATACAAGCTATGAGTAGAGCCCTAAGTAAATAAGTTGAAGACCAGGGGGCAGAAGGCTAATTCTCATATTCTGCCCAGCATGAGTAATTGTTATGTTGTAATTTATAGTAAAGAAAATGGAGGAAGCAGTTCCTTTCTATATTTGGCAGAGATAGGAGACTAGATGATGGAGTTAGAAAGAGAAAATGTATCGCCAGTCTAGGGCTCTCATTTGCAATGTTAGGTCCTTTGTGTTGGTGTTTTTGTAGGAAAAAACTATTTTATTTGTACTCTTGCTGTTAGTAGCTATTTGGTAGCTACACTGGCTTTTCACAGTAGTTAAGTAAGAGACATGGTTAGGCCATTTTTGTGAGGCTTACCCCACAAGACAAATTAAATATATATTTAGAAGTTTTGGGCTTCGTGGCTGTCATCATAGAAGCCGAGTCTCTCAAAAGAATCAGGTTTTTTGAAAATTTTACTGTAGCAGAAGAGAGGTAAGTGTTTCTGCTTGGAGGATTTTCAGAGAGCTTAATCATATGGCTTAATCTGAGCATTTAGAAGAGTTACTTGATCTAGTAGTTTTAATAGCCCTGGGAAAGTAATCCTGGAAGTACCAGTACATGTTCAAATGTTTACTCTTGTTCAATAGAATACCACGTAGTATCATTCCTCTTTTGATGTCTTATCTATTGGTATCTGACTATGTTTTGGATAAACAGATATTTCACATTCCTTCCTAAATATCATCAATTTGACATAAAACGATTCAAAGGAAAAGGACAAGAGTAACAACGGGAAATTTAAATTACTTGTAGCTTTCATTTGAGCTTCTTTCCATGTTAGGATAATACCGTGTGGCAGGCAAGCTGATGTTCTCATCTTCATGCCAGGGAATTATAGAAAAGAATGAACTAAAGGCAGAGATACTCTTAGTTATGACTGAATGTTCTGGGTGTCATCCCCAGTCATTACAGTTGACCTTCAGTGTGACTCACTGATGCATGGCAACTTTTCAAACTTATATTTCCCTCCAGGTCAACTGATGAGACATTCAGCTTGGCTGAAGAAACCTGTAGCTCTAATCCAGCTATGGTTAGGAGGAAGAAAATTGCCATAAGCATCATCTTTTCCCTATGTGAGAAAGAAGAAGCACAAAGGAATTTCCAGGACTTCTTCTTTTCTCATTTTCCCCTGTTTGAATCTCACATGAACAGGCTGAAGAGTGCAATTGAAAAGGTAATAAGGATGTAATCCAAAGTCAAATAGAGAAGTGATTGTGGGGCTTTGAAGATGGCAGAATTTCTTTGCCGATGTATCAGATGTCTTTCCTAAGGAAGTTAAATCACCTGTAGCAGTGATAAATTTTAGGCATGTTGATGTTAGTTACCAGATACTGGGTTACCTTAGGGAAGGAAATGACTGCTTTTTCGTGACTGAAGGCATTATTACCTTGAGTGTTGTTAATTGATTACATAATTTTTTTTATTAATACAGCCCAGTAGATAAGTTATAAAATTTCTTCTCAGTAATTTGACTTGCTTTCTCTTCAATAAAGGCTATGATCTCCTGTAGGAAAATAGCAGAATCAAGTCTCCGAGTCCAGTTTTATGTCAGCCGTTTGATGGAAGCTCTGGGAGAATTCAGGTAAAGTGGCAAAGTTTGGCAAATCCAACAGGAGATGTTTATGAGCAGCCATGGATAAAGATAAACTGTGACTTGGAAGAATTGGGGGCCTGGCAGTTATTCCTCACTTTTGTGGTTCCGCCCTTCAAGATGGAAACAGAACAAATGAAGCAAAAAATTTAAATAATTTACCGCTGAGTAATCCTCACTATTGCTCAACCGACAGTCCCTGATAGGATTGTTTTTAACAGGATGAATGGGGAAAACTAATGTTCAGGTATCTCTCACCAGTCTATTCATTATCTTATGTCAGCCTCACAAAAGCCCTAAGCACTACTAACCCCATTTTACAGATGTGGAAACTTGAGTTCAGGGATGCTTATTCAAAGCACAGATGGAGAGGTTATGCATGTCGGGAAGACATACATTCCAGTTTGCCAGGACAGTCCTAGTTTACACCAAGTGTCCTCTGGAAACTGGTGTCTAGAGTCCTTGCTCCTAGTATCTGTGTGGAAAGGTAAATTGTGTTGGGTAGCAGGTGGGATCCTCTCTGATCATGCTGAGTTGGGATTGTTGCACCATTTAGAGCCACTTTCTTGATAGGGAATGGAATCCCACTCCAAAGCAGTCATGAGCGAATGAGTCAAACTGTTATTCCATAGAGGAAGGATAAAAAAAAAATTTATAATCCTTTGAATGTTAGAACACTTTTATGATGCTTAAAGTATATGCTGATGAACTCAGTAATGCTACCTGGAGCAAAATCGCAAGCCTTTTTTTTACTGTGGATTATGTGTTAAAGTACTCAAGTAACATGTTACTTATTATCTGGTGATTGCTAAGACTTAAGTCATATATTTGAGAATGACATAAAGTTGTGCTCTTTGATGGCAGTCTGATGATTAGTAAACCTTCCATAGTTTTTGGGAAAGCACTGGAGATTTGCCTGTTGCTCTGCTGTGGTCAGACTGGACGCTCACTGGCTTGCGCTTGAGAATCTGGGTCCCACTTTTTTTTTTTTTTTTTTTTTTAGACTGAGTCTCGCTCTGTCACCAGGATGGAGTGCAGTGGTGCGATCTCGGCTCGCTGCAACCTTCACCTCCTGGGTTCAAGCGATTCTCCTGCCTCAGCCTCCCGAGTAGCTGGGTTTACAGGCGCGCGCCACCATGCCCAGCTAATTTTTGTATTTTTAGTAGAGACGGGGTTTCACCATATTGGCCAGAATGTTCTCTATCTCTTGACCTTGTAATCCACCACCTTGGCCTCCCAAAGTGCTGGGATTACAGGTATGAGCCACCACGCCCGGCTGAGAATCTGGGTCCTACTTTAATGAGGTGTCTATTTTTCAAAGGTCAAGAAGCTGAAAGTGAGGCTTTCTAGTTCTGTACTTTCAGTTTCTGTAGAGTCTCTGTAGTAGCAACTGAACTTAGCCGTTGTCCCACAGAAGCAGCCATAGACAATAAATAAGTAAATAAATGAGCACGGCTGTGACCCAGTAAAACTTTTTATTTACAAAAAAAGGTGGCAGTCAGATTTGGCCCGTGGGCCATAGTGTGCAACCCCTGTTATGTGTGGAGCTTGAATCTTTTAAGGACTACATAGATTCAAGTTGTTTTCTCCTTTATTCTTTTACACCAAGATTATCCAAAATAGTATTTCTGACACTTTTGTGTTTCCCTCTCTTTCTGTTCTATAGAGGAACTATCTGGAACTTATATTCTGTTCCAAGGATAGCTGAACCTGTATGGCTTACTATGATGTCCGGCACTTTGGAAAAAAACCAGCTCTGCCAGCGCTTTCTCAAGGAGTTTACACTTCTGATAGAACAGATAAATAAAAACCAGTAAGCTTCAACTCTCTGGAGACTTGTATGCAAATCTCATGGCCAATGTGTGTACTGCATAGGATGTGCCTCTTTCTGTATTGACTAAGTTGGTTGTATCTTTTTCCATTTCTCCAAGGTTTTTTGCTGCCTTACTGACTGCGGTGTTAACCTACCACCTGGCCTGGGTCCCAACTGTCATGCCTGTGGATCACCCTCCCATCAAAGCCTTCTCAGAGAAACGTACCTCCCAGTCAGTGAACATGCTGGCCAAAACACATCCGTATAATCCTCTTTGGGCACAGCTGGGTTAGTACCTAATTTGACTATTCAGAGAATATATGGGATGGAATAGGAAAAAAATGCTAGAATTTGTAGTTTATACCGGCTCTCTCACCCAGTAATTCATAGGTTGTCTTTGGGCAGATGAGGAATAGGAAGTTGGTCCCTGGATTCTAATTGTAGACCCACGACCTTCCTCTCTTTTTTCCCCTACTGGCAGCTTTGTGCTACACTCTTAAAGCAGTATAAGCCAACTGTGTTCTCCCATTCCACAGTGGCTGTTCACCCTAGAGCAGGATTTCTTAACCTCAGCACTGTTGACCAGGTAATTCTTTGTTGGTTGAGTTGTTGTGGGGTGTGGGAAGAGCTCTCTTACGCATTAATGGATATTGAGTGGCATCCTTGGCCTCCATTTACTAGATGCCAGTAGAACTGCCCCTCCCACCTCCCGCCCCAAGTTGTAACAATCAAAAATATCCACAGAAAAGCACCTCATCCTGGAAAGCAGCATGCTATAATAACAATAATGAAAGCTGACACTGTGAGCCAAGCCCTGGTTTTACACATAGTCATTAGATTCTCATCCCTACCCTTATTACTCTCAGCCTCATTTTGTAACAATACAGATGTTGTCTTGTCCTTGTGCTCTTGGTCGTGAGATGTATAAATGAATACAAGCTCCCTCATGGTTAGGGGGTAAAAGGCGTGTTCTAAATCAATTAAAGAATTTGTGGATATTTAAATGGAATTAAGGAAGGGGAGATATGGAGAGAGGCTAGTTAACAAATATAAAATTACAACTGGATAGGAGGAATAAAGTCTAGTGTTCTTTAGCACTGGATTACGATAGTTAAGAATAGCTTATTTTCAGAGAAAGCTAGAAGAGAGGTTTCAAATGTTCCCAACACAAAGAAATGATAAAAGTTTGGGGTGATGGATATGCTAATTGCCCTGATTTGATCATTACTCAGAACATGCCTAACTCATTCTTGGTCATACGGGAAGTTTTTCCTGGGGAAGACAGAACATGGTTGTTTTGTTATGGAATAATAATAGTCTTGAAAAAAACTTAGTCTCATTAAGTGGAGAAGGAAAGGGGGCTGGATATTAAGGAAACATTGTATTCCATGCTGCTGGATCACCCATTTTAAAACAATGCTAATTAAGTAGTGTGCATTTAGTTAGATAAATGTATTCATAATTAGGTGTGCTTCTTATTTGAAACATAACTGAGAGCCATTAATTCCCTATGTTCAGCATAATAACGAAGAGTTTTTTCCTGTGGGTTCACAATCCTCATCTTTCAGGGGAGATCATGTATTGTTGAAAGTCTTCAGTCCTCCCTTCCCCCAAACAATCCATCAGGGGTCTGGCTATTGACAAGAGGAGTGTGAGGAGGGGACGAGGACGAGGCCCTGGTCGGCGAAGGCCTGTGATAGCTTTGTAAAGCCAAGTGTAAGTGATGGCCGAGTTTCCATTATTACAAAGAAGTCGGGGGCCTTCAATAATTTGACAGGTAGAAGCACTTGCTTTGCATTTTATTGTTTTCATTCAGTATTTAGCAAGTCACAGTAAACATGAAAATAGAAACTGCTGGGAATACACAATGATGGAGATAAAATTTCAATCCAGGTTCCTAAGTATAGAGAAGACTATCTGGAATCATTCCAAAGACTCCTCTGAGAGCTTTCCAGGACAGGTGCCACTGTGCGTTCCCCCTCCATGGCTGCTCAGCACTACCAGGGAAGAGGGAGGGAAGCCGGATGCCACTTTCACGGGTTTGCTGCTCAGGAGCTCGGTGATCCTTGCTTCTGCCCAGCCACTTCCCTGTGTACAATGTGATCGCCACCCATTAGTGGGCTGCAGAAGCAATTTAGTGGGTTTAATTAAAAAGCATTTAATTGGTATAATAGAATAGAAAATATCAGTGATTTACATGTATATTTTGTAAAATGTCTGTTCCAAAAGATGCATTGAGGTTGCAGTATAAAATGTATTTCTTTCTTGGCATAGGTATACAAAGTTTAAATGCCACTGTCTACACCACTGACTGAAGTAGTTCCATATAGGTCTCTTTTTGACCTAATGATCTTAAGGGTTTGTAGAAATGAAAAGGAGCTTTTCTACCCAAAAGAGATTTGGACCACTGATTTAATATAAGTTAAAATGTGTGAAATTTTTTTCTCAGAAGTTTACATTGTATTTTTCAAAACACAGTGGAATTAGACTACAAATCAATTTTTTTTTAGTTCTCACTTTCTCAGAAATCAAACCATGTATTTTTGTTGTTGTTGTTGTTTTTGAGACAGAGTCTCGCTCTGTCACCCAGGCTGGAGTTCAGTGGTACAATCAAGGTTCACCACAGCCCCAACCACCCAGGCTCAAGTGATCCTTCCACCTCAGCCTCCCTGGTGGCTGGGACTACAGATGTGCGTCACCATGCCCAGCTAATTTTTGTAAAGGCAGAGTTTTGCCATGTTTTGCAGGCTGGTCGCTGGTCTTGAACTGGGCTCAAGCGATCCAACTGCCTCTGCCTCCCAAAATGCTGGGATTACAGGTGTCAGCCACCATACCCAGCTGACAACCACATTTAAATAACCCACAAGCCAAACAAATTGCACAAAAGAAATTAGAAAACATTTGAAATAATGATAATAAAGATGCAATAAGTTAAACTGTGTAGGGTATAAGGAGACACTGTTGAAAGGGGAATTCTACAACATAGACGTTATTAGAATGTGATCAGGAATAAGTGTGCCTTTAAGATACTAAACTCTCTTCTCGTCTCCTTATTTTTGTTCTCTCTCAGCTTCTCCTGGTTTATTTTTGTTTCTGTCTATATAGTCCCCTACCTCTCTAACCCCCTTTCTTTCACCATGCTTCCTTTACAGGGCTTCTAAATTCTCTCAGCTTCTCCACCTCATTCTTTCCTCTCCTCTTTCTAGTTTCCAACTTTTCACTATTGTTCCCCTCAACAGTTCTTTCCTTTCTTCTCCCTCTTCCTCCCTCTTTGTTTTCTTTTTCTCTACATGTTTTACCCTCCTGGCTGTTATCTCCTCTCCTTCTCCATCCTCTTTTGGCTTCACCCCAGTTCTCTATCATTTTGCACCTCTCTAACATCCCATCTTTTTTCTTTCTGCTTTCCCTTCTCTCTATTCTTCCCTCTTTCTTCCTAAGTTTCTTCTGTCTGTTCCTCTGCTCTCTCCGTCTCTCCCTCCCTGAGTCTCCACTCTGTGTCCCCATTTGCCACCATTCCTTTCTGTGTCCTCCTTTCCTGTGACCTCTTCTCCTACTTTGTCCAGCACCTTTCCTGCTTCCATGCACTCTGTCTTTGGCCTATTTCACTTGGAAGCACGCTTGACTCCTTCACTTTTTCTTCTGCTTTTTCCCCATTTGCCTCTCTTTTAAATTTTTATTTTTAATTGAGGTAAAAAGCATATAACAACATTTATTATCTTAACCATTTCTAAGTGTACAGTTCAGTCATGTTAAGTACATTCACATTGTTGTGCAATTTCTACATTTTAAAAAATTATATTCATGAAAACAAATCTATTCTAAAAATTAGCTTCAATTATCCAAGACTCAAAAAAAAATTGAACTTCCAGTAAATATTTAATATTATGGGTCTACTGTTTTAAAAATGCTTTATTTTATGAAGTTTGGCTATAATGTAATAGCACTGGTTCCACTCACATTGCACTCATTATTTTATATAGTTTAAATGATTATAAATTGTATTTTTAATAACCTTCCTTGTTTTACCATTTCCATTTGTTCCTTAGTTATTAAAATATACAATACTCAAATGCATTGCTAAAAAATAATATTCTAAGTGGTCTTTCCCCTGTAGTTTGTTATACCAGATTTTGGATAAGTAATGCTTCTTCTTTATTAATATTGAAACTGATTTAACAAAAAATATTTCATGAATTCCTGAAATGACTGTTGATATCCTGCGGCAATAGGCAGATGTAATCAAAGTGTTAACAGTAATGAGCTCTTAGAAAGGTTTTCTCAAACAAAAGTCCTAGCTTCAGCCTACAATTCTGAGTTACTCTCTTGAATTCTAGGCTGATTTCTCAGTCACTTGCAAACGCCTCTCAGTTAAAGCTCTATCAGCCTATAATCTAGTCATTTTATAGAGAGGATTGTTTATTATTATTTATGTCTTGCCATTTGAATGTTCTTAGGAACCGTACACAAGGGAATACTCGCAGAAGGAGGTATTTCTTAATGGGTCCCAGGGGGAGGTACTTTCCGATGGTTCTCATAACTTTTTTCCCATACTCATCTATTTTAATTAGTTTTATCTAGTATATGCCCTTATAACTGCTTTCCCTCCTCTCTAGATGCATTCCTCAGAGGGTTTCTAACTTCCTACATTCTGATTTGTACTGATTACCATGTATCAGTTCTCCTTTATTTAGTATCTTTTCAGCTTTTGATTTGTTCCAATATTCTGGTTATTCTTTTTTTTTTTTTTTGAGACAGAGTCTTGCTCTGTCACCCAGGCTGGAGTGCGGTGGCGTGATCTCGGCTCACTGCAACCTCTGCCTCCCGGGCTCAAGCGATTCTCCTGCCTCAGCCTCCCGAGTAGCTAGGTTACAGGTGTCTGCCACCACGCCTGGCTAATTTTTGTATTTTGGGTAGAGACGGGGTTTCACCCTGTTGGCCAGGCTGGTCTCGAACTCCTGACCTCAAGTGATCCGCCCACCTCGGCCTCCCAAAGTGCTGGAATTACAGGTGTGAGCCACCGTGCCCAGCCCTCTGATTATTCTTTAATGGGTTTCTAACTCCAGTTTGATTATACAAAGATACAATGAGACACATCTTTTTTTATGAGATGGAGTTTTGCTCTTGTAGCCCAGGCTGGAGTGCGGTGGCGACACCTTGGCTCTCTGCAATGTCTGCCTCCCGGGTTCAAGTTATTCTCCTGCCTCAGCCTTCCTAGTAGCTGGGATTACAGGTGTCTGCCACCACACCTGGCTAATTTTTTGTATTTTTGGCAGAGACAGGGTTTCAGCATGTTGGCCAGGCTGGTCTCAAACTCCTGACCTCAGGTCATCCACCTGCCTCAGCCTCCCAAAGGGCTGGGATTACAGGCATGAGCCACCGCACCCAGCTGAGATACATCTTTAGGGTCTTAACACAGTGCCTGTCCAGTTAGTAAACATAGGTTCTTTATTATAATTGTCCATCTTCTTATCAAATGTGTAACTTATTATAAAATGTAATAATCAAATTATCAAATGCAGTAGTTTTAATAGTTAGGCACTGAAGTACTTTTGATGAAAAGCTTATTGCTGGGTGGTTGGATGACACATTTGCCCTTATTGTCTCCTCCTTAAGCTGACTGTAGAGCTCACAGTACATTAGTCAGTTTTTAATCAACTTGTCAGGATATATAACTAATGGGACATACTTTTTTCCAGTTGAATTTTCTTTTCTGTTTTTTTCTGAGACAGAGTCTCATGCTGTTGCCCAGGCTGGAGTGCAGTGGTGCCATCTCAGCTCACTGCAACCTCTGGCTTCCAGGTTCAAGCAATTCTCCTGCCTTGACCTCTCAAGTAGCTGGGACTACAGGTGCACACCAGCACGCTCGCCTAATTTTTGTATTTTGGGTAGAGACGGGGTTTTGCCATGTTGGCCAGGCTGCTCTCAAACTCTTGACCTAAGGTGATTGCCTGCCTCAGCCTCCCAAAGTGCTGATATTACAGGCATAAGCCACTGCGCCTGGCCCAGTTGAATTTTCAAGCGAAATGAAATAAAACCTTCAGACTCATTCATGACTAAGTGATTTTCTTCTTGTTAATCAAGCTGATTCTACTTGGTGTGTGTATGCGTATTAAGATAATTCTGTGTAGACCACCTCATTAAGTATTTTGAATTAATTCACTGCACTTCTGTTGAGAAATTCCTAAATTTGGATTTTATCCCAAGGCCCAATGTCCTGGGATTCTTCCAACAAATTCTTATTATTCTAGTTTCCAAGATATAGTATTAGATCTGGTCACATATTCAGAGCTCTGGCTTTAGCCTTCTTTGGGCCATCTCATTGGCTGACCCACTGAGCTGCAGGGAAGACCCAGCAGGCAATGGGAGGGGCTGTGGGCACAGCAGCACGACTCCCACACACCAGGGGTGGTGGGCCACAGCCTGTGTCCAGACTGACTCACTTACAGTGGCAAAACTAAAACGTGGTCCTTACTAGAGAGTAGAAATCATGAGTCTGAAGCAGGGACTCCAGATTGGGAATATAAGTTATCTGTTTTGCTCTTGTAAAGACGGATATATCTGTGACATGCTAACCCCAGAGACCACTGCCTTTGTGTCCACCTTTGCTCTCTAGGTGATCTTTACGGAGCCATAGGCTCTCCAGTGAGACTGACTCGCACCGTAGTGGTAGGGAAGCAGAAGGACTTAGTCCAGCGAATACTTTATGTCCTGACCTACTTTCTCCGTTGCTCTGAGCTACAAGAGAACCAGCTGACCTGGAGTGGCAATCATGGTGAAGGTGACCAAGTTTTAAATGGGAGCAAGATCATAACAGCCTTGGAGAAAGGAGAGGTGGAGGAGTCTGAGTATGTGGTCATTACGGTGAGGAACGAGCCCGCTCTTGTACCCCCCATCCTACCACCAACAGCAGCAGAGAGACACAACCCCTGGCCGACAGGGTTTCCTGAGTGCCCAGAGGGCACTGACAGTAGAGACCTGGGTCTTAAACCTGACAAAGAAGCTAACAGGAGGCCAGAGCAGGGTTCTGAGGCTTGCAGCGCAGGGTGCCTGGGGCCAGCATCAGACGCTTCCTGGAAACCTCAGAATGCATTTTGTGGGGATGAGAAAAATAAAGAGGCACCGCAAGATGGCTCTTCAAGACTTCCCAGCTGTGAAGTTTTGGGGGCAGGAATGAAGATGGACCAGCAAGCTGTCTGTGAGCTGTTGAAAGTGGAGATGCCTACAAGACTGCCAGACCGGTCAGTGGCCTGGCCTTGCCCTGACAGACATCTCCGGGAGAAACCTTCCTTAGAAAAGGTCACTTTCCAGATTGGAAGCTTTGCATCTCCAGAGTCTGACTTTGAAAGCCGCATGAAAAAAATGGAGGAACGGGTGAAGGCCTGTGGCCCCTCCTTGGAGGCCAGTGAGGCTGCTGATGTGGCTCAGGACCCGCAGGTTTCTAGGAGCCCTTTTAAACCTGGCTTTCAGGAGAATGTTTGCTGTCCTCAGAATCGGCTTTCAGAGGGGGATGAAGGCGAGTCTGACAAGGGTTTTGCAGAGGACAGAGGCAGCAGAAACGACATGGCAGCAGATATTGCTGGGCAGCTCAGCCACGCTGCTGACTTGGGCACAGCCTCCCACGGTGCAGGAGGAACGGGAGGGAGGAGGCTGGAGGCCACTAGAGGTTTGTATGTGAAGGCTGCGGAAGGACCTGTGCTGGAGCCTGTTGCCCCCAGGTGTGTCCAGCGGGGCCCTGGCCTCGTGGCTGGTGCGAATATCCCCTGTGGGGATGACAACAAGAAGGCCAACTTCAGGACTGAAGGAGACATTCCCCGAAATGAAAGCTCAGATAGCGCCCTGGGAGACAGTGACGACGAAGCCTGCGCTTCAGCCATGCTAGATCTGGGTCACGGTGGTGACAGGACTGGAGGGTCCTTGGAAGTGGAGCTGCCTCTGCCAAGGTAACTCCAGCAGGCTGGGAAGTAGAGGGAACTGGGTTCAAATCCCACTTTCCTGGCCTGACACCTGTGATGTTGTTAGCCACTACTATTGTCTGCTTTACACACAGTATCTTTTTTTCCACAAAGTACTAGAAGTATTATTAATTCTATACAAACGGTTTCCCACCTGTCCTTCTTCCAAGGATGGTCACTGGCTTAGCACCACTGAGCTCACTGGGACAGGTGGCCAGTGGTTGTCTTTGCAGCTATCGTGATCCTTTGGGGAAGCCTAAGGGATGTGGTGGAGATGGGGGAGGGAATAGGGAGTTTAATTTTCTGTCAACTGCAGAGAAGGTCCGTGGCTGGCAGCAGATGCCTTGCTTCAGAGGTGGTGGATTACACTCGCCGTGTGGCCTCTCTCCTGCCGATCAGAGCAGCGTGAGGTGGTTGGGAAACAACACCTCTTTCTTAACACTCCATCAGGTTGATTATTTGGTCTGTAATGACTGAAAGCAGTAATTAGAAATTTCTTCTGTTCTTCCGCACTGTCGTGGGCACCACTCTGTGCAGATATGTCAGATTCCTAAAGCCAGGCTTTTGGCAAGAGCCCTTCCTGAAACATTTTCTTTGGTCAGTATTTTGACACAGACTGCCTGGTGGATGTCCAATATGAGGTACAAAAACAAACTCATAACTAGCCATGGATAGTTTTTTTTTCTTCCAGCCTTCCACTTTAAAAAACTCCCTTTTCTCCCACCTGTGATCCACTTACTTGAGGGTTGGTGACATGGACCACCCTGAATCTATTTTATTTACCTGTATCATTGGAGTGCTTGTACCAATTATAATGAAAGAAAAAAGTACATTTTTAGCTGTGCATTTTAATGGGCCACATGTTGTTTTAGGTCTCAGAGCATCAGCACCCAGAATGTAAGGAACTTTGGCCGCTCACTTCTGGCGGGCTACTGCCCCACATACATGCCTGATCTTGTGCTTCATGGGACCGGCAGTGATGAGAAGCTGAAGCAGTGCCTGGTGGCCGACCTTGTCCACACAGTCCATGTAAGTGATCCCAGTGTGGAGCCTCTGGCTGCTGACAGTGTGTCAGTCAAGGTCTTGGCTGACAACAGGTGTTTAGACTGAAGAGAGACTAGTTAAGGGGTTGTTTATGGAGATGTGGGCAGGGTTATGGGAACCAGCTAGGGCTAGTGAGGCACCTGGGGCCTAGCAGCAGCTGGAAGCTAGAAAGCACACCTGGGCCTGACAGAGTAAGGGGAGGGTGCGTGACATCAGAGCCCTGGAGAACCTAAGCCAGGACGAGGGGCGGCCTGGCTGCAGGAGCAGTGAGGAGGGGGTGACTTCCTGCCATCCCTCCTCCCATTCTCTGGTCTCTTTCTGGTGCCTCTCATTGGCTGAGCCCGGCTGAAAGCCAGAGAGCAGGGGCACAGCTGATGCAGACACACAGCCTTGTGGTGCATAGAGGTCAGCCTCCTGGGGCCCAGAACAGAACACAGAAGGGCAAGGAGCTGCTCTGGGGGTGGTGGGTTAGCAGATAGGCTGGGCAAATGGAATAAACAGCACAGATGGTGACAATTATATGCCGTCACGGTGAGGACCGAAGAGGTGTCACATGTGGTTTGTTTTTTATCTGATGCTTAAACAAGTTCCTAAAAGTAATTTATTTTAACTGATTTGTCATTAAGTTCACTTTGATGGCTGCATGAGGATGACTGTATAAAGATTAATAAGTCTCACTGAAAAAATTGCCTCGTGGCTGCTATTAAGTGCTTTTCTGCTATCTGCAGGGCAACAGGAACTAAGCAGTTAAGGAAACTGTCAATCTGATGGGCCTGTTTTTAACTGAGCTGTTATTGGGCAGATGTGCAAAAATAGACATTTTGTATTAGAAACATTTTGTATCTTGTGCAATAGGGAAAGTCCTCATCGCATTAAGAAAATCAGAATTTGGCCTGTTACCTACCTCCTTGGCCAACAAGTATTTTTTTTTTTGAGGTGGAACAAAAGGCATTGCATGTTATCTTTGGCCTTGAGCATCTCCTCTGTGAAGACCAAACATCAGGCACAGGCTAAACAGGCTAAGTATATTTATGTGAAGTGGGAAAAAAACTCAGTAGTGAAGCAGATGTCAACATAACCTCCCTCAATGGGGAGGGCTAAGAGATGAGGATAGGGCCATCAGAAGCTGGGGAAAGCCAGCCCAGTGTACACGTGTGTGGCCAAACGTTCCTAACCCCACCCCTGCTTTGTGGTCACATGCCACCCCTCACCAGGATACTCCTGGGATGAAACTATGAAGTTGCTTTTGTCCCTATAATATCATAATTATTTAATATCATAATTTCTCTTTATAGTTATGAACACCATATAGTCATTTATCATTTCATGAGTCCATGCATCAATGACCCCTGTAAGAAAAATGCCCTCATTGTATAATGCTAAGTTGTCCAAAACGATGTCTGATGCTTTGGCAATTTCACAGGCTGTATTTATGTGTGTTTAGTAACTGCCTATAACATTAAGGCACCTTTTCTGTCCGCTCCTATTGTTTATATTCACACATGCCAAACTGTGAGTTGTTTTTTTTTTTCTGCTCTGCTATCATTTTGATTTCTAACAATATTGGTGTTGGTTATTGGACCTTCCTTCCATGAAGCCCAGTGAGCTGCTTCTGACAGAGGTACCAAGAGACTACAGGGGAACTAATGGGATTGTCCTCAGTGACATCAGTTTTACCAGCTGGGGACTTTGTTTGAATGCCCTGGATTTACTCACTGACCACTCTGGAAATGCAATCTATTGATTGATAACCCTCCTTGAACTTATCTGTAAAACCATTCATGAAATATTTTATGTTTCCATAGGCTGGCAAGTTCTCATTTTTGTGTGTTAGATTTTCATGGTGACCCTCTGGCTCTATAATTCTTTTATTTGAAAAAACACAACCATGTTTACTCTGTCATTACTCTTCAAGCTTTTTCGTATTTCATTTTCCCTTCCTTTTAGAAGGAGTGTTTTCACACTGTAGCTTTTCTCATTTCTTTATGCAATCACCCTGAGAGATCGAAAGTTATTAAGCATAATAACCTATATTGTGTCAAATTGTGGGTACATCCAAAGTGCAGCCATGCGTGGGTGTTAATAGGAAATTCCAAAGGGTTCATAAAAATATCTTCAGAAGTTTAATACATTCAGAATATATCCAATTAGCATTAGTGGATTTCTAATTTCACTTGACACATTCATCATAATGAATTTTGCTTTTGAAGTAGTGTTCTGTTTAAACTGGCGCTCTGGTCTATGGTAGTGTTTTTTTTTTTTTTTTTAAAAAACAGGCTTACTTTCAACATCCATTTACAAACATTTGTTGAAAAATATTTTAGGAGTATTTGTTTAAACATTATTCCGAATTTACTGCTCCATAAAGCCTAGTGAATATTTAAATTCTTGAATATGTTGCCAGAAAAAGAAGCAGAGATCCAAAAACAAGTATATGACCAGAGTTAGAGCTGAAATAATAGCTTGTTGAAGAAGAGAAAATTGTAATAAATTGCTTTATCAAACTTGCTTTCAAAACCTGTTTTTTAAGTTGGGCACAGTGGCTCACGCCTGTAATCCCAGCACTTTGAGAGGCCAAGGTGGGTAGATCACGTGAGCTCAGGAGTTCAAGACCAGCTTGGGCAACATAGCAAGACTTCATCTCAAAAATAAAATAGCGTTAAAAAAAAAAAAAGAAAAAACAAACCTATTTTTTGAACATTAATTTCAGTGCTCATGCTAGATTTCAGCAGGCTTTGGTACTCATAATTCTTTTTAGAGAAGGATTTTTAACTGTTTAAAAGCAATTGATTCCAGTTATTGATCTCTTTTCTAGACCTGTGCACAATTTGGATTTAATAATCTGTCTTATGTAAATTAAATGTGGTGGTTTTTTTTGTTTTGTTTTGTTTTTGTTTTTGTTTTTGTTTTTTTTGAGGTGGGATCTTCCTGTATTGCCCAGGCTGGACTTGAACTGGGCTCATGTGATCCTGCCTCATTCTCCCAAGTAGACAGGATTATAGGCACAGGCCACTGTACCTGGCTCTAAATGTACACTTTTATAACTGCTAGTTTGGAGTTTTTCTCTCATTGAGAGATTGCTTTGTAATGCTTCCAATGTTAAGAATTTTTTTGTACTTTTCTTATCCTAGTCTCTTATGAAAGAAAGATATAGTAACTACTTCATCAATTTTCATTTTTATTACTGACTTTCACATATCAAGATTCAGAAGTTCTTTAAATATTTAAACACGTATTCTTGTTTAGTCCATATACTACCTCTTTTCTGTCATTTGAACTCTCTCTGCCTCCTAATATATAGGTTATACAGCTGCCTTAAATTAGTGTAAAGTAATACGGTTTCAGTTTTTTTCTTGCCACATCTTGTGCATTCTTTCCTCTGTTTTCCTTTTGACTTTAAATGGAAAGAGAGCAGGCGTATGCGCCAGCAGCATTCTATGCCTGTGACTCCTGAGTAGCCTTTTCCCTCTCCTTTTTCCTCTTGTGTCTGGCCTGTGAATACAGCTGACTGTATACAGGGTTACTGTTGGGGTTATTGTGGGGCAGTGTAAGGTGATGAAGATCTCACTGACTTAGTGTTGATGGCTTGAGTTTGAGTCCTGGTATTACCACTCGTTTGTTGATAATCTTAGGTAAATAAACTGGCATTGCTAAGCCCCAGAAAAATGTATTTAGTGGAACAGATGAAATATGATTCAGTGGTTAGGAAGTTAACTTCTGAAGACAGACAAACCTAAGTTTGAATCATGGTTCACCCCTTAGTGGCTTTGTGGCCTTGGGCAAGTTTCTTTAATTTTCTTATCTATACTGTGAACAGTACTTACATCATAGGTTTGGTCTGAAGATTCTGTGAGATAATGCATATCAAGTGGTTAGCACTTTGCCAGGCACATTGTTAAGTGCCCAATAAATGTGGGCCAAATGTGATAGCTCACCCCTGTAATGCCAGAGCTTTGGGAGGATCCTTTGAGATCACCCTGGGCAATATAGCAAAATCCCATCTCTAGCAAAAAAAAAAAAATAGCTAGGCATGGTGGCACATGCCTGTAGTCCCAGCTACTCAGGAGACTGAGGCAGAAGGCTTGCTTAAGCCAAATGTTCAATGCTTCAGTGAGCTGTGATCATTGCCACTGCACTCCAGCCTGGGTAACAGAGCAAGACCTCATCTCAGTAAATAATAATAATAATATATGTAAAAGTGCTTTGTAAATGATACAGCAATATATCATGTTTTTAATATGGGAGAGCAGAATGACAACCATTATTTTCGTAAAAATGAAAATTACTGTCAGAGATAAGAAAGCTATATATGGGCCAGGCACGGTGGCTCATGCCTGTGATCCCAGCACTTTGGGAGGCCGAGGTGGGCTGATTGCCTGAGCTCAGGAGTTTGCGACCAGCCTGGGGAACACAGTGAAACCCCGTCTCTACTAAAATACAAAAAAAAAAAAAAGTTGCCAGGTGTGGCAGCGGGTGCCTGTAGTCCCAGCTACTTGGGAGGCTGAGGCAGGAGAATTGCTTGAACTCGGGAGGCAGAGAGGTTGCAGTGCGCTGAGATCATGCCACTGCACTCCAGCCTGAGCAATAGAGCGAGACTGTCTCAAAAAAAAAAAAAAAGAAAAGAAAGAGAAAAGAAAGCTATATGCGTATGTACTTAAAGTTCTCCTAACTAGTCAATGGCCTTGTCAATCCCAGGGGACTACTGTTGGGAATGATTGAACAGAACCTGTACACACATTCATTGAGTGCTAAAAGCATTCACTTTTGCTTTGCCCAGGAGCAGACTGGACAGCTCTAACTCTGCAGGGCAGGGTCATCAAGACCAAAATTAACACTACGTTTTGATGTTTTTTAAAAAACAACTATGCTCCAGGGCTTCAAGCATTTTACAGAATAATTTATAAGATGAAGTAACCATTGGATACAGCAGCCTCTTCCATTTAATTTTAAGCGTAGCAACAGATTGACTCCAGAAATATCATGCAGGAATCAGTAGCACAGATAAAGAGCTTTGCTAAAAGCCTGGCTGTGATATATATATATATATATATATATATGCTCATGAATACCTAATTAGTCCATGCAGTGCAATCAACCTGTAGGACTATAAAAGAACAGCAAGTCCCTTCAAATGGTAAATCATTACTTAAGTAACACAGATAACATTAAATACCTCAGGTCAGCAACAACCTTAAAATCAATAGGATACAAAGAAAACATCTATGTAGGACAAATCCACTATTTTGGAACATCTCTCGTTGTTTTCTTTTCCCCATGTTTGGATAATAAACATGGCAGTGCCTCAGGCCTCTAGCACTGTCTTCTATAGCCACAGCCCTCAATACAACACTACCTATGTCCACTGGCCTATGGAGCACTTTTAAAACTACATATTTTGACCTATAAATGGGTTTTGATTACCAGTTTTTTTAATGATATAGAACTAAAATCATCACACATTAGGCTTCTTATTGATTAGTGAAACCTTTGTATTATGTGTGTGTGTATTTATACACATGTGCACACATGTCACACTTGTATGCATATGGCATGTCATGCCAGGTTATGTCATATAAGCATGTATGCCAGGTCATGATGTTAAAATGTATTTCTTATCATGGATTGTGGTTAAAAAAAATACTGATCTCTGGGTATCCCCAACTCCAATCTGAAATCATTGTGATTCTCTCGCCTTCTCAATGTGACTAGTCTTTTTAAAGTTCCTTTTGATCTTCCCAAATGGCATCCCTGTGTCCACTTTACCCACTTCCACCGCCTTGTGCAGTGCTGCAAGAGGACTTTCTAAAGCATGAGACAATCATTTACTCTTTTGCTTGAATAGCTTCCTATTTTCTAAGAGACTAAACTGTAAACTCCATAGCTGGAATTGCCCCTTTTATGTCCTTCAAATATACACACATACCCCTGTATCTCCTCTTATGCCCCAGTAACACTGTTTGCCATTCTTTAAATAGTCCACCTTTCCTCACACCTCTCTGCCTATCAGATTATGCTTTCTTTGCCTAGGACACTATTGAACAAACTTTTTTACATTTTTGAAGACCCATTTCATATGTTGCCTCTTCTTCAAAATCATTCCAGGCCCCATATCCCTGTTCTGTTCCAGATGTGTTCCTCTACTAGGGCTTCAGGTGCCTTGAAGCAGAAAGCAGGGACTTTATTTTCCTTATATTCCCAGCACCTTGCCTGGTGCCTGGCACATAGAAAGTGCTCACTAACGTTAGTTGACTCTTCCCCATAAAACTGGGGTTAGAGTCATGTGTGTCTATTACTTTAGTGTGGCCCTTTCTTCTGAAGTAAAGAGAGATGGGAGATGATCTTTCTTTAAAGAAACTTAAAGGGGAAGAGTAAGATGTTTAGACATGCCTGCAGCTCTGTGTGTTCATTGTCGTTACCTAAAGGAAAATAAAAGCTTATTATAGGTCTCTTGGGCTTCATGTCTCTTGCATCGTGTCAGAGTTAGACACATGTCTAATTTTGATGTTTTTCCCAAAATGTTTTACTACCTACAAGATATTTGAACATCTGTGCCATTCTCTGCAAAAAAGCTACCAACCCTCTCTCATTTTATTTTGGAGTTCCATATCTCATCATGTAACTTGATTCTGATACCCTTTCTGACCTTGAGCACCTCTTCTCAACTTCCGACTGAATTTTACTCAGCAAGTGGCCAGCCTGAAAGTGCAGCCATTCCAGAAGTTATGTACGGTATCTTCAAGGCCACGGATTGAATTTGGGCCCTAATCAGGTGAGCACAGGCACAGATACACAGAAGATCAGACATTTTCCCGGAACCCCTCCAGACCATCTTGCCACACTTTGAACCCTTTCTTCTTTCCCTCTACCCCTAAGTCTTCATACTGTCTTCATGTATACCTACAAGGATCCCTTAGCAATGTCCCAAGGTCCAAAATGATTAATTTTCCTCTTCCTCTTGTTTACCTTAGTACAACTCTTAAGCCTTTAGTGACTGACATTAAACCTGTTTCCAAGAGAAAAATTTCTGATAAGCAAATGCTTTTAGAGTTATGATAAGGCCATATGTGATTGTTACCCCTTCTGGTATTTTCATGTGTTAAAAATATGTTTGATGCACTAGAAATCTCCAGTGGTGGCACTTCAGGTGGTCGAGATAACTCGTGTCACCTGATGGGGCAGAGATGCTTTTGGGTTAGAGTGGGGAGAGTCACACCTGAGAGATTTATCAGTTGAAAAATACTTATCAGGTATCTTTTATGTGCTTGGTACTGTGTTTATAGCAGTAGTCAAAATCTGAAGTAGAATTAGCAGGGGCGTGATGGCTGTGTGCCCAGGGTCCCAGCTACTCAGGAGGCTGAGGTGGGAGAATGATTTGAGCTCTGGAGGTCGAAGCTGCAGTAAGCTATGATGGAGCCACTGCACTCCAGCCTGGGTGAAAGAGTGAGACCCCGTCTCCTCCCCCACCCCCCCTCACCCACCGACCAGCCAAAAAAAAGATCTGAGGTAGGAGGATTCCAGCAACATGTACTAAACTGGTGTGGATGGCATGCCTCCCCTCTAAAACTATATAGTGATGGATAAAATATCACCATCCTCACTGCTGCCCCATTGTTATAATTCCTGTCATGAAAAAAAATGGAAATCCTTTTGTGCCAGAGATAAATGGAAATCTAAACCAAAGCAGTAAGCATGAGCTGGTCCTCCAGGATTTCAGTCTTGATACAGGTCCTAGGAATTGGGTGCTGAGTTCTCAGATTCACCCGAGGATGAAAGACTGTGGTCTTGTGTGCATGTAAGGCTTGAGACCTGGAATCAAGCCCCTTACCTAAAGTCTGGAGCTTCAAAGAACTATTCTTCCATGAAAAGGAGACTAGAAATCACCAGACATAAGCAGTGAAGCAGCAAAGAAACAGGCTGGAAACAGGTTAGGGAAAATAAAGTCACCCATGAGAAATCAAAACCCCCTGTCTGTGCTATTTGTGGGTTTCAGGTCCAGATTTATTCTACCCGAGTGATTTGCGAATCCCTACCCAAGAAATAAACATAAAACCAGAAGCATAGAAACCTTTAGGACTCTGGCAGAAGGAAGCACACTACTTTAGACACTTCTACAACCACAAGCTTATGAGACGCATATAGGAAAATGAAACATAGCTCCAGTAAGATAGGCCCACGTTCAGAAATTACAAACATATGTGGGAAACCAGGAAATCATCATGAGTGGAGGGCAAGCGCATACAAGCAGGAGAATCAGCACTCCTCCAGTTGGCAATAACTATTAAAGTAGCCATGTTTAAAGTGTTTACGGTGATAAAAAGAAGGAATTGGAACCTTAAAAAAAAGAGAGGATAATGTGATAAATGATCATTTAGATTCATGTAAGAACTAAAAACAACTTCTAAAATTGAAAAATAGTCCCTGAAATTAAAACTCCAGGTATAGGTTAAAGAACAGAGCAGATTAAATACAGCTAAAGATAATTAGAATTTGAAATGGAGGCTACTTAAGAAATTATGTTTTTGAGCTCTGAGACAAAAAGACATGAAAAATATCAAAGAGCAAGTAAAAGATGTGGTGGCCAGAGTGAAGAGACTTTATAGCATATGCAGAAAGAGAATAGAGAAAATGAGGGAAAGTAATATTCAAAGAAAGAATGGCTGGCATTTTTCAGGTTAAGTAAGCACACTGACTCCCAAGTAGGGAGAATATTAACAAATTCACACTTAACAACTGGACATCAAAGATAAAGAAAACTCTTAGAAGTAGCTAGAGAGAAGAAGACATGGCATCTGTCCTCAGGGAGTTTGCGATCTAACAGGAAATAGAAATAAGTCAGCAGTGAAAATAGTGTGGTCAAGTGTGTGGCAGCAGGAGGCCAGGGTGCTGAGAACGTGCGCACAAGGCGGCTGTGGTGAGGACTCAGCTAGGGTCAGTAGCAGAGTGAGGATGAGAAGCAGGGAAGAGTGCAGGGCATAGTATGGCTTTTTCAGGGAACTGAAGCCCCTTTCGCTGATGACCCCTTCAGCATATCTCAGAGCTGGCTTTGCCACCAACAGGAGGTCTGTCTGTCCCCTCTTTCAGTAAAACTGCTGTCAGGAATGTCTACTCAACATGGGATCTAATTAAAGAGCTTCTGCATGGCAAAAGAAACTACCATCAGAGTGAACAGGCAACCTACAGAATGGGAGAAAATTTTTGCAATCTACCCATCTGACAAAGGGCTAATATCCAAATCTACAAAGAACTTAAACAGATTTACAAGAAAAAAGCTAACAACCCCATCAAAAAGTGGGCAAAGGATATGAACAGACACTTCACAAAAGAAGACATTTATGCAGCCAACAGACACATGAAAAAATGCTCACCATCACTGGCCATCAGAGAAATGCAAATCAAAACTACAGTGAGATACCATCTCACACCAGTTAGAATGGCAATAATTAAAAAGTCAGGAAACAACAGGTGCTGGAGAGGATGTGGAGAAATAGGAACACTTTTACACTGTTGGTGGGACTGTAAACTAGTTCAACCATTGTGGAAGACAGTGTGGCGATTCCTCAAGGATCTAGAACTAGAAATACCATTTGACCCAGCCATCGCATTACTGGGCATATACCCAAAGGATTATAAATCATGCTGCTATAAAGACACATGCACACGTATGTTTATTGTGGCACTATTCACAATAGCAAAGACTTGGAACCAACCCAAATGCCCATCAATAATAGACTGGATTAAGAAAATGTGGCACATATACACTACGGAATACAATGCAGCCATAAAAAATGATGAGTTCATGTCCTTTGTAGGGACATGGATGAAGCTGGAAACCATCATTCTCAGCAAACTATCGCAAGGACAGAAAACCAAACACCGCATGCTCACTCATAGGTGGGAATTGAACAATGAGAACACATGGACACAGGAGGGGGAGCATCACACACTGGGACCTGTGGTGGAGTGGGGGGAGTGGGGAGGGATAGCATTAGGAGATATACCTAATGTAAATGACGAGTTAATGGGTGCAGCACACCGACATGGCACATGTATACATATGTAACAAACCTGCACGTTGTGCACATGTACCTTAGAACTTAAAGTATAATAATAATAAAAAAAATTCTAGCTGACTTTATATATTGGAGGAGATGGTTTAAGAATAATGAGTGATAACCAGATTTCTTTTCTCTGGATGGATTTGAGACTGAAGGGGTTTTTTGGTTTGTTTTTATTTTTTTAAAAACTGGTCTACAATTCACACACCTCTGCAGTCCTTTTAGTGGCTCTCAGTCATCCTAGTGGGGTGTGTTGGCCAAGGACGACCTTGTATGGTCTGAATCTTCAGTTCCAAGGCTATGGAGGATGCAGTTATATAGGTGGGTCTTCTCCTCTGAGGAGGCAGAGGAATACCAAAGGGGATCTGAGGACCTTTAAGAGTAGTGCTGAGAAGGTGACTGTCATCACATTCATCATGAGCTCTTTGCATGACTGACTAAAGGCCTTTCTTACAGCTACATAAAAGCTAATATTAAGTCATGGTGCTGTAACATAAGGAGAATTATTGTGGAAAGGTATTTTGTCATGTAGCATCCTCTTATTAAAGTACAGTTTAATAAATGTATTAAACTTACCAGAATTATATAAAATGAATAACAAATGGGAGTTCAAATGAAGCCAAAGACTCTCCCTCTCCCTCTCCGTCTCCCTCCACGGTCTCCCTCTCCCTCTCTTTCCACGGTCTCCCTCTCCCTCTCTTTCCACGGTCTCCCTCTCCCTCTCTTTCCACGTTCTCCCTCTCCCTCTCTTTCCACGGTCTCCCTCCCTCTCTCTTTCCACCGTCTCGTCTCCCTCTCCCTCTCTTTCCACGGTCTCCCTCTCCCTCTCTTTCCACGGTCTCCCTCTCCCTCTCTCTCTCTTTCCACGGTCTCCCTCTCCCTCTCTTTCCACGGTCTCCCTCTCCCTCTCTTTCCACGGTCTCCCTCTCCCTCTCTTTCCACGGTCTCCCTCTGATGCTGAGCCGAAGCTGGACTGTACTGCTGCCATCTCCGCTCACTGCAAGCTCCCTGCCTGATTCTCCTGCCTCAGCCTGCCAAGTGCCTGTGATTGCAGGCGCGTGCCGCCACGCCTGACTGGTTTTCGTATTTTTTTGGTGGAGACGGGGTTTCACTGTGTTGGCCGGGCTGGTCTCCAGCTCCTAACCGCGAGTGATCTGCCAGCCTCGGCCTCCCGAGGTGCTGGGATTGCAGACGGAGTCTCGTTCACTCAGTGCTCAATGTTGCCCAGGCTGGAGTGCAGTGGCGTGATCTCGGCTCGCTACAACCTCCACCTCCCAGCCGCCTGCCTTGGCCTCCCAAAGTGCCGAGATTGCAGCCTCTGCCTGGCCGCCACCCCGTCTGGGAAGTGAGGAGCGTCTCTGCCTGGCCGCCCATCGTCTGGGATGTGAGGAGCCCCTCTGCCTGGCTGCCCAGTCTGGGAAGTGAGGAGCGCCTCTTCCCGGCCGCCATCCAGTCTAGGAAGTGAGGAGTGTCTCTGCCCAGTCTCTGCCCGGCCGCCCATTGTCTGAGATGTGGGGAGTGCCTCTGCCCCACCGCAACCCTGTCTGGGAGGTGAGGAGCGTCTCTGCCTGGCCGCCCCGTCTGAGAAATGAGGAGCCCCTCTGCCCGGCAGCCGCCCCATCTGAGAAGTGAGGAGCCCCTCCGCCCAGCAGCCGCCCCGTCTGAGAAGTGAGGAGCCCCTCCGCCCGGCAGCCGCCCCGTCTGAGAAGTGAGGAGCCCCTCCGCCTGGCAGCCACCCCGTCTGGGAAGTGAGGAGCGTCTCCGCCCGGCAGCTGCCCCATCTGGGAGGGAGGTGAGGGGCAGCCCCCGTCCGGCCAGCCGCCCCGTCCGGGAGGGAGGTGGGGGGCGCCTCCGCCCGGCCACCACCCCGTCCGGGAGGTGGGGGGTGCCTCTGCCTGGCCGCCCCTTCTGGGGAGTGAGGAGCCCCTCTGCCTGGCCGCCACCCCGTCTGGGAGGTGTACCCAACAGCTCATTGAGAACGGGCCATGATGACGATGGCGGTTTTGTCGAATAGAAAAGGGGGAAATGCGGAGAAAAGATAGAGAAATCAGATTGTTGCTGTGGCTGTGTAGAAAGAAGTAGATATAGGAGACTCCATTTTGTTCTGTACTAAGAAAAATTCTTCTGCCTTGGGATGCTGTTGATCTATGACCTTACCCCCAACCGGGTGCTCTCTGAAACATGTGCTGTGTCCACTCAGGGTTAAATGGATTAAGGGCGGTGCAAGATGTGCTTTGTTAAACAGATGCTTGAAGGCAGCATGCTCCTTAAGAGTCATCACCACTCCCTAATCTCAAGTACCCAGGGACACAAATACTGCGGAAGGCCGCAGGGTCTTCTGCCTAGGAAAACCAGAGACCTTTGTTCACTTGTTTATCTGCTGACCTTCCCTCCACTATTGTCCTATGACCCTGCCAAATCCCCCTCTGTGAGAAACACCCAAGAATGATCAATTAAAAAAAAAAAGCAAAGAAAAATTTATATATTACTCATTTATTAATAAATCAGAAACTACAAGAAGCTATCACCCAAAAAAAATAAAATAAATAAATAAAATCAAGCTAACACACACAAAAAAAAAATGAAGCCAAAGAATCATGTGTTTTATTATCCAGAATATCTCAGAGAAAAACATAGAGAGAAGTGCTTCCAATTACCTGAATCATAAGTTGCCTGTTCCCTTTGTGTGTGTGTGTGTTTTTTGTTTTTTTTGTTTTTTTGAGACGGAGTCTGGCTCTGTCGTCCAGGCTGGAGTGCAGTGGCGCAGTCTCGGCTCACTGCAAGCTCCGCCTCCTGGGTTCACGCCATTCTCCTGCCTCAGCCTCCCGAGTAGCTGGGACTACAGGCGCCCGCCACTATGCCCGGCTAATTTTTTGTATTTTTAGTAGAGACGGGGTTTCACCGTGTTAGCCAGGATGGTCTCGATCTCCTGACCTTGTGATCCGCCCACCTCAGCCTCCCAAAAGCCTGGGATTACAGGCGTGAGCCATCGCGCCCAGCCTCCCTTTGTGTTTTAAAGAGGCTTCCCAGTGGCTTATCCCTGATAGTTAAACCCACACTGTTATAACTATTGTGCAGATTTTAGATCTGGTTATGAATACAGAAGTCTTCACACTCCTGCTCTCTGTAATACACATGTGGGCTGAGACATCTCTGAAGATTGATAAAGGGTCAGTGTCAAGCAGCATAAAGATGGGGAACTTGTAGCAACATGCATGATAGAAGTGGCTGTGTTTTCTCCTAATGACAATAAATTCAGACCATCATTCACACTTCTTGCACTCTTGTCTTCTAAGGGATTTCCTTGGATTTTATAGTAGAGGGCTTGGGAGACTCATTGGGCTAAAAGTCGGAAACACTTGTGAGTTCCTAGACTTTATTTCTTACATGCCAAGATACTTAATAAGCTCTTTTTTTTTTTTTTTTTTTTGTCCTGAGTGTTCCTATCTGTAGAGCAGTACTGTGTTCCTGCCCCCCTTCAGGAGAAATGGCATGATGAATTAATAAGTAGTTATGGGAAGCATATATGCAAGAACGGCATTTCCTCACTCTTCATTGGGTTAAAAATAGATAATCACGTGAAATACTAGTCATTTAAATGTGGTACATAGAAAAGAAATATATTAATTATGGTGCATTGGAGGTATAATATTGCCAGAAAATAAGAAATGCACAGATTACTTAATAGGAACTGGGTTGCATCCAAAAATAAACTGTTCACCACAGCTAGAATGTATTAGATATTTTGCACATGCCCAGCACTGTGTTATGTTCCTTTCAAAGGCTGCAGAAGAAAAAGAAATGTGATTTATCTCCTTGAGTTACTTATAAAATCACTGAGTAGACAAACATGTGAAATCAAGAACAAGTTAAGACAGTGTGTGATGAAGTGCCAAAATGAATGGTGTGGACAGCAAGTATTCTCAGAGGTCAAAGGAAGAGCAGTGCAGTGCATGTGGGAAGGTTTCCAGGGCGAGGGATGGACTCACGCCAGGTCCTTGAGGGATTGTGGACTTGAGATGGGGTGGCAGGGAAGGCATTCTGGGCACAACCTGAGGTAAGAGCAGGAATCTTTTTGGCCTGGAGAAGGAGGCTGTACTAGTCCCACTTTCACACAACTGTAAAGTACTGCCCAAGACTGGGTAATTTATAAAGGAAAGAGGTTTAATTGACTCACAGTTCTGCAGGGCTGGGGAGGCCTCAGGAAACTTACAATCATGGCGGAAGGTGAAGGAGAAGCAAGTACCTTCTTCACAAGGCAACAGGAGAGAGAGCAAGCGTATGCGAGGAAGTACCACACTTTAAAACCGTCAGCTCTCGGCCAGCCACAGAGGCTCATGTCTGTAATCCCAGCACTTTGGGAGGCCGAGGCAGGCGGATCACTTGAGGCCAGGAGTTTGCGACCAGCCTGGCCAACATGGCAAAACCCTACCTCTGCTAAAAAAAAAAAAAAAAAAAATACAAAAATTAGCTGGGCATGGTGGTGTGTGCCTGTAGTCCCAGCTACTCGGGAGGCTGAGGCACGAGAATCACTTGAGCCTGGGAAGCAGAGGTTGCAGTGAGCCGAGATTGTGCCACTGCACTCCAGCCTGGGCAACAGAGTGAGATTCTGTCTCAAAAAAAATAAAAAAATCAGCTCTCGTGAGAACTCACTATCACGAGAATAGCATGGGGGAAATTGCCCCATGATCCAAACTCCTCCTACCTGTCCCCTTCCTCGACATGGGATTATAATTGGAGATGAGATTTGGGTGGGGACACAGAGCCAAACCATATCAGGGGTCTTATTGGGAACTGAATATGTACAGATTGGGTGGGCCCAGGCTGTGAAGAGCTGTAAGTGTGGAAGAAAGAACAGTTTTAACTTAATGGTTTGGGTGATGTGTGCTAGCGTAGATTTTAGAGTTGGTGAAGGAAATGATCATGTGGTATTTTAAGAAGTTTGAGGTTTTAGGTAAAGTACATAAACTAGGGCAGTGTTGTCCACAGTTGCACTATTTGTGAGCTCCTGAGTCTGAGGTTTCAGGGGACATGGTCAATACAGAGAGAGGGTGGTTCAGGACAGCAGGACGAACATTTGAGCACCTAATGTGTTGGGTTCTATGCTACACGTTTCAACACATTTTTCTCACAGAAAACTTGTGCTTTAAATGGCATTTAAGCCTCACAGAAGCTCTGAACTAAGTACTATCCCATTTTACAGACATAGCAACTGAGGCCCAGATTGAGTTGCTGAGGTTCCACAGCTGGTAAGTGACGGTGGTTGTATTCAAGCCCAATCTGACTTCAGAGCCCTTGCTGTCATCTTATTGTTGCCCTTTGTTGAATTATCAGAACCACAGCTCTTGCGATTCTCTAAACCTTGTAGACAATTTCTTGTTCGTGGAAGTTTAAGTTAAGCAGAAGTCATGTGTATATGAATCAAGGCAGCATATTTTGTGTGTGCGGCAATCTGACCTAAAACCTTGAAATTGGAATGTCCTAGGCATTTAACACTCCCAGGAAATGGACCCATCCTTAGAGGCTACAAATTAACCAGGCTGATCCTGTTGATTCAACAAGCTGTAATAGCAAAGAAAACTCAATAATCTTCTAAAGATTTATAAAACAAGGTATTTCATTTGTTACTCTATCTTGAAAAATCTTCACAGGAAAGTAGTTTGGGTAAACAAGATATTGACAAGGTAGAAATGAATAAATGATTGTTTCTAACTTCTCATATGAGTGCAGCAAGGGGAAAATGATAATGGCATATGGCCTCTACCTCCTTTCTTTCTGGAGACTGGCTGTCCACCTTAACAATTGTCTGCAGCTCCTTACTCACCTCCCATGTTCTTCTATCCGCAAGTCCCTGTCAGAAGTTTCCGAGTTACCCAATTAAGTTTCTGTGGGAGGCATGTAACCTGCTGTTAGTGGTCTGGAGAGGGTGGCAGGAAGGTGCCGGGCTGGCAGCTCTGCATTGATACCCTGGCTGCCGTTGGACACTCAGTGTGGTGTGGGCACTCAGGAGGGTGGCGATAGGGCAGTGCTTTTCTCAGCTGATGGAGGAAGTACAAACATATCGCAGATCCATTCTAATAGGAGAATTTGATAAATTATTTGGACAGGAAACGTATTTCAAAATTGATTCTCCTTAGCTTGAGAGAAAAGAGGGTAATTGATGTCAGCATCCATAAGGTTTGTAAAGTTTCTCAAACAGGCATCTTAAGTGGAATGACTATATTTAATATTAGTGTTTCTCTCAGATTTTCATTTGGAACTCTGAAATGAGGACCTGATTAATCTGAGACAATAATGGTTTGCAGGAGAACTTTTAAAAAAGGTAACTATACAACGTAGGCTTTTTGGTTTGTTTTTCTAGAGATATTTAGTCAAGGTAACAAAACCCTTTGGGAAAAAAGATGTTAGCATTAAGAAGAGAAATTTTACCAAGTAATCTTACTAAACTGACAGGTATCCATAGCATATCTCCCTTTTCCTTAAGGTGTATGGGAGGCCAAAGTGAGGCTCACCATGGTTCAGTTGTCAGCGTTGGGGTACAGGCATGCCCCACCTTCCTATTCCTTTTCTTTAGTTCCCATGCCCAAACTCCAAGTCCTAAGAAGAGCAGATAGTGGATTAGGCTTTTCATAGGTGTTTAAATCAGTCAATCTTAGGTTCGTATTTTTTAGAATACTTAATTTCTTAAAAGTATTGCTACATGTATGTTACTGCAAATAAGTGTATGTATGAAACCTGCTATGCATGTGAACTTGATAAAATTGTGAACTTAAAAAACTTACTTGACAGATTTCACTATTTACTAACTTCTACTATTAAGGTATGGCTAGTAAGAAATAGTATTATAAAGAAGCATACATATAATTCAGTGTTTGTTTATTGTGGTTCTATAGATGCCTAAAAAATAGTCTTCCCAGCCAGGCACGGTGGCTCACGCCTGTAATCCCAGCACTTTGGGAGGCCGAGGTGGGTGGATCACTTGAGGTCAAGAATTCGAGACCAGCCTGGCCAACATGGTGAAACCCCGTCTCTACTAAAAATACAAAAAATTAGCTGGGTGTGGTGGTGGGTGCCTGTAATCCCAGCTACCCGGAGGGTGAGGCAGGAGAATTGCTTGAGCTCAGGAGGCGGAGGTTGTAGAGAGCCGAGAATGCACTACTGCACTCCAGCCTGGGTGACAAAGTGAGACTCTGTCTCAAAAAAAAAAAAAAAAAAAAACCCAAGAGGAATGTTAAATTGAATTCCAGGGCATAGTGTGCAGGTATGTATTTCTGTGACAAATCCAAACATAGTTTTCTAGATCTTAGAGTTCTTTAAATTCTGAAAACTTAGAGATTGACTGATAAGCCAGATCATAATATGTTTACACTGCCCAGTCTCTAATGGGGTTGAGTTTCCTTTGGAAAGATGATCAGAAATCTCCAGTCACCAGAACTTTAGCTTCAACTCTCTGACCCTGTGCAAGTTCAGGCCTGATCAGGGATGGCCAGCAGTGGCCCCGGTGGCCCTTGAATTGTAACTAAAAGTAGTTGATGATATTTTTATCTCTTTCCAGCATTCATTTCTTTTCTTGAATATTTAGACTTCCCTCTAGTTTGTTCTTCCTTTAAAAGGTGTTTATTCTTTAGTAAATAAGTAAGTAGCTACTAAGTGATATAGTTAGATGGAGGCAATTGGATTGATTCAGGGAATTGTGTGTTATGTATTTAGTAGCCTGAGAATATGTAATTCTTGGAGTTTTTTCTCTTTTGAAAAGGTTCTGCTGGTTCTTTTCTGTTCCTGGGGCCTGCATGCATAAAAGTCAGCAATCCATGCTGTAAGGAACACAAGATGCTCATCGACTCTTGTCATTTGCTTGTGCTTAATCTGTCTCATTTTCATTCAGCAAGTAACATTTTTCAAATGCCAGCTCCTGTGCTAGAGGCTAAGGATGCAGAGAGAAGATTCAGCCCCACTTTCAAGGAATGGACTCCCGCAAATTCTTGTCAGTTTGTCTCAATCTGTGTACTCATTGTTCTTTCGTCTTTACTCAGGTCTCTACCTCAGATTCTGCCTCTTTGCTCCAGTGATTTAAAAATGACTTGTGAGCCTATAATCCCAACATTTTCAGAGGTCAAGGCAGGCAGATCACTTGAGGCCAGGAGTTAGAGACAAGCCTGGCCAACACAGCAAAACCCTGTCTCTAACAAAAGTACAAAAATTAGGTGGGTGTGATGGTGCACACCTGTATTCCAGCTACCCAGGAGACATGAGAATCGCTTGAACGCAGGAGCCATGTGTTGCAGTGAGCCGAGATTGCACCACATCACTCCTGGGCAACAGAACAAGACTGTCTCAAAAAAAAAAAAAAAAAGTAAGAAACTTTGGAGGCCAAATGTAGTGGCTCACACCTATAATCCCAGTTCTTTGGGAGGCAGAGGTGGGAGGAGCACTTGGGGCCAGGAGTTTGAGACCAGCCTGGGCAACATAGCAAGACCCCATCTCTACAAAAACGTTTTTTTTAATTAGCCAGGTGTGGTGGCACATGTCTGTAGTCCAGCTACTTGGGAGGCTGAGGCAGGAGGATCACTTGAGCTCAGGAGCTTGAGGTTACTATGAACTGTGATCAGACTTCTGCACTCCAGCCTGGGCAAAAGCAAGACCCTGTCTCTAAAAAATAAATAAATACAAAGACTTGTGCTGATTTTTCATGTTAGTATTTTTTAGTTTTACATTTCTCTTGCATGCTTACTTTTAAAATAATTGAGCCAACCTCTCTGTCCCTTTTTGTTATTGCATGTAAATCTACAGCCTTCTGATATAACCTAAGCTTGCAGAATCTTCCATCCATCACCTTCCTAGTATGCCTCTTGGCCCTTATTCCAGCAGTTAGTTGCTTAAAACAAAGCACTTTGTGTTGGTAGTGGTACTATATAACTTATAGTCTATGCACTGTTGGGGATTGACACACTCTTCCCTTCCCTACCACTGCAGTGGGAAGATCATTTAGAAGACTAAGTTCGATTTGAACCTAGGGTCCAAATTACCTATTGCAAATCAATCCTCCTCCTCCCCTTGCCCTTTGCAAAAGCTAGAATTCACTGTGAAAGGTGACAGGCATACGTTCAACTCATTGTCTCTATGTTGACATATGGTCAGTATGAGAGAAAGGTCTCTAATATAGATCTGTCCCGTGGCATGACCAGCATGTTGTGGATTTCTGACAAATGCAAAGCAGTGAAGGAGTTTGAGCTCAAAATACAAATATTTGAAGTGTTCAAATTTCCTTTTTTTTTTTTTTCCATAAGGACCAGACTCATTGATGGCAAGTCGTCATCATCTTGATATAAATTTATAACACAGGATGAACAAGACCTTGGAGGAGCTTGTAAAGAGAAGTCACTGAAGCCTTGTATCTTTAGTTGTCCGTTTTGGAGACTGTATATATGCATGTGTAAGAAGCGTAGGGGTGAAAGGGTCATGAAAACCTTTGGTTGAAAATGGTGATGGGGTCATTATGTGTGTAAGAAAATCTTTGTACTTTTCAGTTAACAATTCTACAAAATGAGAACTGTCTTGGGAAACTGGGCTTTATGAATTCAAAAATATACTTTATCAAATTCTTTATCTCTCATGTTTAAAATTATTTGAACAGACAAATAAATGTTGAACATCAGACTTTGCCTGATTGCTGTTCCTTTCAATGGGAAAAATATAAATCCTGATAATAGGGTTTATATCTTTTTAAACCCTTATATTTTTATAAACCCTGATAATAGGGAAAAATATAAACCCTATTACCAGGGTTTTTCCTACTATTTTTCCTACTATTCCCCCTTGGATAATAGTAGGAAAAAATGTTGGTCCGCACGAAGTTTTCATTCATCTCACCACTCTCTTTCCCATTTGTGAGAAGGAATACAAAGCTGCACAGGACAGAGTCCAAGACTAGGGAGTCAGATCACCTGTTAAAATTACAGTATTGCATCATGCATCTTTGATTTGTATTTGCAGCCTTCCCACTACTTGGATTAAGTCGTAAAAATTACAGGTAACCATGGTCCAGTGGCAAAGCTGTATATCTCTTTGGGTTCTTTGTTGCAATTAGCAACTCTTGTTAACTTAAACAGGAGGGACTTTAGTGAAGGAATATTAGGAATGTATAGAATTGATGAGAAGTCAAAAGAATTAGGGTTCAAATAGGCAACAAGGCAATTCTGGAGTTCCAGGAACCATGGACTACTTGAAGGTGTTTGTACTAAGTCCCACCAGGCCTTGTACTAATTGCTGTCTGGGCAGGAATATGCTGGTGCCAACCATTTTTGGTCTTCTGTGCTGGTACTAACAAGGAATTCCCAGGGAAGGAGCATCCAGCTGGCATAGCTTGGGCCATACAAACACACTGTGATAGAGGAAGGATGGACCCGATTGCAGTCTCACCGGGCCTTGTCTAAGAAAGATCATTCTTCAAAGGAAAATTCGGATGGATTTATTGGAGGAAGTTATTTAAGCAGCCAAAAGAATCAAGCAGTCACCCCAGGATAGTAGAAAGGAGTAAGGACGGAAGCAGCCAGTACTAATTTTCCTTGGTAAATGAGGGTTAGAAGAATGTGCATATGTGCATTGGCTTTGAGGCAGGTCTCTCTGTCTCTGGCTCTCTCTATCCTCCCCCTCCCCCACCCATCCCTCCCAAGCAGTTACACTTTGATTTGTTTTGAGAAATTAGGTCTTTAAAAAAGTCCTTGTGACTGCTTCAGTGTTTACCCTATTTACCCTATGGCATAATTTACCAGTTGTTAAATCTGCTCTATCCATAACTGCCTGGCTGTCAAGAATTTTACATTTAAATGTATTTATCAGTAGTGAAACTTTGACCTTTTGGACTCACCTGGATAAATAAACCCATCCCTTTGTGTTTCTTTTTCAGCATCCAGTCCTGGATGAGCCAATAGCTGAAGCTGTCTGTATTATCGCAGACACGGATAAATGGAGTGTGCAGGTAGCTACAAGTCAGAGGAAAGTGACGGACAACATGAAACTAGGCCAGGATGTCCTGGTCTCTAGTCAGGTGTCCAGTTTGCTTCAGTCCATTTTACAGCTCTATAAGCTTCACCTCCCTGCTGATTTTGTAAGTACTGGTTCTTATATCACCAAAGAAATCTAGTTTTAAAATGCTTTTAACGACATTTTGATTATAAAATCACAAATTCAAAAGTACTGTTTTAATATAATTGGAGATTAGCATAACTAAAACTAGAACATGCAGCATAAAACTCGCAACAGGATAGATTTCAGTAGTAATAGCTCTTCCGTGAAACAAATAACAAGGAGCGGCACTGGAATTTTTTGGAATGAGGTATATGGTGCAGTAAATAAGGAATGGGTGGAGAGATCAAGCATAAAAGGAAACTGTAAATCATCCACTGGAGAACTCATGAGTTCTCCTTTTATTAGATTGATATTTTAATAAGTAGGCCAGTTTCTGAAGGGATTGTAGTTCCTTTTATTAAGCAAACATTTTCACAAAGGTGTTAAGGATAAAATAGAATATCATTTGTGTAAACATTTCCAACATTTCCAGCTTTAAAGTACTATACACATGTAAGATTATATCAATTGTTGCTTTTTTTTTTTTTTTTTTTTTGACAGAGTCTCACTCTGGAGTGAGTAGTGCAGTGGCATGATCTCTGCTCACTGCAACCTCCGCCTCCTGGGCTCAAGTGATCCTCCCACCTCAGCCTCTTGAGTAGTTGGACTAGAGGCATGTGCCACCATGCCAGCTAATTTTTGTATTTTTTGTAGAGATGGGTTTTGCCATGTTGCTCAGTCTGGTCTCGAGTTCCTGGGCTCAAGCAATCCGCTTCTTTCCAAATGGGATTTTAAAATCACTTTCGTAACAATACTTTAAATACAAACAACAGACAGAGCCTATACACTCTTAGAAAAGTATCAGTAGCTCCCCCCAGCCACTGGAATTAACATGCATGACAAAATCTTCTCAGTATCTGCGTATGTGCAGAGAAATTGAAAGAAAGAGAAAATACATTTAGAGAGGGAGGGGGAAAGGTTTCAAAAGAAGAAAAGCTTTTCCAGTGGTGATGAACACTTAAAAAGAGAGAGAGAAGCTTAAGGGCATATGGCATATAGCTGGGTAGAGCTTGGATGGGCTGACCTCAGAGACAGGTGTGTGAGGAAAGAGTCTGCTTTCTCTGCTGTTCCCTCCTGTCTGCACAGCGCTGTTCTCTGCAGCACAGCCCCAAACCAAAACATCTGTTATCTGCTTCCTGGCCTCCAAAAATGATGCAAACCTGTTTACCCAACAAAGCAGGAAGTTTTTAAATATTAATTACCTACGCTAATTGCTAATGTAATGGTCATTGTCCTGGGTTTTTATGACCAAATCTATACTTGTACCCATTCCTCAAAAAGAGTCTAGACTTTTATGACTTTGAAGAAGGTGCTCTGAAATACCGTCTGGTTGTTATCAAAGTCGGGACAGTGTGGCAAGGCAGGAAGACCACTGAGCGTAGCTGGGTTATGGTCTAGGCTTTGCCGTTGGTTAGTTGTGTAACAATGGACAATCCCGAGTCTCTCCGAACCTCAGCTTTCTTAGTTGTAAAAGAAAGATAGTACCTGTTCAACAAGGGTGCTGTGAGAATCTTCTGAAAATTAGGGATATAACTGCTTTTTACTGCTAAAGCACCATGCCAATATTATAAAATACTTTAAAAGCCATATATGTTAGCTTTAGAGCCCCATAACCTGGGGTCAAATCCAAGTTCTGCTACTTCCTAACCATGTACTCTTTCAAAGCCTTAATTTCCTTATCTGCAAAGCTGGGGAAATAATAGAACCTATCTCCTATGGTTATGAAATTATATTAGAGAATGAATGTAAAGCACTTGGAATAGTGTTAGATGTTATAAGCACTCAGTAAACAGCTACTATTAGTATGATAGTCAATAACAATTAGTTTCATGAAACAATATTAATGGTTGCAAAGACTGACAACACCTTTTTTCCAAACTGTTTATTTGGGCTTTAAGCTGAAGCGTACTCTTGCAAGACATCTGTCCTGGGGCAATATGAGAAGCACTTGTGGATTATTATGATCTTATTTTTTGTTATACAGTAGTAGGCAGTTTCTCCTTCTAAAAGCAGGTTGAGTTATGCTGATTTAGAGGTTAATGTTTCCTTTTCTGTAAGAGAAGTAATGTATATTAGACTTCATAGTTTACTTCATAAGTATTTGCCAAACTTTTATATTTCATTCTATAATACATACGTCTTGTCACAGTTGATATCTTGGTTATCAAAGCAATAAATTGTTATAGTTAATTCTTTTTACTTCCTTTGGACAGAAGTGTGTTCAAGCACTTACTAGTGTGAATGACTTATTTAACCTGACAAAACCAAGATCAAAGAAAATTTTATCTGCAGTTTAAAATTCTCCTTAAAAAAAATCACTTGAATGAAACCTGTGATTAAATGGCTTTTAGAACCTTCAATACAAAAAGAGAAGGTAGCTATTTGAAATTTTAGAAGTTAAAAATTGGAGAAATCCATCTCAGGAATAAAATCCCAGAAAGAGGAGTTTAAAAAGCCCCCAGCATGGTTCAATGGAATAATCAAGTCTTTTAAAAAATGTTTTCTTTTTTTTTTTTTTTTTTGAGACAGAGTTTCATTTTGTCACCCAGGTTATAGTGCAGTAGTATGATGTTGGCTCACTGCAGCCTTGACCTCCTAGGCTCAAGCAATCCTCCCACCTCAGCCTCCTGATTAGCTAGGACTACAGGTGTGTGGGCCACTATGCCCAGGTAATTTTTTAATTTTTGTAGAGACAGAGGCTCACTATGTTGCCTAGGTTGGTCTTGAACTCCTGGGCTCAAGTGATCCTCCTACCTCAGCCTCCCAAAGTGCTAGGATTACATGCGTGAGCCACTATGACTGGCTAAAAGTTGTCTAAATGCTTTGATTTCACGTCTAGTATATATTTCATATAGACCACAGTTCTTATTTCCACACTGCATCATACAGTTTTCATATAGGCTGTGAACACTGTAATTACTTTTTCCAAACAGAAAGGGTTCAATGTAATATGAATATTATTTTTAATATTTTGTGACTCTTACTAAAAATTTTCTATTTCACTCCATAAGGAACTGAAAGCTAATAAAGATCCTTTTACCACCTTGTTTACTTGGAGGAGCATTTCCATGAGAATTGGTGAAATCCTCCTTACTTTATTACTCTTAGTCACTTAGCAGTTGTGTTTCATCCACCTGACACAATGTATTTAAGATTTTAAACCAATGAAAAACTGAAAAGATTGCATCTCTGATAGATATTTTTTCCATGTCGTTGATCAGCCCAGATGGTCAAGATCAACATTTTCAAATGCATCTGTTAATCTTTTTACCTTGAAAATAACAGGCCTAATGGTCTAGAAGAAAATTAGGTATGATGGAATTACCCTTGCCAAAGCCATCAGGTGTCTTACTGAAGATGCTCGGGTATCTGCCTGCCAAATGCAAAAGCATTTGCCTCTGGTGAAAGACACAGATGGTTGCTATTCTCTAAAAAAATGAAGCTGAACACTATTCCAAGGGTAAAGATGTCCTGAAAATAATTGCCTTTTCTTTATTGTTATTAAAGACCTAGTTAAAATACATTCTTGAAAGCAAAAGAAAAAAAAGTTGTGGGGGAGGTTCAAAATGACCTGTTCCCGTCAGTCTCCTCTGGAAATGTACTGGGCCAGAATAATCTGAGCTATTGGGGGAAAAAAACAAAAACCATACTGTTTACTAAATTATTTATAACAAAAATGCAATTTGCTATGTGGTTACGTGTAAATTCACATTCTCAATATTGTTTAGCTATAAAAATTATATCAAGAAGTTCTTAATATGGGAAAGGATTATTATAAAGTTTTTTAAAGGCAAGAAACACTTTTGGAATGATTTCAACTATGAAAAAAATACTTGTTTAAAAAGACTAGAATAATACATATGTAAATCTTAATAGTTAGCAAAAGTAAACTTTGTTTTACAAGAACCTATTCTTATACCTGGTAGTGGTAGGGTTTGAGATGGCTTGTGATTTTTTAAGTGTATTTGAAACTGATGAGATAAAAGCTGTGTAGTTAGAAATGAATTAAGAAAATTCTGACTCTTAAAATATTGGCAGAGATTTGACTTCTAGCCCTCATTGTGAATGTTCTTGGCTTTGCAGTGCATCATGCATCTTGAAGATAGACTACAGGAGATGTACCTTAAAAGTAAAATGCTATCTGAATATCTCCGGGGACACACACGAGTCCATGTGAAAGAATTAGGTGTCGTACTGGGGTGAGTTCTGTGAAGTGCCGTCACTTGTCCCTTTGATAGGTATCCCTAGCATTGTACCCACTAACGTGTTTAGCCTGTGTCACCCTAAACCTCAGGCCCTGGTAACCCATCAAAGTATGTGGAGTCCATCAGATACGTGCCTCTGCAACTCCCCAATGAACAGCATGTTCCGTTATCTGATACTGGGTTTCACACCTACAATCAATCGCAGGACTTTAGGCTGGTCGTGCTTTGTTGCTCTTCTCTGTGGATTATCTTATGCTTGAAAAGAAAATTTAATCCCACACTGCCCGTTTCTAGTAACTGAATAAGATGCTGAAGTCACAAGCTGTGGGACATGCAGCAGCAGCTTGTGTTTACATTTCACTTCCTGGAGGAGGAGTAGGTTGGCACATTCCACCTGGTGGCAGGAAAGGCCCTTCTAGGCTTGAGGAGCCTGCCTGCGTGTCTGTGGGGGGACAGTGCTTTCCTTCCTTTATTATAAGCCCACCAAAGAGGAGACTTGTATGTTACTAAAAATGCCTATCATCCTCCAGAGGGTATTTGCTATAACTTCTCTAGGGGAAGTAATTCTTACTTCTGTTTTACTGTCAGCTTGATTTTTCAAAAGAGAACAAAAAGACATTGTACATTTGGGGAACTGCCCCCGCTTATCCATGATGATGATTCCCCTCACTTGGGAGAAGAAAATATTTATAATGTCGACGTTTAAATTATCTAAGCCTCCTAAGAGACTGGGGCCTTTGTGTTTTGCTTAGATTTCTCATCTTTCACACCCAGAATGTGACGCCTGTGTTGTTCGGCTCTTGGCATTTCCTGTCATAGATTATTCTTACATACTTTATTTACAAAGTATTTCCCCCTTATGAGGTGTTTGCTTTTGCAGTTAACTTGCAACATGTCTCTTTGTCGTTTTTTTTTTTTGCTTTTGTTTATATCTCTCTACCAGCCTCATACTTCAATCCTGCCTTATTAGTTTTTTTTTTATTATTATTATACTTTTAAGTTCTGGGATACATGTGCAAAACGTGCAGGTCTGTTACATAGGTATACACGTGCCATGGTGGTTTGCTGCACCCATCAACCCGTCATCTACATTAGGTACTTCTCCTAATGCTATCCCACCCCCAGCCCCCCACCCGCCAAATAGGCCCCGGTGTGTGATGTTCCCCTTCCTGTGTGTGTTGTCATTGTTCAACTCCCACGTATGAGGGAGCACATGCGGTGTTTGGTTTTCTGTTCCTGTGTTAGTTTGATGAGAATGATGGTTTCCAGCCTCATCCGTGTCCCTGCAGAGGACATGAACTCATCCTTTTTATGGTTGCATAGTATTCCATGGTGTATATGTGCCACATTTTCTTTATCCAGTCTATCATTGATGGGCATTTCGGTTGGTTCCAAGTCTTTGCTATTGTGAATACTGCTTCAGTAAACATACATGTGCGTGTGTCTTTATAGTAGAATGATTTATAATCCTTTGGGTATATACCCAGTAATGGGATGGCTGGGTCAGATGGTATTTCTAGTTCTAGATCCTTGAGGAATCGCCACACTGTTTTCCACAGTGATTGAACTAATTTAGACTCCCATCAACAGTGTAAAAGTGTTCCTATTTCTCCACATCCTCTCAAGCATTTGTTTTTTCCTGACTTTTTAGTGATTGCCGTTCTAACTGGTGTGAGATGGTATCTCATTGTGGTTTTGATTTGCATTTCTCTGATGACCAGTGATGATGAGCTTTTTTTCATATGTTTGTTGGCTGCATAAATGTCTTCTTTTGAGAAGTGTCTGTTCATATCCTTCACCCACTTTTTGATGGGGTTGTTTTTTTCTTGTAAATTTGTTTAAGTTCTTTGTAGATTCTGGATATTAGCCCTTTATCAGATGGGAAGATGGCAAAAATTTTCTCCCATTCTGTAAGTTGCCTGCTCACTCTGATGATAGTTTATTTTGCTGTGAAGAAACTCTTTAGTTTAATTAGATCCCATTTGTCAATTTTGGCTTTTGTTACCATTGCTTTTGGTGTTTTAGTCATGAAGTCTTTGCCCATGCCTATGCCTGAATGGTATTGCCTAGGTTTTCTTCTAGGGTTTTTATGGTTTTAGGTCTTACATTTAAGTCTTTAATCCATCTTGAGTTAATTTTTGTAAAAGGTGTAATGAAGGGTTCCAGTTTCAGTTTTCTGCATATGGCTAGCCAGTTTTCCCAACACCATTTATTAAATAGGGAATCCTTTCCCCACTGCTTGTTTTTGTCAGGTTTGTCAAAGATCAGATGGTTGTAGATGTGTGGTGGTATTTCTGAGGCCTCAGTTCTGTTCCATTGGTCTGTATATCTGTTTTGGTACCAATACCGTGCTGTTTTGGTTACCGTAGCCTTGTTGTATAGTTTGAAGGCAGGTAGCATGATGCCTCCAGCTTTGTTCTTTTTGCTTAGGATTGCCTTGGCTATGCAGGCTCTTTTTTGGTTCCATATGAAATTTAAAATAGTTTTTTCCAGTTCTGTGAAGAACATCCATGGGAGCTTGATGGGGATAGCATTGCATCTATAAATTACTTTGGGGAGTATGGCCATTTTCACAATATTGATTCTTCCTATCCATGAGCATGGAATGTTCTTCCATTTATTTGTGTCCTCTCTTATTTCCTTGAGCAGTGGTTTGCAGTTCTCCTTGAAGAGGTCCTTCACATCTCTTGTAAGTTATATTACTAGGTATTTTATTCTCTTTGTAGCAATTGTGAATAGGAGTTCACTTGTGATTTGGCTCTCTGTCTGTTATTGGTGTATAGGAACGCATGTGATTTTTGCACATTGATTTTGTATCCTGAGACTTTGCTGAAGTTGCTTATCAGCTTAAGGAGATTTTGGGCTGAAATGTTGGGGTTTTCCAAATATACAATCATGTCATCTGCAAACAGAGACAATTTGACTTCCTCTCTTCCTATTTGAATACGCTTTATTTCTTTCTCTTGCATGATTGTCCTGGCCAGAACTTCCAATACTATGTTGAATAGTTGAATAGGAGTGGTGAGAGAGAGCATCCTTGTCTTGTGCTGGTTTCCAAAGGGAATTCTTCCAGTTTTTGCCCATTCAGTATGATATTGGCTGTGGGTTTGTCAGAAATAGCTCTTATTATTTTGGGATACGTTCCCTCAATACCTAGTTTATTGAGAGTTTATAGCTTGAAGTGGTGTTGAGTTTTGTCGAAGGCCTTTTCTGCATCTATTGAGATGAGATAATCATCTGGTTTTTGTCACTGGTTTTGTTTATGCGATGGATTACCTTTATTGATTTGTGTATGTTGAACCAGTCTTGCATCCCAGGGATGAAGCCAGCTGGATCGTGGTGGATAAGCTTTTTGATGTGCTGCTGGATTCAGTTTGCCAGTGTTTTATTGAGGATTTTTGCATTGATGTTCATCAGGGATATTGGCCTGACATTTTCTTTTTTTGTTGGGTCTCTGCCAGGTTTTGCTTTCAGGATGATGCTGGCCTGGCCTCATAAAATGAGTTAGGCAGAAGTCCCTCTTTTTCTATTGTTTGGAATAGTTTCAGAAGGAATGGTACCAGCTCCTGTACACTCTGGTAGAATTTGGCTGTGAATCCATCTGGTCCTGGACATTTTTTGGTTGGTAGGCTATTAATTACTGCCTCAATTTCAGAACTTGTTATCAGTCTATTCAGGGATTTGACTTCTTCCTAGTTTAGACTTGGGAGGGTGTATGTGCCCAGGAATTTATCCATTTCTTCTAGATTTTCTAGTTTATTTGAGTAGAGGTGTTTATAGTATTCTCTGATGTTAGTTTGTATTTCTGTGGGATCAGTGGTGATCTCCCCTTTATCATTTTTTGTTGCATCTATTTGAATATTCTCTTCTTTCTTCTTTATTAGTCTGGCTAGTGGTCTATTTTGTTGATCTTTTCAAAAAACCAGCTCCTGGATTCATTGATTTTTTGAAGGGTTTTTTGTGTCTCTATCTCGTTCAGTTCTGCTCTGATCTTAGTTATTTCTTGTCTTCTGCTAGCTTTTGAATTTGTTTGCTCTTGCTTCTCTAGTTCTTTTAATTGTGATGTTAGGGTGTCGATTTTAGATCTTTCCTGCTTTCTCTTGTGGGCATTTAGTGCTATAAATTTCCCTCTAAACACTGCTTTAAATGTGTCCTAAAGATTCGGGTACACTGTGTCATTGTTCTCATTGGTTTCAAAGAACTTTTATTTCTGCCTTCATTTCGTTATGTACCCAGTAGTCATTCAGGAGCAGGTTGTACAGTTTCCATGTAGTTGTGTGGTTTTGAGTGAGTTTCTTAATCCTGAGTTCTAATTTGATTGCACTGTGGTCTGAGAGACTGTTATGATTTCCATTCTTTTGCATTTGCCGAGGAGTGTTTTACTTCCAATTTTGTGGTCAATTTTAGAATAAGTGTGATGAGGTGCTGAGAAGAATGTACATTCTGTTGATTTGGGGTGGAGAGTTCTGTAGATGTCTATTAGGTCTGCTTGGTCCAGAGCTGAGTTCAAGTCCTGAATACCCTGTTAATTTTCTGTCTCGTTGATCTAATATTGACAGTGGGGTGTTAAAGTCTCCCATTATTATTGTGTGGGAGCCTAAGTCTCTTTGTAGCTCTTTAAGAACTTGCTTTATGAATCTGGGTCCTTCTGTATTGGTTGCATGTAGATTTAGGATAGTTAGCTCTTCTGGTTGCATTGATCCCTTTACCATTATGTAATGCCCTTCTTTGTCTCTTTGATCTTTGTTGGTTTAAAGTCTGTTTTATCAGGACTAGGACTACAACCCCTACTTTTTTTCACTTTCCATTTGCTTGTAGATCTTCCTCCATCTCTTTATTTTGAGTCTGTGTATGTGTTTGCACGTGAGATGTGTCTCCTGAATACAGCACAATCATGGGTCTTGACTCTTTATCCAGTTTGCCAGTCTGTGTCTTTTAATTGGGGCATTTAGCCCGTATTTGATTTAAGGTTAATATTGTTATATGTGAATGTGATCCTGTCATTATGATGCTAGTTGGTTTTTTTGCCCGTTAGTTGATGCAGTTTCTTCATAGTGTTGATGGTCTTTACAATTTGGTATGTTTTTGCAGTGGCTGGTACCGCTTTTTCCTTTCCATGTAGTGCTTCCTTCAGGAGCTCTTGTAAGGCAGGCCTGGTGGTGACAGAATCTCTCAGCATTTGCTTGTCTGTAAAGGATTTTATTTCTCCTTTGCTTGTGAAGCTTAGTTTGGCTGGATATGAAATTCTGGGTTGAAATTTTTTTTTTTTTTTTTTTTTTGAGACAGAGTCTTGCTCTGTTGCCCAGGCTGGAGTGCAGTGGCGTGATCTTAGCTCACTGCAACCTCCGCCCCTCCAGGTTTAAGCAATTCTCTGCCTCAGCGTCCAGAGTAGCTGGGATTACAGGCGTGTGCCACGAAAATTCTTTTAAGAATGTTGAATATTGGCCCCCACTCTCTTCTGGCTTGTAGGGTTTCTGCAGAGATCTGCTGTTAGTCTGATGGGCTTCCCTTTGTGGGTAACCTGACCTCTCTCTGGCTGCCCTTAACATTTTTTTCCTTCATTTCAACCTCCGTGAATCTGACCATTATGTGTCTTGGGGTTGCTCTTCTCGAGGAGTATCTTTGTGGTGTTCTCTGTATTTCCTGAATTTGAATGTTGGCCTGCCTTGCTAGGTTGGGGACATTCTCCTGGATAATAACCTGAAGTGTGTTTTCCAACTTGGTTCCATTCTCCCTGTCACTTTCAGGTATACCAATCAAACGTAGATTTGGTCTTTTCACATAGTCTCATATTTCTTGGAGGCTTTGTTCGTTTGTTTTCATTTTTTCTGTAATCTTGTCTTCACGCTTTATTTCATTAAGTTGATCTTCAATCTCTGATAGCCTTTCTTCTGCTTGATTGATCCAGCTATTGATACTTGTGTATGCTTCATGAAGTTCTCGTGCTGTGTTTTTCAGCTCCATCAGGTCATTTATGTTCTTCTCTAAGCTAGTTATTCTAGTTAGCAATTCACCTAACCTTTTTTCAAGGTTCTTAGCTTCCTTGCATTGGGTTAGAACATGCTTCTTTAGCTCAGAGGAGTTTGTTATTACCCACCTTCTGAAGCCTACTTCTGTCAATTCATCAAACTCAATTCTCCATCCAGTTTTGTTCCCTTGCTGGTGAGGAGCTGTGATCCTTTGGAGGAGAGAGCATTCTGGTTTTTTGAATTTTCAGCCTTTTTGCCCAGGTTTCTCCCCATCTTCATGGATTTATCTACCTTTGGTCTTTTACGTTGGTGACCTTCGGATGGGGTCTCTGAGTGGACGTCCTTTTTGTTGATGTTGATGTGGCTGTTTTCTGCTTGTTAATTTTCCTTCTAACAGGCCTGTCTGCTGCAGGTCTGCTGTGGTTTGTTGGAGGTCCACTACAGACCCTGTTTGCCTGGGTATCACCAGCGGAGGCTGTAGAACAGCAAAGATTGCTGCCTGTTCCTTCCTCTGGAAGCTTCGTCCCAGAGGGGCACCCACCAGATTCCAGCCAGAGCTCTCCTGTATGAGGTTCTGTCGGCCCCTACTGGGAGGTGTCTCCCAGTCAGGATACACAGGGGTCAGGGATCCACTTGAGGAGGCAGTCTGACCCTTAGCAGAGCTCAAACGCTGTGTGGGGGATCCACTGCTGTCTTCAGAGTTATCAGGCAGGGATGTTTAAGTCTGCTGAAGCTGTGCCTACAGCCGCCCCTTCCCCCAGGTGCTCTGTCCCAAAGAGATGGGGGTTTTATCTATAAACCCCTAACTGGGGCTGCTGCCTTTTTTTCAGAGATGCCCTGCCCAGAGAGGAGGAATCTAGAGAGGCAGTCTGGCCCCAGTGGCCTTGCTGAGAGCTGCAGTGGGCTCCGCCCAGTTTGAACTTCCAGGCAGCTTTGTTTACACTGTGAGGCTAAACCGCTTACTCAAGTCTCAGCAATGGTGGATGCCCCTCCCCCAACCAACCTCAAACGTCCCAGGTCGACCTCAGACTGCTGTGCTGGCAGTGAGAATTTCAAGCCAGTGGATCTTAGCTTGCTGGCTCTGTGGGCATGGGACCCACTGAGCCAGACCACTCGGCTCCCTGGCTTCAGCCCCCTTTCCAGGGGAGTGAACCGTTCTGTCTCGCTAGCATTCCGGGTGCCACTGAGGTATGGAAAAAAAACTCTTGCAGCTAGCTCAGTGTCTGCCCAAATGGCCGCCCAGTTTTGTGCTTGAAACCCAGGGCCCTGATTGTGTACACACCAAAGGGAATCTCCTGGTCTGTGGGTCATGAAGACCATGGGAAAAGTGCAGTATCCAGACTGCAGTGCAGATATTGAGTTCCTCACGGCTTCCCTTGGGTAGGGGAAACAATTCCCTGAACCCTTGCACTTCCCGAGTAAGGCAACACCCCACCCTCCTTCTACTTGCCCTCTGTGGGCTGCACCCAGTGTCCAGCCACTCCCAATGAGATGAGCCGGGTACATCAGTTGGAAATACAGAAATCACCCACCTTCTGCGTCGATCTTGCTGGGAGCTGCAGACCAGAGCTGTTCCTATTCGGCCGTCTTGCCTTATTAGATTTTCCATTGCCAAATGTGTGCCTTACATTTCAAGGGCTTTACCCCATCCTTGACCCTTACAGGTGTGCATCAACACGTGTAATCATAAGCTTTTATTCCCCTTTGCACTCATCTCTAGGTCCTCTTAGTGCATTATTAGTGGACTCATGTTCATCCTTCCTTTATCCCCTTCCTCCCGTAGTCAGGGCCAGTAGCACTAAAAGTACTAGAGAACTTCTGTGCACTCTGAAATCAGATCTGTATGTAGCATTACTGGAGAAGGACTAGAAAACCCCATGAGGTAATGCCAGATACTGTTTTATTTTTACTTTGAGGAATTCAAGGGTAAGGATTAGGACATAGTCCACAAACTGAAACAGTTCAATTTTTTTTTTTCATGACACCTGGCATCATTTTTAGCCAGTGCCCATACTGTATCCACCTCTGCTGTAAGAGAGGCAGCCAAAGCTGTGTCCATTTGAAACCATGATGTCTCTTAACCCAGTACCTTTTAGTGTCACTTTGCTCTCAGAATCTTGTGGCTTAAATGCTCAGTGAGGATCCCAGTATAAACTTTGAACAAATTCCCAATGTTTTTTAAGAAATTGCTACCATCATCGTTTTTCTAAGACCAATTTGAACTTAGGTGAAAAATCAGTATGCATTTAGAAGTGTTGACTGGAAGAATGAGTTTATAATGGAGAATACCTTAAAGTATGATACAATGAAGTTATATAGGGAATACAGGAAAGTTAGAAAGTCTGGTGACCCCTGCCAAGGGAAAAAGAGCTTTATGTCCACACACAGGCACAACACACTTCCTGTATTTCTCTCCCTTTGCCTCCCTGGTCAGTGTCCACTGGAATATTTTATTAAAAGAGTAAGTTTATTATCCTTCCATCTGTTTTGCTTTTTCATTAGTTTTAAATGATAATCTATCAAACTTAGTACCTAGAAATAATACTTTCTCATAAAAAGAAATAATACTTTCTCATAAAACCATGCTCTTTTAAAGTAATATTCTTTTCTTTTCTCAATATTCAGGATTGAATCCAACGACCTGCCTCTGTTGACTGCTATTGCCAGTACTCATTCTCCTTATGTGGCTCAAATACTCTTATAAGCTAAAGCTCAGGACAGTTCTTCCTTGGAAGAAAAAAATCAAATTCTCAACTGAAGGAGAAAGGAATAAGCTCTCTGTGATGTCAAAAGCATGAGAAGAGCAAACAGAAACAGTCATTCCACCTTTTTGTTTTGTGTTTTTGCTGTCAAGCTGATGCTTCATTGAAGACTTAGGTTTACTTGACATAATAGCATTTGTGATTGTCGTGAACACTTTAGGCCATTTGTTACCCATGAATCAACAAAGAAACTGACCTTTTTGGTAGGAGGAAACATAAGCACTAAACACTAAGCTGTTGCAACAGATTGCCTTGTGCTGTTTGGGCAGAATAAAGACAAGTGACTTGAGCGGGGTGGTCAGCAGTGTACATAATATTCCAGTAGGAAACTGCTTCCAAGTTTAAGCATGAGCTCCCCAAACTGGAGAAAACATATTTTGCTATTCTGAGACAACAATCAGAATACAGACTTTGGATTCCAGGTCACAGTTTGCTTTTTAGACAAGGTAAAGCAAAGAAAGCCACATTGTGCCATCTTCAGCTCCAGTGGCTTTAGCAGTGACTGTTTGACATAAAACATGTAAGAATTGCTTGTTGGGAAGAGTGCTTTAGGGACCCACTGTTTTCATTTCTTCTTGGAGTTTACCTTGTTTCAGATGCAGCCATGGGTAGGTCAGAGATGGATTGTTGGTGCAATAAACCCAAGAATCAATGTAGCCTCTTAATCCCATCAAGATGTAGTTTGTAGCAGCAAAGTGTACAGTCTGAAACCGTATGTTTTATCCTTATATTTTAGAGCTTTCAGCAGCCTTTTTAAGAGAGGCCACTTACCAAAGTTATTTCTATAAGCTCAAGAGTGTTTCGGTTGGTAAGTTCTTCCAGCTGAAGCCACTTTTTCCTTATAGTTAATACAAATGACTATTTTTACTTTAAAAGGCACAGCTGTCCTGGTGGGAAATGAAACCTGCAGCAGTTCAGGATGACTAATGAAAGCAATTAGCTTGAACATTTAGAAAAAATTCATATATGATCTAAATTTTTATATTATCATTTCTGTGCCTTCTAATTCCTGCATCCTTTTCAAAACATCTTTCCAGACATTAACTTACACATTGTATAAAACCGACCAAAATGATTTCCTAAAGTTCATGCAAAAAAAAAAAAAAAACAACCTAATTTTCTGTTAATATAAAAGAAACTTCAGTTTACTGACCGTGAAACAGACTATGTACTGACATCCAGGGTAAAGTAAAAGACTTTTAAATATTGGTCATTAAAGGACAGGAGCTAAGCTAGCAAAGCAAAACATCTTTAGCACTTTGCAGATCTCAAGCAGTTAACCAGGCTCTGATTCCCTTCCACTGTTTTATGAATTAATTCCAGTTCTTTTCATGTATCTTTGAACCTAAGATTATGAAGTAATTTCCCTATTAGGGACTAGAATGACTTCAGTTTTTTCATTTGATAAAAATCAGAACTGCTACCTTTCCCTTTTTTAATGATGCAAAATGTAGATGAGTGCATTAAGTTTTGTAAGATCTTTATCATTTTATGTCATTCATTGAAAATTGAAATGTTCATTCTTTTTAATGTTTTCCTATTTCCTTTTGCCTAGCATTTGACTTTGGTGTTTTAAGTTCTGTAGTTCCATGACATCATTGTTTGCTGTTGTGTTACAGAGAGAGAAGGAACCTCACCTGTGGCTCAGCTCACCCCACATCCGTTTCTCATTACGTGTAAATAAACTGTCAGAGCTGATGTTACAGCTTTTACAGTTTAAAGCATTCCCCTCGTCTCTAGTTCCTTTTTTCTTGTTTACATGTTTTGGGCACTTTCCCTCATTCACCACCTTCCAGGGTTTCATAGAAAATAACTTGTTACAAAATCAGTTCAATTCTAATGTGGACATAGTGGCATGTTCATAATTAGACCCATATAGGGGACACTGAGCTTTAAATCGTTGATTCTAAACTCTATACATTAAAAAAATTCAGCCCAGGCCCCTCAAAGCCTGAGAAAATTTAATTTGCTCTTAATTTAATGTTCCAAAACTCACTCTTGGAAAAATGCCTGTTGGAAAACTACAGGTGGGTCACATGTGGGGGCTGTCTCCGTGACACTCAGGATTCCAGTCAGAACCTAATCCTCATATCTATTGCCTACAAAAATAGACCAAGAATGTTGCTGCTCTTTTATAATCCTTTAAATATTTAACATTCAAGTTTTCTTTGTCTTAAATTCAGCCTCTTCCTAAAAGCAAAAAAGAAAAAAAAAACCTCACAGAATTGTGTTGAGATCCACCGCTCACACGCCGTACACCACCCAGTGGCTTCATTCTGGCTTAGCCGCAGAGGCAAGAAAGGGACCCCACTTGCTCCCATGCCCACCTCAAGAAAAAACATAAAACAATTTTTTTTAAAAAAGAAAAGAAATCTACCTCAGTTGACAGGATTCCACCTTTAGGGTTTCTTCAACTTTTAAGTCTTACCTGTTGAGTGTAACTTTTGTAGCATCTTGCTTTTCCAAGCAAGCTAGTGAGGCATGACAGAGCAGAAGTCTGTAAATGTCCCTGTGATGGACCTCTTTCTAGCATGTTGCAGTTTTATTTTTAATAAATTGGTAAGTGAAATGAATGTAAAGGTAATTGTGTACGTTTTAGACATGACAATGAAAATTTAAAATGTAGCTTCCATACTTGTGCATAATTCCAAAGTATTTTATTTTTTATCAATCAGTGTTAAATAGCTTTTTGTACAGGCTTCAATCCATTTTTCGAAGTGTGCTGTTTTTTAATGAAAGTAACTATAATCTTTTCACATCCCATGGAACTGCCGTTTACACATTGCAACTTTTTAAACTTAACCATATTTTTCAAAATTAACGTTTTTGGAGGGAGAAAAATCCCCGCTTGCTAAATGATACTAAACCGTTGTTTGGGCTCTTATAATTAGGTCCTGAGATTTTATAAAAATTTAGTCTGTAGCTTTTTAGGTTCTTCACTAGAGTTGGTTGTACATAAAAATAATAAAGAATATAAAGTATCCCAAAATTCTTTTAAAGTCTGGATTTTTCCGCTAATATGTACTTTAGAGAATATTTTGTTCATGCATACTTCCACGTTAAATTGAAAATGTCTTCAGCTTCTCTTGGTAAATGTGAACCATTTGTTTTTTATTGTGCTTGGGGGAGAGGGTATTTTAATATAATTTTTGCCTAAATCAAGAAGTCCCCTCTGAATGTTAATTTTTAAATGTCAAAATATGATGAACGATATATCTTGAAAGTGAGATTGCAATATGCTTAAACTTAAGTGGTATTTCAAAAACGAGAAAATTCTGGAATTTGTCATTTGAAGCTCCATAAGAGAAATTGATAGGACTTCGTTTTTGATCAGTCTGAATAGATACCAATGTCATTGTGTGGGAATTTTTTTTAACTTGTTTATGTATTATTTTGATCCATTTTTCTGTGGCATTTGGTGCAATAAAACTTTTGAATTTATCTTGAACATTTTCCTGGTGCTGCATGCGATTTGTTATATTTAATAAAATGTAGAGGTCTCATTTCTAATAATTCGTGCTGAAAACAAGCTGATTATTTATCTCAGTGGTTTTTAACCGGGGTGTTTTGGAAATGCAGGGACATTTTTGGTTAGCATAATGCCAGGTTAGGGTTACTGGCACAGAGAGGCTGGGGGCTCAGATGATAGGCGAGAGGTCCTGCACCATGTGAGACAGCCCCATGGGATGAGGACTTGTCCCACCCACCTCCTGCGTAACCCTTAAATGTCCTGCTGGACATTTATATGGCTAAAAAAGCCTGTTTATAATTAAGCAGATAATTCTGCTATACATAAAAAACACAATGTATTTTTACATGATTTTTGTATATAATGCATTCTCCAGGAATGCAATTGTTGTATAAATTGAGGGAAGATTTTTACTTTGTAAGATTTAGAATTTTAGCAAGAAGTGGTCACTTGGTCTTTACCAAGAATTGATATACTTTTGGAAAACTGCGTTTCCAATGGTAACATAGTTTGGTAGCTATGGTACCCATGGAATTTGAGTCACCAATACAGGACATCTCTGTCAGTCTTCATTTGTAGCCCCTGCATTCATGAAGACTCTGTATATAGATGCCTACTTCATTATATTTTTTGAGATGGGGTTTTGCTCTTATTGCCCAAGCTGGAGTGCAATGGTGCAATCTCGGCTCACTGCAACCTCCGCCTCCTGGGTTCAAGTGATTCTCCTGCCTCAGCCTCCCAAGTAGCTGGGGTTACAGGCATGCGCCACCACAACTGGCCAATTTTTTGTATTTTTAGTAGAAACGAGGTTTCACCATGTTAGCCAGGCTAGTCTTGAACTCCTGACCTCAGGAGATCTGCCCACCTCAGCCTCCCAAAGTGCTGGGATTACAGGCGTGAGCCACTGTGCCTGGCCAACTTCATTATATTTTCTAATCTACTGCCCCAATATTTATGTATTAAAGTAGTATTATAAATTACTTTTAAATTTCTTTTAAATTACAGTATAATAGGGCATTATATTGGTATGATATAAATTGAGTATATTTGTAAATTTTATTTTAGGTTAATAAAGGGGGCATTACAAAATATTTGCTCTGAAAAGGGATGATGTCCACAGATATATTTGTTCTCAGGAAAAAATATGCCACTGAGAGCAACTGTTGGTACCAACATAATGCCATACTGAGTTATGTTATCTTAAAGACTGGGGGGAAAGTTACAGTAGATATTTCAAAATCCTTTCTGATAAATGAAAATTTCAAGTGTTTTTCCCTGAAGCTTTTTTTTTTTCCTTTTCGTGCATGTTCAGCTCTCCAAGGATGGCTTCCCTGCTGTGTACTCGGGTGAAACAGCTTTAAAATCATGCCATTGATAAAAGGAGTTAAACGCACGTGCACACAAGAGTGCTTTTTGGTTCCCTAGTGCCTGGACCGTTCTGTCAGACGCTTTCTGTATGTTACCTCATTTAATCCTCACAATGGATGAGGGGTACTGTGATGGTTTTTTTTTTTTTTTTTAAGAGACAGGGTCTCACTTTGTCACCAGGATGGAGTACAGTGGCATGATCATAGCTCGCAGTAACCTCAAACTTCTGGCCTCAAGTATCCTCCTGCCTCAGCCTCTCAAGTACCAGGGACTACAGGCATGCACCAACACACCCAGCTAATTTTTTTAAAAAAAATTTGGGGCTGGACGCAATGGCTCACGCCTGTAATCCCAACACTTTGGGAGGCTGAGGCGGGCAGATCACGAGGTCAGGAGATCGAGACCATCCTGGCTAACACGGTGAAACCCTGCCTCTACTAAAAATACAAAACATTAGCCGGCCGTGGTGGCACGCGCCTGTAGTCCCAGCTACTCAGGAGGCTGAGGCAGGAAAATTGTTTGAACCTGGGAGGCAGAGGTTGCAGTGAGCTGAGATTGTGCCACTGCACTCCAGCCTGAGCAACAGTGAGACTCCATCTCAAAAAAAAACAAAAAAAAATTTGTAGAGACAGGGTCTCACTCTGTTGCCCAGGCTGGTCTTGAACTCTGGGCCTTACATGACCCTCCTGCCTCAGCTTCCCAAACCGTTGGGATTACAGGCATGAGCCACCAGGTCTGGCCTGTGATGGTTAATGTTATGTGTCATCTTGGCTAGGCGATAGTAATCAGATATTTAGTCAAACACTAATCTGGATGATGCTGTGCAGGTATTTTTTTTTTCCTTTTTTTTTGAGATGGAGTTTTGCTCTTGTTGCCCAGGCTGGAGTGCAATGGCACGTTCTTGGCTCACTGCAACCTCTGCCTCCCGGGTTCAGGCGATTCTCCTGCCTCAGCCTTCCTGAGTAGTTGGGATTACAGGCATGCACCACCACGCCAGCTAATTCTGTATTTTTAGTAGAGACGGGGTTTCCCCATGTTGGTCAGGCTGGTCTTGAACTCCCGACCTCAGATGATCTGCCCGCCTCAGCCTCCCAAAGTGCGGGGATTACAGGCATGAGCCACCACTCCCAGCCCAGTGCTGTGCAGGTATTTCTTAGGTGAGATTAATATTTAAGTCAGTGGACCCTGAATAAAGCTATTTATCCTCCATAATGTGGGTGGGCCTCATTCAACCTGTTGAAAGTCTTAAGAGAAAGACTGAAGATCCCCCAGGGAGAGAGAATTCTGCCTGAAAACTGCCTTCAGGCTGGAGCTGCAACATCAGTTTCTCCCAGGGTCTCCATCCTGTTGGCTCACCCTGCTGCGTTTGGATTTACCAACTTCCACAATCACAGGAGCCAACTCCTAAAAATAAACACCCCTCCCTGGCTCTTGCTCTCCTACATGCACAACACACACATCATTGGTTCTGTTTCTCTGGAGAACCCTGACTGATACAGATACTTAGGAGATCAGTCCAATGATATGGTATGATAACCCAAAATGGAGTTGAGTAGGATCAGAAAATTGTCATTCCAAGTTACAGGAAGTAGGCTTTCAAGCAAATATCTTTAACATCATAAACAGTACCAACTTAAGAGTTATCCCATAAAGGCTGACATAGATGTCACGTAGTCTCTGAATATGTGTTGCAAAGAATTGGAAAACAACCCTCTGAGAAGGAAGGAGGTAACATTTCGTTAAAAGTGGTGGAAAGGCCCAGCGCGGTGGCTCATTCCAGTGCCTGTAATCCCAGCTACTCAGGAGGCTGAGGCAGGAGAATCACTTGAACCCAGGAGGCGGAGGCTGCAGTGAGCCAAGATTGTGCCACTACGCTACAGCCTGGGCAACAGAGCGAGACTCCGTCTCAAATAAATAAATAAATAAATAAATAAATAAATAAATAAAATAAATAAAAGCCCAGCCCTGTGCACTCCAGTGACCCAGCTGATTCATCTTCTCCAGCCTCATCACCAGATAATTCTGTGTTCTATATTCCAGCCACATTGAACCACATGTACTTCCCCAAAGGTGCTAGGTTATTGTCTTTGCCCTGTCTGTTCTTCCTAGAATAGACTTCCCTTTGCCTCATCAAGTCCCCCGTTCCTAGCACAAAATTCAATTCATTGTCAAATCCTCCAGCACCTTGCTACTCAAGGTCCTCAGACCAGCAACAACTAACTGCATTTCCTGGGAGCTTGACAGAAATGCAAAATCTCAAACCCCATTTCAGACCTACTGAATCATAATCTGCATCTTAACAGGATCCCCAAGTGATTTGCATGACCTTTAAAATTTGAGAATACTGCTCTCAAACTCGAGTGGATGAGGAAAAGAATGTATCAGTCACTGAGACTGAAGTCTGTGTATTGGAATGAAGGGGGACAATGAGAACATTTGCCAGCAAAGAAATGAAATAGAAATAAATTATGTTAAAAGTGTCTATCATATGCACATAAATTATACAATGCATATGATATATGCATTGTATGAAGGAAAAAAACTACCAGAAATCCAGAAGGGGAAAATAATGAATGTATTATTGTATGAAGGAAATGTATAATAATAAATAATGAATGTATTATTGTATGAAGGAAAAAAACAACCAGAAATCCAGAAGGGGAAAATAATGAATGGAATAGAAGATAGAACTTAAGAGACATTTTGTGATTTAAAAAGAGAGATTAGGGCATTATAGAAGAAGTGGTTTAGAGACTTGCTCAATGGATTTCCAAAAGTATTTTTAAGAGCATTTTTGGGTAAATGTATATAAGAATGATACATACTGTTAAATCTCATAAATTGTACTTTTTAGAAACATTGTAATTAAGCTCTCTAACCTTAAGTTTATACATGGAAAACCAAACTCAAAGCATGGATATAAAATATTCCCATTTTCAACCATCTATTTTGATGGGAAAGTTTATGATACTGTCTATAGGTTTAAGCTTTTAAAATTTCCCCCAAGTCACCCAGTAACACAGACAAATTTCTACTTAAGAGACTTTCAGTGCCTGGTTCTGATTCTTGTCGTGTAAGAATGGAAAATGTGTTGGCATCTCAAGTAAGAATAGTAATGATAGCCACTCACTGGGGGCTATGTGTGAGGCACTGCGTTGGAGGCTTTTCACATGTGGTATTCATTATTTGCTTTCAAATATGTAAGAACATTTGTTCCAATTTATTTTCCCTAAAGAGGATTCATGTAAAAGAGAGGGGTGTTGAGTATTTATTGAAGCATCCACACAAATTCTGCAGGACAGTCCAAAAAATGGATTTGTGGGACAAGTATCTAAAGTAACTCTGGAAATTTAGAAGAAAGCCTCATTGATAAAAAGATAAATTATTTTGAATGATTCAGTATTTTGTTTATTTCTGGAATGGAAGGGGTATGACCAAGTGCTCAACTACTCTCAGGAATAATGGGTTAAACCGACCTCAGGTGCCTCTTGATGTGATGCACTGAGCATGAGGCAACGTCACTTATCTGGGATTCCTGACAAAAACACGTAACCTGAACCCACTCGTGAGGAAACATCAGACAAGCCCATACTGAAAGATTCAGAACTGGCCTGGATTCCTCAAAAGTGTCCATGTTATAAAAGACCAGAGTGAGGAACTCCTCCACATTGAAGAGGACTAAAGAGACGTGATAACTCAATGTAATACATGGTCCTAGACTGAATCCTGGATCAGAATATTACAAAGGTCGTCAGTTAATACTTTTTGTTGTTGCTGTTGTTGTTGTTGTTGTTATTTTTTAAGACAGTCAGGCTCTCTGTCACGCAGGCTGGAGTGCAGTGATGCAATCATAGCTCACTGCAGACTTGCAGACCTGTGATCGAGCAAGCCTCCCACCTCAGCCTCCTGAGTAGCTGGGATTACAGGCATGCACCACCACCCCTGCCTAATTTTTTATATTTTTTGTAAAGATGGGGTCTCACTATGTTGCCCAGGCTGCTCTCAAACTTGGGCTCAAGTGATTCTCCCACCTCAGCCTCCCAAAGTGCTGGGTTTATAGGTGTGAAACACCACCATCTGCTATTTAGTAAAATTCGACTATGAACTTTAGATTAGATAATAATACTCTATCAATGTTAAATTTCCTGAATCTTATAAATTGTACTGTGTTTATGTGAGACAGCATCCTTGTTCTTAGGAAATACACCCTGAAATATTTAGGAGTAAAGGGTCTAGCCTGTAGACCATTTATTCCACAGGGTCTGTGCCTGTAGTCCTAGCTACTCAGGAGGCTGAGGTGGGAGGATTGTTTGAACCCAGGAGTTCAAGGCTGCGGTGCACTATGGTTGTGCCCATGAATAGCCAATGCACTCCAGCCTGGGCAACATAGTGAGACCCCCATATCTTAAAAAAAAAAAAAAAGACAAGAGAAGTTGGGGGGCATCATGTCTGCAACTTGCACTCAAATGGTGTAAGAGAGAGAGGAAGAAAGCGAACATAAAAGCAAATAAAATTAACAACAGATGGGGCTGGGGAAAGAGTATATCACGTTCTTAGAGCTGTTGTTACAACATGCTCTACAAATTTGAAATCAAAATAAGAAGTCTTTTAACAGATTTTTTAATGCAAAAAATATTTCAACTGGATTTGGCGAATGATAGAGGCGTTTGGGATAATTTAGTCTGTAATAGCTCTAATCTGACACAAAATTAGTTCAGTGACAGAAAGTAACTAATCCAAGCCCTCCTCCACACACACTGCAATAAATCATTTCACTTGGACCCATCTCAAAATTCAGACTACATTGAAATGTTAGATGTCGAACTGTTCCCTTTTTCAATACGAAGTATTCCTAAGGTCAGGATCTACTGAGGAGGACAGCTAAGTCTCCTGCCATCACAAAATGTCTCAAATAGACATAATGGCTTGCTGATGAATCAGATCTCTGGCAACAGAGGGTGAGTAATATTCTAGTGAATTGGCAAGATTCTCCAAAAGAGCAAGAAGTCTTTTTATGCGTAGGGAACAGGAGTCTCTGAATGGGCCTGAGCTATTCTATTCCTTTTTCTAGCATGGAAATCTGCTGTCAAACTCTATTGAAAAACTGGACGCCTGCAAAGTTCATTGTGCTGTGGGATTAGACAGAAAGCTATTATTGGCGTATGGTTTGTACACAGACCTCAGGAAATAGTTGTTGAATATATACTTCCACATTCTTTAATTCTCCTCCTAACTCTATAAAATATTCAAAACAGATACCAAAATCCCCATTTTACTTATAAAAACCCATACAGGGAAATTATGCAACTTGCCCAAGATTCCATAAATAGTTTAGGGGACAACCTAGAATTCAAACGGGTATAAGCTTACTCTGCTAACCAGTTTGTGAGGTTTTGAGTGGAGTTACAGATTTACCTCCATTTCACAAACGGTGCTTTCTCAGCTCTTGGAACTCACAGGGGTCGCCATTCTCTCAAGGTTAAACCTAGTGATAAGAAATTCTGAGGACACAACCTCTTGTTTTCTTTAACTATAAAAGGTGAATAATGCCCACTTACCCACTGAATAAACATCACTGTGGCAATCCAGTATAAATTACAAAATGCTTCGATAGGTTAAAAGAAGCTACAAAACTGATTATTAGTATTACTATGAGAAACCTGTCCCTGATTTATATGTTAAAGCAGCCTGACTTTTTCTATGACGATTTAGAAAAGCAAAACATCATACCTTTTCCTTTTTTGGTAGCTTCGGCAGCTTAGGTGGTTTGGAAGCTCTTGGCAATGATGACTTACACTGCCTAACAAGAATAGCCCATTTGGAATTTCTCTGATCAGTGTCCTCGAAAGCACTCATATGCCAGGCAAAAGAAGCGCGACTCTGTTTTCCTTGCATATCCAGGACATGAGGTTTTGGTTGCCTGGAATAGGAACAAATTGGTTCTGAAATGGAAAAGAGCTAGAAACAAGGCCACCAGTTTTCAGATAGTTGAGATTTGTCTGTTTTTCTAGTAATTTAAGGTGATTCTAGCCATGTGGCTTAGGAAAGCTGAAGACCTGACCCATCCTGGGAAGTTTCTGAACTCTCTCCACTCTACATCACTGGACTGCTAGAGATCCAAAGAACCACCCCCAAGATGGACACCTATCTATGAAGCTTGTTGACGAATGCACTACTGTCCTTTCAGAGCCAAGCATGGAAGATGCTGTGAAGTTGAAGGTGATATGCTAACACTGAGGCTTCATGAGACCCATGTGATCTCCTGAAGGACATGGCCTATCCATTTTGAGGTCTCATGGACATTCAGGAAAACACCAGCTTTTCTATTCCAAGCTCTGGCTTTGGACTGCATTTTAGAGGAAAGATCTAAGCTTCTTCCTCTTTCCCTGGTGAGATCCTTGGCTAAGTTCTAACAACCCTAAATTAGAACATTATCTCAGCCCTGCTTTTCCATTATAAAAGGCTGACTCTGGGGAACAGACAGAAACAGGATTGTAAGGGTAGGGATTTGCCAACTCATTTGGAAAGCTGTTGTTTCTTAGAGAGCCTCTTGGGACTTCTTATTCACCATCCTTCCACCTGGGCTGCAAGAGCCCCTTGGGGACTGCAAAGTTCTCTTTCTAGAATCTGAGTCTGTGGGTTCCCAAGGTCTTTGGACCATGATTTGTGGGAGATTTGCATCGCCCTTCACTCACTCAAGAATCTACAGGCTCTTTCTACATGGCTGGCACAGTACAAGGCACCGTGAGGACCAGCAGTAATAAGATAAAGCCCCTGTTGTCACAGAGCTTATATACCTGTGGGGGAGACAAAAAATAAACAGATAACTGAAATATTTGGGAAGTACTAGGAAAAAAAATTAAGGCAGATGAGTAGAAAATCTTGGGCATGCTATTTTCGTGAGGTTAGACAAGAGAGGACGAGGTAATGTTTGAGCAGAGATCTCAGTGAAGCAAGAGTGTGAGCCATTCTCCCAGCATACAGAGGTCAGGCAGTTCCTTCCTGCTCCTGAGAATCACAGAATCCCTGTGGTGGGAGGGAAGTGACCATGGCTGTCTCCAGCAGACCCTCCCCTGACATCCCATCATCCTAGAATAAAGTCTGAGCTCCTCAGCATAGCATGCAGGGAAGTTTGTTGTTGCTGTTTGGTTTTTGTCTGCTTTTGCTTTATGTATGTACATATGTATGTATGTATGTATGTATGTATGTATGTATGTTTGTAGAGATGGAGTCTCGCTCTGTCACCCAGGCTGGAGTGCAATGACACGATCTCTGCTCACTGCAACCACCACCTCCCAGGTTCAATCAATTCTCCTGCCTCATCCTCCCAAGTAGCTGGGATTACAGGTGTACACCACCACCTCCAGTAAATTTTTGTATTTTTAGTAGAGATAGGGTTTCACCATGTCGACCAAGCTGGTCTTGAACTCCTGACCTCAGGCCATCCTCCCACCTCAGCCTCCCAAAGTGCTGGGATTACAGGCATGAGTCACCACCCAGCCTGTCTGCTTTCTTTTTAAAAATGGTCCTGCTGGGCATGGTGGCTCATGCCTGTAATCCCAGCACTTTGGGAAGCTCAGGCAGGCAGAACACGAGGTCAGGGGATCAAGACCATCCTGGCCAACATGGCAAAACCCAGTCTCTACTAAAAATACAAAAAATTAGCCAGGTGTAATGGCACACGCCTGTAGTCCCAGCTACTCAGGAGGCCGAGGCAGGAGAATCACTTGAACCCAGGAGGTAGAGGTTGCAGTGAGCCAAGATCACACCACTGCACTCCAGCCTGGGTGACAAAGAAAGACTCCATCTCAAAAAAATAATAGTTATAATACAAACAACTAGCTGGGTGTGGTGGTGCACGCCTGTAATCCCAGCTACTCGGGAGGCCAAGGCAGGAGAATCACTTGAACCTGGGAGGCGGAGGTTGCAGTGAGCTGAGATCACATCACTGCACTCCAGCCTGGGTGACAGAGCAGGGGGAAAAAAAAAAGGTCCAACCTCAGTTGATCCTTCTGGCCCACTCTCCTCAGCCCGTCTCTACTTTCAGACACACACAGTCCTTCCTTTCGCCTTCACCTTCCCCTCGATGAGCTCCAAAGAAGCTGCACTCTGAGCAAAAGACTCACAGCCTTTTGCTTCAATTTCCTCTGCTTGTGATTCCCTCTCCTCCTTATTTCCTGGAAAACTGCAACTAAGTTGGGGCTTTAAACATCACCTTTTCCCTGAAGACTTTTTGTTCCTGTCATGAAGCAATTTTTCTCCTTTAATAGCACTATTTGACTTTTTTTTTTTTTTTTTTTTTTTGAGACAGATTCTCTGTCTCCTAGGTTGGAGTGCAATGGCGTGATCTCAGCTCACTGCAACCTCTGCCTCCCAGGTCCAAGCAATTTACCTGCCTCAGCCTCCCAAGTAGCTGGGATTACAGGTGCCTGCCAAGCCTGGCTAATTTTTGTATTTTTAGTAGAGACAGGGTTTCACCATGTTACCCAGGCTAGTCTCAAACTCCTGACCTTAGGTGATCCACCCACCTCGGCCTCCCAAAGTGCTGGGATTACAGGCGTGAACCATCGTGCCCGGCCTGACTTCTTTTGTAGAAACTATTAGAATATTCTTGAATTCCTAGCTCAGCAGTCTCTCTTTCTACAAATTCAGTGCTCCTTAAAAGGCCCGGAGTGTATCTCATTCGTCATTGGCTCCCCAGTGCCATTACCCTGCCTGACACGTAATTGACACTCAACTAATCTTGGAGAATAGAGGAAGAGGGAAGGACAGGAAAGACCAGAACTGAGTGACAGGAAGGGCGCCTGCCTTCCCTCCCGCTCCCTTCACCCCACCTGCTCTACAGCCTCTTTCCGCTCCTGCCAGGCAGCTATGTAGGACTGGATCCTTGTGGTCCAGTTTGTCTGAGTTGTGTTATTTACAAGTACAGATTAATAGCTGGAAATAATTTCAAGAAAGCTTAAAAGGCAGGATAGCTGATGGTGAGAATGTAAGCAACAGATAGTGCTTATAGTTTATATTAGCTTGATTAATGATTCAAGGGAAAACTATTTCATGCAAATGTCACCTTTTCTTTAACATGTTATACAAGTAACTATATAGAAGAGTTTAGAAAAGAAAAATCCTTGGCCGTCTTTAGTCTTCACTTAAGTGCTAAAATATTTTATTATCTTTTAAATTCAGTATCTCCTACATCCCTGAAATTGGGAACACCAGAAGCAATAGAAAGTTAAAAATTAGATGTAGTTCAAAGATATTAAAGGTTTTACAAATATACTGGCCACATCAACTGTGGGGATTTACCCACACTGTATTGAACTGGGCCCCAGATGGGACCCAAAGTCTAAAGAGACAAACCAAGGAGCAGAAGGTTTGGCTCCAGATGGGCCATGAGTGCCAGGCCCGCGTGATGGGTAGGTGTCAGGTGCACACACAAAATAGCAGCAAACACACGCATGCCCCACAATGAACACCACCACCAGACATTTATAATACAACATTCTTACTATTTAATTATTACACTAAATAGGCCCCTTAGGGTCAGATACTTTTCGTTTTTGTTGTTTTTTGAAACAACCTGAAGCTTATAGAAAAGTTGGAAGCACAGTACAAAATCTTTTCTCGAACCAGTTAAAAGTACTGGTTGTTGACAGGATATCTATCATCCCCCCAAGTGGTTGACAGGATACCTGTCATCCCCAAGTACGTAAGTGTGTAATTCCCACAAACAAGGACATTCTACATAACCTCAACATAACCGTCAAAAGCAGAGAAAATGGGAAAATTAACGTTTTTATATTACTACCATCGAATGCTCAGACACCTTCAAGTTTGGCCAGGCATCCCAATAACACCCATTTTGCAAAAGAATCCAGTTCAGAATCACGTGTTACATTAGTTTTTATGTCTCCTTCAGTCTGGAACCGTTTCTCAGTCTTCCTTTGACTTTCACATAGCCTTGATACTTTTGAAGAATCCAGGCCAGTTATTTTGCAGATGTCCCTCAATTTGGGTTTCTTATGTTTCCTCTTGGTTAGATTCAGGTTATGCATCTTTGGACAGGAATAACACAGAATGACCATAATTTTGAGTTGTCCCATTACTGATGATGTTCACTTAGGTCACTTGCTTAAAATGCTACCTACCAGAATTCTCCTTTATACCATCACATTTCTTGTTATTAGTACTTTTTGGAAAAGTACTTTGAAATTATGTAAAAATTCTCATCCCATATGAAATGTTGTATTTGTTTAAATCCACTTATTTCATTATGGGCTCACGGTTTCCTGCTTTATCCAGTAAGTAATAATCCATCACCAACATTGTTCATTTTGATGCTCAAGTTATCCCAGATTTGGCTAGCAGTAGCCCCTTCAATCTGGCTTCTGTGTCCTTTTGACATGTCCCTGTCATTCTTTATACACTTCCTTATGTTTTGGCACAAAAGATGTTCCAGGGTCATCTTTTCCCACCCCAGCCCTGGAATAATCCATTTTGTGAAGGAACTTGTTGGAGGTGGGGCCTGGTGGGAGGGGATTGGATTACGGGTGTTGCAGGGGTTCTAATCATTTAGCACCATCCCCTGTTGCGGGAAGTCAGGGACCCCGAATGGAGGGACCAGCTGGAGCTGCAGCAGAGGAAGATGAATTGTGAAGATTTCATGGATATTTATCAGTTCCTAAATAATACTTTTATAATTTCTTATGACTGTCTTTACTTTAATCTCTTAATCCTGTTATCTTCATAAGCTGAGGATGTACGTCACCTCAGGACCACTGTGATAATTGTGTTAACTGTATAAATTGATTGTAAAACATGTGTATTTGAACAATATGAAATCAGTGCACCTTGAAAAAGAACAGAATAACAGCAATTTTTAGGGAACAAGGGAAGACAACCATAAGGTCTGACTGCCTGCGGGGTTGGGCAAAAAGAGCCATATTTTTCTTCTTGTAGAGAGCCTATAAATGGACGTGCAAGTAGGAGAGATATTGCTAAATTCTTTTCCTAGCAAGGAATATTAATATTAATACTGTGGGAAAGGAATGCATTCCTGGGGGGAGATCTATAAACGGCCACTCTGTGAGTGTCTGTCTTATGCGGTTGAGATAAGGACTGAGATACGCCCTGGTCTCCTGCAGTACCCTCAGCTTACTAGGATGGGGAAAAAACTCCGCCCTGGTAAATTTGTGGTCAAACCGGTTCTCTGCTCTTGAACCCTGTTTTCTATTGTTTAAGATGTTTATCAAGACAATACATGCACCACTGAACAGAGACCCTTATCAGTAGTTCTGCTTTTGCCCTTTGCCTTGTGATCTTTGTTGGACCCTTATCAGTAGCAGTAGTTCTGCTTTTGCCCTTTGGCCTGTTCCCTCAGAAGCATGTGATCTTTGTTCTGCTTTTTGCCCTTTGAAGCATGTGATCTTTGTACCTACTCTGTTCTTACACCCCCTCCCCTTCTGAAACCCTTAATAAAAAACTTGCTGGTTTGAGGCTCAGGTGGGCATCACGGTCCTACCGATATGTGATGTCACCCCTGGCGACCCAGCTGTAAAATTCTTCTGTTTATACTCTTTCTCTTTATTTCTTAGCCAGCTGACACTTATGGAAAAATAGAAAGAACCTACGTTGAAATATTGGGGGCAGGTTCCCCTGATAATCCCCCTAGTGCTGTCTCGTGACAGAGTTCTCACAAGATCTGGTTGTTAGAAAGTGTAGGCTGAGCACAGTGGCTCAAGCCTGTAATCCCAGCACTTTGGGAGGCCAAGACAGGCAGATCACCAGAGGTCCGGAGTACAAGACCAGCCTGTCCAATATGGTGAAACCCCGTCTCTACTAAAAATACAAAAATAATTAGCCAGCCATGGTGGCATGCATTTGTAATTCCAGCTACTTGGAAGGCTGAGGCACAAGAATTGCTTGAACCCGGGAGGCAGAGGTTG